>NC_000023.11:57607411-57923467 GCF_000001405.40 Homo sapiens
GCTGGAGTTGCTAAAATTCCTGCTGGGTGGCCCTGCCCAGTGAGGAGGGATACATCTGGGTCCCACTTAAAGAAACAGTCTGGCCATGATCTGCCACAGCAGCTGTGCTGCGCTGTGGGGAATTCTGCCCAGTCTTCCTAGCACTGGCAGGGAAAAAACTGCTGACTAGAGCCACAGTAATGGTGGTCGCCCCTCCCCTCGGGAACTTGGTCATCTTAGGCAGACTCCAGCCTGCTGTGCTGGGCAGCGAGGATTCCAAGCTAATGGATCTTCGTTTGCGGGGTTCTGTGTTATTGGGACACACTGAGAGAGGCTGCTTGGCTCCCTGGCTTCAGCTCCCTTTCCGCGGGAGTGAATGGATCTCCTGCCTCACTGGAGTTCCAGGAGCCACTGGGGTATGCAAAAACTCCTGCAGCTCAGTGCCTACCCGAGCAGCTGCCAGCCCCTGCAGCTGCCATGGGTCTGCACAGCTTTGTGCTTGGGACCCAAGGCCTTGGTGCTGTGGGCTCACAGGAGAATATCCTGATCTGCGGGTTGCAAAAATCTGTGGGAAAGGCGTTCTTCGGGCGAGTAGCACAATCCCTCCCCCGCCTCCCTTGGCTAAGGGAGGGAAGTCCCTTTGCCCCGTGCAGTTCCTAGGTGAACCATCACCCCACCCTGCTTTTCCTTGCTCTTTATGGGTCGCACCAACTGCCTAGTCAGTCCCAATGAGAGGATCTGGCTACCACAGCTGGAAATGCAGAATTCATTCACTGTTTACGATCATCTAGCTAGGAGCTGCAGACCAGAGGTGTTTCTACTCGGCCATATTGTTCCCTCCCTCTATCCTACTCCTTTTACTCTTGTAAAATGGTGGCTTTTGATAAAAAGTTTTAATTTTAATGTACTCCAGTTTTACAGTGTTTTTTTTTTTTTTTTGGTTTGTGCTTTTTGTGCCTTTAAAAACAATGTTGCTAATCCAAAGACTATACAGATATTTTCCTGTCGCTGCTTTTTAGAAACTTTTCTTTTTTCATTTCTATTCATAATCCACCTGGAATTAATTTTCATAAATGGCATGAGGTAGGCTGTTACACCGTTTTTTCACCATTTAGATATCTGGCTTACCCAGCCCCATTTATTAAAAAACACTACTGTGGCCTGATTGTTCTGCCATGATCACTCTATTATAAATCAAGTGTCAATATATGTTTAAGTCTGCTTCATTGCTCTCTATTTTGTTCTCTGTCCTTGCACCAGTACCACACAGTTTTAAATACGTTAGTAAAATTTTGATATTTGGTAGTATAAATTCCCTAACTCTCTTCTATAAGATCTTCTTGACCATTATTGACTCTTTCTTTTTTCATATACGATTAGAATAAACTTATTCATTTCAATGACAAAACTACTTGAATTTTATTTGAGATTCAGTATTGAGTCTTCTAATCTATGAACATAGTATATTCCCTCCATTTAGCTATTTCTTCATTTTCCTCAATGTGTGTGTGTGTGTATATATATAGTTTATATATATAGTTTATATATAGTTTATATATATAGTTTATATATATAGTTTATATATATATAGTTTATATATATATAGTTTATATATATATAGTTTATATATATATAGTTTATATATATATAGTTTATATATATATAGTTTATATATATATAGTTTATATATATAGTTTATATATATAGTTTATATATATATAGTTTATATATATAGTTTATATATATAGTTTATATATATATAGTTTATATATATAGTTTATATATAGTATATATATAGTTTTATCTGTGGAGATTTGCACAAATCTGAATCATTTTAAAACCTTTGTTCTCATACTACAGTATAATGTTTAGCCCTGACACATATCACTATAGACTCTTTTCATTCCTTCTTTTTTTGTTGTTCTTTAATTCAAGTTCTTGACCTTCAAGACAATTTGTGAAATGATGCTTACTGGTGTTTTGGTTATACATTAGATTACTTCTAATGTTTTGGTTACATGTTGAATAACAATAAACACTTTGCTTATTTTTCTGGATATATCTGAACAGTTAATGTATTTGTGTATCCAACTCAGATATTTTGTGAACATTATTTTGATATAATATTGATACTTTTAATAAATATATCTAATACTTATTTTTCTTTTCTATGGAATATAATGGTGGACAAAGTAAGTTCTCTAAATTTGTAGATGATATTAAATAAGACACTTTAATTCCTTTTCACTTGAAATTTGTATATGCTACATGAAGGAAAACATGATCTTGAAAGTATGAGCAAATATTTTGGCAAAATTATTCTGTCTCTCTAACAATTTCTTAAAATGAGAAGACTATTTATATTGTGAAGTTTTTTTTTTAGGTGAATCTTACAGATTATACTTATATTTTTATTTTTTATTTTTTTAATTTTTATTATTTTTTTATTTTATTATTATTATACTTAAAGTTTTAGGGTACATGTACACAATGTGCGAGTTTGTTACATATGTATACATGTGCCATGTTGGTGTGCTGCACCCATTAACTCGTCATTTAGCATTAGGTATATCTCCTAATGCTATCCCTCCCCCCTCCCCCAACCCCACAACAGTCCCCAGTGTCTGATGTTCCCCTTCCTGTGTCCATGTGTTCTCATTGTTCAATTCCCACCTACGAGAGAGAACATGCAGTGTTTGCTTTTTTGTCCTTGTGATAGTTTGCTGAGAATGATGGTTTCCAGTTTCATCCATGTCCCTACAAAGCACATGAACTCATCATTTTTTATGGCTGCATAGTATTCCATGGTGTATATGTGCCACATTTTCTTAATCCAGTCTATCATTGTTGGACATTTAGGTTGGTTCCAAGTCTTTGCTATTGTGAATAGTGCCGCAATAAACATACGTGTGCATGTGTCTTTATAGCAGCACGATTTATAATCCTTTGGGTATATACCCAGTAATGGGATGGCTGGGTCAAATGGTATTTCTAGTTCTAGATCCCTGAGGAATCACCACACTGACTTCCACAATGGTTGAACTAGTTCAGAGTCCCACCAACAGTGAAAAAGTGTTCCTATTTCTCCACATCCTCTCTAGCACCTGTTATTTCCTGACTTTTTAATGAACACCATTCTAACTGGTGTGAGATGGTATCTCATTGTGGTTTTGATTTGCATTTCTCTGATGGCCAGTGATGGTGAGCATTTTTTCATGTGTTTTTTGGCTGCATAAATGTCTTCTTTTGAGAAGTGTCTGTTCATGTCCTTTGCCCACTTTTTGATGGGGTTGTTTGATTTTTCTTGTAAATTTGTTTGAGTTCATTGTAGATTCTGGATATTAGCCCTTTGTCAGATGAGTAGGTTGCAAAAATTTTCTCCCATTTTGTAGGTTGCCTGTTCACTCTGATGATAGTTTCTTTTGCTGTGCAGAAGCTCTTTAGTTTAATTAGATCCCACTTGTCAATTTTGGCTTTTGTTGCCATTGCTTTTGGTGTTTTAGACATGAAGTCCTTGCCCATGCCTATGTCCTGAATGGTATTGCCTAGGTTTTCTTCTAGGGTTTTTATGGTTTTAACATTTAAGTCTTTAATCCATCTTGAATTGATTTTTGCATAAGGTGTAAGGAAGTGATCCAGTTTCAGCTTTCTACATATGTCTAGCCAGTTTTCCCAGCACCATTTATTAAACAGGGAATCCTTTCCCCATTGCTTGTTTTTGTCAGGTTTGTCAAAGATCAGATAGTTGTAGATATGCAGCATTATTTCTGAGGGCTCTGTTCTGTTCCATTGGTCTGTATCTCTGTTTTTGTACCAGTACCATGCTGTTTTGGTTACTGTAGCCTTGTAGTGTAGTTTGAAGTCAGGTAGCATGATGCCTCCAGCTTTGTTCTTTTGGCTTAGGATTGACTTGGTGATGTGGGCTCTTTTTTGGTTCCATATGAACTTGAAAGTAGTTTTTTCCAATTCTGTGAAGAAAGACATTGGTAGCTTAATGGGGATGGCATTGAATCTATAAATTACCTTGGGCAGTATGGCCATTTTCACAATATTGATTCTTCTTACCCATGAGCATGGAATATTCTTCCATTTTTTGTATCCTCTTTTATTTCATTGAGCAGTGGTTTGTAGTTCTCCTTGAAGAGGTCCTTCAAGTCCCTTGTAAGTTGGATTCCTAGGTATTTTATTTTCTTTGAAGCAATTGTGAATGGGAGTTCACTCATGATTTGGCTCTCTGTTTGTCTGTTATTGGTGTATAAGAATGCTTGTGATTTTTGTACATTGATTTTGTATCCTGAGTCTTTGCTGAAGTTGCCTATCAGCTTGAGGAGATTTTGGGCTGAGACAATGGGATTTTCTAGATATCCAATCATGTCATCTGCAAACAGGGACAATTTGACTTCCTCTTTTCCTAAGTGAATACCCTTTATTTCCTTCTCCTGCCTGATTGCCCTGGCCAGAACTTCCAACACTATGTTGAATAGGAGTGGTGAGAGAGGGCATCCCTGTCTTGTGCCCGATTTCAAAGGGAGTGCTTCCAGTTTTTGCCCATTCAGTATGATATTGGCTGTGGGTTTGTCATAGATAGCTCTTATTATTTTGAGGTATGTCCCATCAATACCTAATTTATTGAAAGTTTTTAGCATGAAGGGTTGTTGAATTTTGTCAAAGGCCTTTTCTGCATCTATTGAGATAATCATGTGGTTTTTGTCTTTGGTTCTGTTTATATGCTGGATTACATTTATTGATTTGCATATATTGAACCAGCCTTGCATCCCAGGGATGAAGCCCACTTGATCATGGTGGATAAGCTTTTTGATGTGCTCCTGGATTCGGTTTGCCATTATTTTATTGAGGATTTTTGCATTGTTGTTCCTCAAGGATATTGGTCTAAAATTGTCTTTTTTGGTTCTGTCTCTGTCCAGCTTTGGTATCAGGATGATGCTGGCCTCATAAAATGAGTTAGGGAAGATTCCCTCTTTTTCTATTGATTGGAATAGTTTCAGCAGGAATGGTACCAATTCCTCCTTGTACCTTGGGTTGAATTTGGCTGTGAATCCATCTGGTCCTGGAATCTTTTTGGTTGGTTAGCTATTGGTTATTGCCACAATTTCATAGCCTGTTATTGGTCTATTCAGAGATTCAACTTCTTCTTGGTTTAGACTTGGGAGGGTGTATGTGTTGAGGAATTTATCCATTTCTTCTAGATTTTCTAGTTTATTTGCGTAGAGGTGTTTGTATTATTCTCTGTTGGTAGTTTGTATTTCTGTGGGATCGGTGGTGATATCCCCTTTATCATTTTTTATTGCATCTATTTGATTCTTCTCTCTTTTCTTCTTTATTAGTCTTGCTAGCGGTCTATCAATTTTGTTGATCCCTTCAAAAAACCAGCTCCTGGATTCATTAATTTTTGAAGGGTTTTTTATGTCTCTATTTCCTTCTGTTCTGCTCTGATTTTAGTTATTTCTTGCCTTCTGCTAGCTTTTGAATGTGTTTGCTCTTGCTTTTCTAGTTCTTTTAATTGTGATGTTAGGGTGTCAATTTTGGATCTTTCCTGCTTTCTCTTGTGGGCATTTAGTGCTATAAATTTCCCTCTACACACTGCTTTGAATGTGTCCCAGAGATTCTGGTATGTTGTGTCTTTGTTCTCATTGGTTTCAAAGAACATCTTTATTTCTGCCTTAATTTGTTATTTATGCAGTAGTCATTCAGGAACAGGTTGTTCAGTTTCCATGTAGTTGCGCAGTTTTGAGTGAGTTTCTTAAACCTGAGTTCTAGTTTGATTGCACTGTGGTCTGAGAGACAGTTTGTTATAATTTGTGTTCTTTTACATTTGCTGAGGAGAGCTTTACTTCCAACTATGTGGTCAATTTTGGAATAGGTGTGGTGTGGTGCTGAAAAGAATGTATATTCTGTTGATTTGGGGTGGAGAGTTCTGTAGATGTCTATTAGGTCCACTTGGTGCAGAGCTGAGTTCAATTCCTGGATATCCTTGTTAGCTTGCTGTCTCATTGATCTGTCTAATGTTGACAGTGGGGTGTTAAAGTCTCCCATTATTATTGTGTGGGAGTCTAAGTCTCTTTATAGTTCACTCAGGACTTGCTTTATGAATCTGGGTGCTCCTGTATTGGGTGCATATATACTTAGGATAGTTAGCTTTTCTTGTTGACTTGATCCCTTTACCATTATGTAATGGCCTTCTTTGTCTCTTTTGATCTTTGCTGGTTCAAAGTCTGTTTTATCAGAGACTAGGATTGCAACCCCTGCCTTTTTTTTGTTTTCCATTAGCTTGGTAGATCTTCCTCCTTCCCTTTATTTTGAGCCTATGTGTGTCTCTGCACGTGAGATGGGTCTCCTGAATACAGCACACTGATGGGTCTTGTATCTTTATCCAATTTGCCAGTCTGTGTCTTTTAATTGAATCATTTAGTCCATTTACATTTAAAGTTAATATTGTTATGTGTGAATTTGATCCTGTCATTATGATGTTATCTGGTTATTTTCCTCGTTAGTTGATGCAGTTTCTTCCTAGCCTAGATTGTCTTTACAATTTGGCATTTTTTTTTTTTTTTGCAGTGGCTGGTACCGGTTGTTCCTTTCGATGTTTAGTGCTTCCTTCAGGAGCTCTTTTAGGGTAGGCCTGGTGGTGACAAAATCTGTCAACATTTGCTTGTCTGTAAAGTATTTTATTTCTCCTTCACTTATGAAGCTTAGTTTGGCTGGACATGAAATTCTGGGTTGAAAATTCTTTTCTTTAAGAATGTTGAATATTGGCCTGCACTCTCTTCTGGCTTGTAGAGTTTCTGCTGAGAGATTTGCTGTTAGTCTGATGGGCTTCCCTTTTTGGGTAATCCGACCTTTCTCTCTGGCTGCCCTTAACATTTTTTCCTTCATTTCAACTTTGGTGAATCTGACAATTATGTCTTGGAGTTGCTCTTCTTGAGGAGTATCTTTGTGGCATTCTCTGTATTTCCTGAATCTGAATGTTGGCCTGCCTTGCTAGATTGGGGGAGTTCTCCTGGATAATATCCTGCAGAGCGTTTTCCAACTTGGTTTCATTCTCCCCATCACTTTCAGGTACACCAATCAGACGTAGACTTGGTCTTTTCACATAGTCCCTTATTTCTTGGAGGCTTTATTCGTTTCTTTTTATCCTTTTTTTCTCTAAACTTCCCTTCTTGCTTCATTTCATTCATTTCATCTTCCATCATTGATGCCCTTTCTTCCAGTTGATCGCATCAACTCCTGAGGCTTCTGCATTCTTCACGTAGTTCTTGAGCCTTGCCTGTCAGCTCCATCAGCTCCTTTCAGCACTTCTCTGTATTGTTTATTCCAGTTATACATTCATCTAAATTTTTTTCAAAGTTTTTAACTTCTTTACCTTTGGTTTGAATTTCCTCCTGTAGCTCAGGGTAGTTTGATCATCTGAAGCCTTCTTCTCTCAACTCGTCAAAGTCATTCTCCATCCAGCTTTGTTCCATTGCTTGTGAGGAACTGTTCCTCAGATGGAAATGCAGAAATCACCCATCTTCTGCGTCACTCATGCTGGGAGCTGTAGACCAGAGCTGTTCCTATTCGGCCATCTTGGCTCGTAGTCTCTAGTCTTTTTCTTTTTTCACCAGTTATTTTACAAAGACTTTGATTGGAAAGGCATGTTTTAAGATATGACCAGACTGTTTTGAAGAATTAAGGTTTACTTTATAGAGCTGATAAAAGGCTCTTTGGAAAAACTGGCCTAATACTTTGCCTACATGGTTCCCTTACAAGGTTTCTGGCCTTGTGTTAAGTAAAAAATGTCCTTTTTTTGACAGTCTTATGAATTCCAATATATTTTGGGACTTGAAAAGAGAGCAATTCACCCAATTTACACAGGTGCTATAGACAGTCTGGTGGCAAATGTTTGGCTTGGCTTCCCACACTCAAAGCTTTTAAAAGTCAAATCTGAGATTCCATATACAAAGGACACATAATCATCAGATTCTCTAAGGTCAAAATGAAGGGAAAATTGTGAGGGCAGCCAGAGAGAAAGGCCAGGTCACCTACATAGGGAAGATGATTAGACTAACAGTGGACCTCTCAGGAGCAACACTATAAGCCAAAAGAGATTCGGGGTCAATATTCAATATTATTAAATTTTTTTTCAACCAATAATTTTATATCCAGCCAAATTAAACTTCCTAATTGAAGAAGAAATAAAATTCTTTCCAGAAAAGCAAATGCTGAGGGATACCTTTACCACCAGGCCTGCCTCATAAGAGCTCCTGCAAGAAGCACTAGATATGGAAAGGAAAATCCAGGAGCAGCCACTGCAAAAACACACCAAAATATAGATAACAATGAAACAATGAAGAAACTGCATCAACTGGTGTGCAAAATAACCAAATAGCAGCATCATGACAGTATCAAATTCACACATAACAATACTAACCTTAAATGTAAATGGGCTAAATGCCCCAATTAAAACACAAAGACTAGCAAATTGGATAAAGAGTCAAGACCAATCAGTGTGCTGTATTCAGGAAACCCTTCTCATGTGCAAAGATGCACATGGGTTCAGAATAGGGATGAAGAAAAATTTACCAAGCAAATGGAAAGCAAACCAACAACAACAACAAAAAAAAAAAAAAACAAAAACAAAAACAATGAAACAAACAAAAGAACAGGGCTTGCAATTTTAGCCTCTGACAAAGCAGACTTTAAACCAACAAAGATCAAAAAAGACAAAGAATGGCATTACATAATAGTAAAGAGAACAATTCATCAAGAAGAGCTAACTATTCTAAATATACATGCACCCAATACAGGAGGACTCAGATTTATAAAACAAGTTTTTAGAGACCTACAAATAGATTTAGACTCCCACACAATAATAGTGGGAGACTTTAACACCCAACTGTCAGTATTAGACACATCTATAAGACAGAAAATTGACAAGGATATTCAGGAGTTGAACTCAGCTCTGGATCAAGTTTGACCTAGTAAACATCTACAGAACTCTCTACCCAAAATCAACAGAATATACATTCTTCTCAGTGCTACGTGGCACTTATTCTAAAGTCAACCACATAATTGGGAGAAAAACACTCCTCAGCAAATGGAAAAATACTGAAGTAATAACAAACAGTCTCTCAGACCACAGTGCAATTAAATTAAAAATCAGGATTAAGAAACTCACTCAAAACCACACAATTACATGGAAATTGAACAACCTGCTCCTGAATGACTCCTGGGTAAATGATGAAATTAAGGCAGAAATGAAGAATTTCTTTGAAACCAAAGAAAACAAAAAGACAATGTACCAGAATCCCTGGGACACAGATAAAGCAGTGTGTAGAGGGAAATTTACAGCACTATATGCCCACATCAGAAAGCTTGAAATACTTCAAATTGACACCCAAACATCACAGTTAAAAGAGCTAGAGGGGCAAGAACAAACTAATCCAAAAGCTAGCAGAAGACAAAAAATAACTAAGCTCAGAGCAGAACTGAAGGAGATAGAGACACAAAAAACCCTCCAAAAAATCAGTGAATCCAGGAGCCGGGTTTTTGAAAAATTTAACAAAATAAATAGACTGCTAGCTAGACTATTAAGAAGAAAAGAGAGAAGAGTCAAATAGACACAATAAAAAATGACAAAGGAGAGATCACCACTGACCCTACAAAAATACAATCTACCATAAGAGAATACTATAAACACTTTTACACAAAAAAACTAGAAAATCTAGAAGAAATGGATAAATTCCTGGATACATACACCCTCTCAAGACTAAACCAGGAAGAAGTCAAATCCCTGAGTAGACCAATAACAAGTTCTGAAATTGAGACAGTAATTAATAGCCTACCAACCAAAAAAAAAAAAAAAAAGCCCAAGACCAGACAGAATGACAGCTGAATTCTACCAGAAATACAGAGAGGAACTAGTACCATTATTTTTCTGAAATGATTCCAAACAATTGAAAAGGAGGGACTCCTCCTTAACTCATTTTATGAAGTCAGCATCATCCTGATACCAAAAATGGGAAGAAACACGACAAACAAAGAAAACTTCAGGCCAATATCCCTGATGAACATCAGTGCGAAAGTCTTCAATTGAATACTGGTAAACTGAATTCAACAACACATCAAAAATTTATCCACCACCATGAAGTCACCTTCATCCCTGGGATGCAAGGCTGGCTCAACATATGCAAATCAATAAACATAATCTATCACATAAACAGAACCAAAGACAAAAACCACATGACTATCTCAACAAATGCAGAAAAGGCCTTCGATAAAATTCAACATCTCTTCATGTTAAAAAATCTCAGTAAATTAGGTATTGATGGAACATATCTAAAATAATAAGAGCTATTAATGACAAACCCACAGGAATATCATACCGAATGGGTAAAAGCTGGAAGCATTCCTTTTGAGAACTGGTACAAGACAAGGATGCCCTCTCCCGCCACTCCTATTCAACATAGTATTGGAAGTTCTGGCCAGGGCAATCAGGCAAGAGAAAGAAATAAAAGGTATTCAAATAGGAAAAGAAAAAGTTAAATTTTCTCTGTTTGCAGATGACATGATTTTATATTTAGAAAACCCTCACATGTCAACCCCAAACTCGTTAAACTGATAAGCAACTTCAGCAAATTCTCAGGATACTAAATAAATTGCAAAAATCACAATCATCCCTTCACACCAATAATACACAATCAGAGAGACAAGTCATGAATGAACTCCCATTCAAAATCACTACACAGAGAATAAAATACCTAGGAATACAGCTAACAACGGACGTGAAGAACCTCTCTGAGAAGAACCACAAACCACGCCTCAAGGAAATAAAAGAGGACACAAACAAATGGAAAAATATTCAATCCTCGTGGATAGGAATAATCAATATGGTGAAAACAGCCATACTGTCCAAAGTAATTTATAGATTCAATACTAATGCCATCAAACTGACCTTCTTCACAGAATCAGAAAAAAAAACTATTTTAAATTTTATATGGAGTCAAACAAGACCCCGTATAGAAAAGACAATCCTAAGTAAAAGGAACAAACTTGGAGGCATCACACTACCTGACTTTGAACTATACTAAAAGACTACAGTAACCAAGACAACATAGTACTGGTACAAAAACAGATGTATAGACCAATGGAGCAAAAAGGAGACCTCAGAAATAACATCACGTATCTACAACCATCTGATCTTCGACAAACCTGACAAAAACAAACAATGGGGAAATGATCTCCTATTCAGTAAATGTTGCTGGGAATACTGGCTAGTCATATGAGAAAATTAAAACTGGATCCCTTCTTTACACCTTATACAAAAATTAACTCAAGATGGATTAAAGATTGAAATGTAAAACCCAAAACCATAAAAACTCCAGAAGAAAAACCTAGGCAATACCATTCAGGACATAGGCATGGGCAAAGACTTTCTGACATAAATGCCAAAAGCAATTGCAACATAAGCCAAATTGACAAATGGGATTTAATTAAAGAGCTTCTGCATAGTAAAAGAAACTATCATCACAGTGAACAGGCAACCTACAGAATGGGAGAAAATTTTTGCAATCTATCCATCTGGCAAAGGTCTCATATCCAGAATTTACAAGGAACATACAGAAATTTAAAAGAAAAAAAAACACCAAAAAATGGGTGAAGGATATGAACAGACACTTCTCAAAAGAAGACATTTATGTGGCCAAGAAACATATGAAGAAAGCTAAACATCACTGGCCATCAGAGTAATGCAAATCAAAACCACAATGAGATATCATCTCATGCCAGTCAGAATGGCAATTATTAAAGAGTCAGGAAAGAATAGATGCCGGTGAAGTTGGGGAGAAATAGGAATGCTTTTATACTGTTGGTAGGAATGTAAATTATTTCAAACATTGTGGAGGACAGTATGGCCATTCCTCAAGGATCTAGAACCAGAAATACCATTTGATGCAGAAATCCCATTACTGGGTATATTCTGAAAGGAATAGAAATCATTCTACTATAAAGACACTTGCCCACATATTTTTATTCTGGCACTATTTACAACAGCAAAGACATAGGACCAGCCCAAATTTCCATCTATGATAGACTGAATAAGGAAAATGTGCTACATATACAACTTGGAATACCATGAAGCCATAAAAAGAAATGAGATCATGTTCTTTGCAGGGACATGGATGAAGCTTGCAGCCATTATCCTCAACAAACAAACACAGAACAGAAAAATAAATACCACATGTTCTCACTCACAAGTGGGAGTTGAACAATGAGAACACATAAACACAGAGAAGGGAACAACACACACCAGGGCCTGTTGGGGTATGGGGGTGAGAGGAGAGAACTTAGAGGATGGGCTGATAGGTGCAGCAAACCACTATGGCACATATATACCTACGTTACAAACATTCACTTTCTGCACATGTATCCCGTGTTTTTAGAAAAAAATAAAATATATATAATATATAAAATAAAAAATATACATAATAAACAGAATATAAAATATTGCTCTTTGGGGCTATTTAAGTTATAAGTTTTATGTTTTTATGTATTATTTTTAACTTATTTATTGAAGCTATAAATAGCTCCAAAGAAAGAAAAACTTTTCTTGACTCTGGAAAATAAAACATAAAAAGAATTGGCAATGTTCTAAACAAATATGTCATATAAATTTAATCCTCTATTAGTGTGGTTCCATGTAATTAACTTTTGTTCCACTTGTTGAGTTAGCAATCTGCATGAATACGTAAGCTTTTAAATTAGAGTTTTGGAATATTTTACTTAGTCCAATAGTATGATCTTCAACATTATCAGGAAAACCTGTATTCAAGAGTGCTTGTAAAGGTCCTTTTCATGAATTTTCCTTGAAGAAGCAGCAAATTTGGGGCTGTAGGTGATTATAAACCACTTCTTGAGAAGAATCAAGGTAAAATAATAATCTGTGGATGACAAAAGGCTGAGAATAGCCATGATTAAAAATGTAGTTGACTAGGAAATTTGATTATTTCTGTGGAATACAACAGTTTAACATAAAAATCAAGAGGGGATGGACAACAGAAGCCAAGGTTAGAGTGTGCAGGGCCATGAGCCAAGGAATGCAGGGAGCTCTAGAAGCTGGAAAAAAATTGCTGAGGGATCTGGCAGAATGGCTGAATAGGAAAGGCTTGGCTTTACAGCTCTCAGCAAAACCAACACATAAGGTGGGTGATTTCTGCATTTCAAACTGAGTGGTGCCTGGAACCCCAGTGAGACAAAACCATTCACTCCCCTGGAAAGGGGGCTGAAGCCAGGGAGCCAAGGGGTCTTGCTCAGCAGGTCCCACTGCCACAGAGCCCAGCAAGCTAAGAACCAGTGGCTTGAAATTCTCGCTGCCAGCACAGCAGTCTGAAGTTGACCTGCGATGATCCAGCTTGGTTGGGGGAGGGGCATCTGTCATTACTGAGGCTTAAGTAGGTAGTTTTCCCCTGATAGTGCTAAGGAGGCCGGGAAGTTCAGAATGAGCAGATCTCACCACAGTGTGGCAAAGCAGCTGTGGCCAGACTGCCTCTCTAGATTCCTTCTCACTGTACAGGGCATCTCTAAAAGAAAGGCAGTAGCCCCAGTCAGGGGGTTATAAAAAAACTCCCATCTCCCTGGGACAGAGCACCTGGGGGAATGGGTGGCTGTGGGCACAGCTTCAGCAGACTTAAACGTTCCTGCCAGCTTGCTCTGAAGTGAGCAGTGGATTCTGACAAGGTGGTTTTTTCCAGCACAGTGCTTGAGCTCTGCTAAGGGACAGACTGCCTCCTCAAGTGGGTCCCTGACCCCTGTGCCTCCTAACTGGGAGAGACTTCCCAGCAAGATTTTGACAGACACTTCACACAAGAGACCTCTGGCTGGCATCAGGTGGGTTCCCCTCTGGGATAAAGCTTCCAGAGGAAGGAGCAGGCAGAAATCTTTGCTGTTCTGCAGCCTCCACTGGTGATACTCAGGCAAACAGGGTCTGGAGTGGACTTCCAGCAAACTCCAGCAGTCATACAAAAGAGGGGCCTGACTGTTAGAAGAAAAAGTAACAAACAGAAAGCAATAACATCAACTTCAACAAAAGGGATTCCCACACAAAAAAACCCATCCAAAAGTCATCAGCCTCAAAGATCAAAGGGAGATAAATCCACAAAGATGAGATAAAACCAGTGCAAAAATGCTGAACATTTGAAAAGCTGGAATGCCTCCTCCTCCAAATGATCACAACTCCTTTCCCCCAAGGGCACTAAACTGGATGGAGAATGAGTTTCATAAATTGACAGAAGTAGGCTTCAGAAGATGGGTAATAACAAACTCATCTGAGCTAAAGGAGCATGATCTAACTCAGTGCAAGGAAGCTAAGAACCTTGATTAAAGGTTACAGGAACTGCTAACTAGAATAAAGAGTTTAGAGAAGAACATAAATGAGCTGATGGATCTAAAAAAACACAGCATGAGAACTTCATGAAGCATACACATGTATCAATAGCTGAATCAATCACAGGGAAGAAAGGATATCAGAGATTGAATAAGAACTTACTGAAATAAGGTGAGAAGACAAGATTAGAGAAAAAAGAATGAAAAGGAATGAACAAAGCCTCCAATAAATATGGGACTATTTAAAAAGACCAATCTTATGAATGATTGGTGTACCTGAAAGTGATGGGGAGAGTGGAACCAAGTTGGAAAACACACTTCAAGATATTACCCAGGAAAGCTTTCCCAATCTAACAAGACAGACCAACACTCAAATTCAGAAAATACAGAGAACACCACTAAGATACTCCTTGAGAAGAGAAACCTCAAGATACACAATAATCAGATTCTCCAAGACTAACAGCAGATCTGTCTGCAGAAACCCTACAAGCCAGAAGAGAGTGGGGGCCAATATTCAACATTCTTAAAGAAAAGAATTTTCAACCCAGAATTTCATATCCAGCCAAACTAAGCTTCATAAGCAAAGGAGAAATAAAATTATTTACAGACAAACAAATGCTGAGGGATATTCTCACCACCAGGCCTGCCTTACAAGAGCTCCTGAAGGTAGCACTAGATATGGAAATGAAAAAGCAGTACCAGCCACTGCAAAAACACACCAAAATATAAAGACCAATGACACTATATAGAAACTGCATCAACTAATGTGAAAAATGACCAGCTAGCATCATGATGACAGGATCAAATTCACACATAACAATATTAGCCTTAAATGTAAAGGGGCTAAATGCCCAATATTAACTTAACTTTAAATGTAAATGTGCTAAATGCCCTAATTAAAAGACACGGACTGGAAATTGGATAAATAGGCAAGACCCATAGGTGTGCTGTATTCAGGAGACCCATCTCACGTGCAAAGACACACAATGGCTCAAAGTAAAGGAAGGGAGGAATATTTACCAAACAAATGGAAAGCAAAGAAAAGCAGGGTTTGCAATACTAGTCTATGATAAAACAGACTTTAAACCAAGAAAGATTAAAAAGACAAAGTAGGGCATTACAAAATAGTAAAGGAATCAATGCAGCAAGAAGAGCTAACTATGCTAAATATATATGCATCCAATACAGGAGCACCCAGATTCATAAAACAAGTTCTTAGAGACCTACAGAGAGATGTAGGCTCCCACACAATAATAGTGGGAGACTTAACACCCCACTGTCAGTATTAGACAGATCAAAGAAACAGAAAATTAACAAGAATATTTAGTACTTGATTTTGGATCTGGACCAAGTGAACCTAACAGACGTCTACAAAACTCTCCACCCCAAATCAGTAGAATATACATCCTTCTCAGCACTGCATAGAAAATATTCTAAAATTGACCACATAATTTGAAGTAAAACACCCTTCAGCAAATGCAAAAGAATGGAAAGCATAACAAACAGTCTCTCAGACTACAGCATAATCAAATTAGAACTCAGAATTAAGAAACACACTCAAACTGCACAACAACATGGAAATTGAACAACTTGCTCCTGAATGACTACTGGGTAAATAATGAAATTAAGGCAATAATAAAGAAGATTTTGGAAACCAAGGACAAAAAACAGACAACATATTAGAATCTCTGAGACACAAAGCAGTGTTAAGAGAGAAATTTATAGCACTAAATACCCACATCACACAGTGAGAAACATCTAACATCAACACCCTAACATAATAACTTTAAAAAAAAACTAGAGGGGGGAAAAGCCAAGATGGCCAAATAGGAACAGCTCCAGTCTACAGATCCCAGCATGAGCAACGCAGAAGATGGGTGATTTCTGCATTTCCAACTGAGGTACCGGGTTCATCTGACTGGGGAGTGCCAGACAGTAGGTGCAGGACAGTGGGTGCAGTGCACCGTGTGCAAGCCAAAGCAGAGCGAGGCATTGCCTCACCCAGGAAGCACAACGGGTCAGGGAATTCCCTTTCCTAGTCAAAGAAAGGGGTGACAGACAGCACCTGGAAAATTGGGTCACTCTCACCCTAATAACATGCTTTTCCAATGGGCTTCAAAAATGGCACACCAGGAGATTATACCCCGCACATGGCTTGGAGGGTCTTATGCCCACAGACCTCACTCATTGCTAGCATAGCAGTCTGACATCAAACTTCAACGTGGCAGCAAGGCTGGGGGAGGGGCACCCGCCATTGCTGAGTTAGTTGTTTGATTAGGCAAAAAAAGCTGCCTGGAAGCTCGAACTGGGTGGAGCCCATCACAGCTCAAGGAGGCCTGCCGGCTTCTGTAGGCTCCCCCTCTAGGGGCAGGGCACAGACAAAGAAAAAGACAGCAGTAACCACTGCAGACTTAAATGTCCCTCTCTGACAGCTTTGAAGAGAGTAGTGGTTCTCCCAGCATGCACCTTGAGATCTGAGAACAGGCAGACTGCCTTCTCAAGTGGGTCCCTGACCCCCCAGTAGCCTAACTGGGAGGCACTCCCCAGCAGGGGCAGACTGACACCTCACAAGGCCAGGTACTCCTCTGAGACAAAACTTCCAGAGGAACAATCAGGCAGCAGCATTTGCGGTTCACCAATATCCGCTGTTCTGCAGCCACAACTGCTGATACCCAGGCAAAGAGAGTCTGGAGTGGACCTCTAGCAAACTCCAACAGACCTGCAGCTGAGGGTCCTGTCTGTTAGAAGGAAAACTAACAAACAGAAAGGACATTCGCACCAAAAACCCATCTGTACATCACCATCATCAAAGACCAAAGGTATATAAAACCACAAAGAAGTGGAAAACACAGAGCAGAAAAACTGGAAACTCTAAAAATCAGAGCACCTCTCCTCCAAGGAACGCAGCTCCTCACCAGCAACGGAACAAAGCTGGACAGAGAATGACTTTGATGAGTTGAGAGAAGAAGGCTTCAGATGATCAAACTACTCTGAGCTACAGGAGGAAACTCGATCCAATAGCAAAGAAGTTAAAAGATGTGAAAAAAATTCGAGGAATGGACAACTAGAATAACCAATGCAGAGAAGTCCTTAAAGGACCTGATGGAGCTGAAAACCAAGGCACGAGAACTACATGACAAATGCAGAAGACTCAGTGTACGATGCGATCAACTGGAAGAAAGGGTATCAGTGATTGAAGATCAAATGAATGAAATGAAGCGAGAAGAGAAGTTTAGAGAAAAAAGAATAAAATGAAATGAAAAAAGCCTCCAAGAAATATGGGACTATGTAAAAAGACCAAATTTATGTCTCATTGGTGTACCTGAAAGTGATGGGGAGAATGGAACCAAGTTGGAAAACACTCTGAAGGATGTTATCCAGGAGAACTTCCCCAATCTAGAAAGGCAGGCCAAAATTCAAATTCCAGAAATACAACGCACGCCACAAAGATACTCCTCGAGAAGAACACCTACAACACACATAATTGTCAGATTCACCAAAGTTGAAATGAAGGAAAAAATGTTAAGGGCAGCCAGAGAGAAAGGTCGGGTTACACACAAAGGGAAGCCCATCAGACTAACAGCTGATCTCTTGGCAGAAACACTACAAGCCAGAAGAGAGTGGGGACCAATATTCAACAATCTTACAGAAAAGAAATTTCAACCCAGAATTTCATGTCCAGCCAAACTAAGCTTCATAAGTGGAGGAGAAATAAAATCCTTTACAGACAAGCAATTGCTGAGAGATTTTATCTCCACAAGGCTGGCCCTAAAAGAGTTCCTGAAGGAAGCACTAAACATGGAAAGGAGCAACCAGTACCAGCCACTGCAAAAACATGCCAAATTGTAAAGACCATTAAGGCTAGGAAGAAACGCGATCAACTAACGAGCAAAATGACCAGCTAACATCATAATGACAGGATCAGATTCACACATAACAATATTAACTTTAAATGTAAATGGGCTAAATGCTCCAATTAAAAGACAAAGACTGGCAAGTTGGATAGAGTCAAGAACCATCAGTGGGTTGTATTCAGGAAACCCATCTCATGTGCAGAGCCACACATAGGCTCAAAATAAAGGGATGGAGGAAGATCTACAAAGCAAATGGAAAACAAAAAAAGGCAGGGGTTGCAATCCTAGTTTCTGATAAAACAGACTTTAAACCAACAAAGATCAAAAGAGACAAGGCCATTACATAATGGTAAAGGGATCAATTCAACAAGAAGAGCTAACTACCCTAAATATATATGCACCCAATACAGGAGCACCCAGATTCATAAAGCAAGTCCTGAGTGACCTACAAAGAGACTTAGACTCCCACACAATAATAATGGGAGACTTTAACACCCCATTGTCAACATTAGACAGATCAACGATACAGAAAGTTAAGAAGGATACCCAGGAATTGAACTCAGCTCTGCACCAAGCAGACCTAATAGACATCTACAGAACTCTCCACCCCAAATCAACAGAATATACATTCTTTTCATCACCACACCACACCTACTCCAAAATTGCACACATAGTTGGAAGTAAAGCACTCCTCAGTTAATGTAAAAGAACAGAAATTATAACAAACTGTCTCTCAGACCACATTGCTACCAAACTAGAACTCAGGATTAAGGAACTCATTCAAAACTGCTCAACTAAATGGAAACTGAACAACGTGCTCCTGAATGACTTCCAGGTACATAATGAAATGAAGGCAGAAATAAAGATGTTCTTTGAAACCAAGGAGAACAAAGACACAACATACCAGAATCTCTGGGACACATTCAAAGCAGTGTGTAGAGGGAAATTTATAGCAATAAATGCCCACAAGAGAAAGGAGGAAAGATCTAAAATTGACACCCTAACATCACAATTAAAATAACTAGAAAAGCAAGAGCAAACACATTCAAAAGCTAGCAGAAGGCAAGAAATAACTAAGATCAGAGCAGAACTGAAGGAAATAGAGACACAAAAAATCCTTCAAAAAATCAATGAATCCAGGAGCTAGTTTTCTGAAAAGATCAACAAAATTGACAGACCACTAGCAAGATTAATAAAGAAGAAAAGAGAGAAGACTCAAATAGACGCATTAAAAATTGATAAAGGGCATATCACCACAGAAATACAATCTACCATCAGAGAATACTATAAACACCTCTATGCAAATAAATTAGAAAATCTAGAAGAAATGCATAAATTCCTGGACACATACATCCACCCAAGACTAAACCAGGAAGAAGTTGAGTCTCTGAATAGACCAATAACAGGCTCTGAAATTGAGGCAATAATCAACAGCTTACCAACCAAAAAAAGTCCAGGACCAGATGGATTCACAGCCGAATTCTACCAGAGGTACAAAGAGGAGCTGGTACCATTCCTTCTGAGACTATTCTGATTGATAGAAACAGAGGGAATCCTCCTTAACTCATTTTCTGAGGACAGCATCATCCTGATACCAAAGCCTGGCAGAGACACAACCAAAAAAGAGAATTTTAGACCAATATCCTTGATGAACATCAATGCAAAAATCCTCAATAAAATAAAGGCAAACCAAATCCAGCAGCACTTCAAAATGCTTATCCACCATAATCAAGTGGGCTTCATCCCTGGGATGCAAGGCTGATTCAACATATGTAAATCAATAAATGTAATCCAGCCTATAAAGAGAACCAAAGACAAAAACCACATGATTGTCTCAATAGATGCAGAAAAGGCCTTTGACAAAATTCAACAACCCCTCATGATAAAATCTCTCAATAAATTAAGTATCAATGGGACGTATCTCAAAATAATAAGAGCTATCTATGAAAAACCCAAAACCAATATCATACTGAATGGACAAAAACTGGAAGCATTCCCTTTGAAAACGGGCACAAGACAGGGATGCCCTCTCTCACGACTCCTATTCAACATAGTGTTGGAAGTTCTGGCCAGGGCAATCAGGCAGGAGAAGGAAATAAAAGGTATTCAATTAGGAAAAGAGGAAGTCAAATTGTCCCTGTTTGCAGGTGACATGATTGTATATCTAGAAAACCCCATCATCTCAGCCCAAAATCTTCTCAAGCTGGTAACCAACTTCAGCAAAGTCTCAGCATACAAAATCAATGTACAAAAATCACAAGCATTCTTATACACCAATAACAGACAAACAGAGAGCCAAATCATGAGTGAACACCCATTCACAATTGCTTCAAAAAAATAAAATACCTAGGAATCCAACTTACAAGGGATGTGAAGGACCTCTTCAAGGAGAACTACAAACCACTGCACAATGAAATAAAAGAGGATACAAACAAATGGAAGGACATTCCATGTTCATGGGTAGGAAGAATCAATATCGTGAAAAAGGCCATACTGCCCAAGGTAATTTATAGATTTAATACTATCCCCATCTAGCTACCAATGACTTTCTTCACAGAATTGCAAAAAACTACTTTCAAGTTCATATGGCACCAAAAAAAGCCCGCATCACCAAGTCAATCCTAAGCCAAAAGAACAAAGCTGGAGACATCACGCTACCTGACTTCAAACTATACTACAAGGCTATAGTAACCAAAACAGCATGGTACTGGTACCAAAACAGAGATATAGACCAATGGAACAGAACGGAGCCCTCAGAAATAATGCTGCATATCTACAACTATCTGATCTTTGACAAACCTGAGAAAAACAAGCAATGGGGAAAGGATTCCCTATTTAATAAATGGTGCTGGGAAAACTGGCTAGACATATGTAGAAAGCTGAAACTGGATCACTTCCTTATACCTTATACAAAAATTAAGGCACGATGAGTTAAAGACTTAAATGTTAGACCTAAAACCATGAAAACCCTAGAACAAACCTAGGCAATACCATTCAGGACATAAGCATGTGCAAGTGCTTCATGTCTGAAACACCAAAAGCAATGGCAACAAAAGCCAAAATTGACAAATGGGATCTAATTAAACTCAAGAGCTTCTGCACAACAAAAGAAACTACCATCAGAGTGAACAGGCAACCTACAAAATGGGAGAAAATTTTTGCAACCTACTCATCTGACAAAGGGCTAATATCCAGAATCTACAATGAACTCAAACAAATTTATAAGAAAAAAACAAACAACCCCATCAAAAAGTGGACAAAGTATATGAACAGGCACTTCTGAAAAGAAGACATTTATGCAGCCGAAAAAGACATGAAGAAATGCTCATCATCACTGGCCATCAGAGAAATGCAAATCAAAACCACAATGAGATATAATCTCACACCAGTTCGAATGGTGATCATTAAAAAGTCAGGAAACAACAGGTGCTAGAGAGGATGTGGAGAAATAGGAAGACTTTTACACTGTTGGTGGGACTGTAAACTAGTTCAACCATTGTGGAAGTCAGTGTGGCGATTCCTCAGGGATCTAGAATTAGAAATACCATTTGACCCAGCCATCCCATTACTGGGTATATACCCAAAGGATTTTAAATCATGCTGGTATAAAGACACGTGCAAACGTATGTTTATTGCGGCACTATTCACAATAGCAAAGACTTGGAACCAACCTAAATGTCCAACAACGAAAAACTGGATTAAGAAAATGTGGCACATATACACCATGGAATACTATGCAGCCATAAAAAATGATGAGTTCGGATTTCGGGGGGAGGAGCCAAGATGGCCGAATAGGAACAGCTCCAGTCTACAGCTCCCAGCATGAGCGACGAAGAAGACGGGTGATTTCTGCATTTCCATCTGAGGTACCGGGTTCATCTCACTAGGGAGTGCCAGACAGTGGACGCAGGTCAGTGGGTGTGCGCACCATGCGTGAGACGAAGCAGGGCAAGGCATTGTCTCACCAGGGAAGCGCAAGGGGTCAGGGAGTTCCCTTTCTGAGTCAAAGAAATTGGTGATGGACGGCACCTGGAAAATCGGGTCACTCCCACCCGAATACTGTGCTTTTCTGATAGGCTTAAAAAACGGCGCACCACGAGATTATATCCCGCACCTGGCTCGGAGGTTCCTACGCCCAAGGAGTCTTGCTGATTGCTAGCACAGCAGTCTGAGATCAAACTACAAGGTGGCAGCGAGGCTGGGGGAGGGGCGCCCACCATTGCCCAGGCTTGATTAGGTAAACAAGGCAGCCTGGAACCTCGAACTGGGTGGAGCCCAACACAGCTCAAGGAGGCCTGTCTGCCTCTGTAGGCTCCACCTCTGGGGGCAGGGCACAGACAAACAAAAAGACAGCAGTAACCTCTGCAGACTTAAATGTCCCTGTCTGACAGCTTTGAAGAGAGCAGTGGTTCTCCCAGCACGCAGCTGGAGATCTGAGAATGGGCAGACTGCCTCCTCAAGTGGGTCCCTGACCCCTGACCCCTGAGCAGCCTAACTGGGAGTCACCCCCCAGCAGGGGCACACTGACACCACACACGGAGGGTACTCCAACAGACCTGCAACTGAGGGTCCTCTCTGTTAGAAGGAAAACTAACAAACAGAAAGGACATCCACACCAAAAACCCATCTGTACATCACCATCATCAAAGAACAAAAATAGATAAAACCACAAAGATGGGGAAAAAACAGAACAGAAAAACCGGAAACTCTAAAAAGCAGAGCACCTCTCCTCCTCCAAAGGAACGCAGTTCCTCACAAGCAACGGAACAAAGCTGGACGGACAATGACTTTGACGAGCTGAGAGAAGAAGCCTTCAGACGATCAAATTACTCTGAGCTACGGGAGGACATTCAAACCAAAGGCAAAGAAGTTGAAAACTTTGAAAAAAAATTTAGAAGAATGTATAACTAGAATAACCAATACAGAGAAGTGCTGAAAGGAGCTGATGGAGCTGAAAACCAAGGCTCGAGAACTACGTGAAGAATGCAGAAGCCTCAGGAGCCAATGCGATCAACTGGAAGAAAGGGCATCAGTGATGGAAGATGAAATGAATGAAATGAAGCGAGAAGGGAAGTTTAGAGAAAAAAGAATAAAAAGAAATCAGCAAAGCCTCCAAGAAATATGGGACTATGTGAAAAGACCAAATCTACGTCTCATTGGTGTGCCTGAAAGTGATGGGGAGGATGTAACCAAGTTGGAAAACACTCTGCAGGATATTATTCAGGAGAACTTCCCCAATCTAGCAAGGCAGGCCAACGTTCAGATTCAGGAAATACAGAGAACGCCACAAAGATACTCCTCGAGAAGAGCAACTCCAAGACACATAATTGTCAGATTCACCAAAGTTGAAATGAAGGAAAAAATGTTAAGGGCAGTCAGAGAGAAAGGTCGGGTTACCCTCAAAGGGAAGCCCATCAGACTAACAGTGGATCTCTCAGCAGAAACCCTACAAGCCAGAAGAGAGTGGGGGCCAATATTCAACATTCTTAAAGATAAGAATTTTCAAACCAGAATTTCGTATACAGCCAAACTAAGCTTCATAAGTGAAGGAGAAATAAAATACTTTACAGACAAGCAAATGCTGAGAGATTTTCTCACCACCAGGCCTGCCTTACAAGAGCTCCTGAAGGAAGCATTAAACATGGAAAGGAACAACCGGTACCAGCCGCTGCAAAATCATGCCAAAATGTAAAGACCATCGAGACTAGGAAGAAACTGCATCAACTAACTAGCAAAATAACCAGCTAACATCATAATGAGAGGATCAAATTCACACATAACAATATTAACTTTAAATGTCAATGGACTAAATGCTCCAATTAAAAGACACAGACTGGCAAATTGGATAAAGAGTCAAGACCCGTCAGTGTGCTCTATTCAGGAAACCCATCTCACGGGCAGAGACACACATAAGCTCAAAATAAAAGGATGGAGGAAGATCTACCAAGCAAATGAAAAACAAAAAAAGGCAGGGGTTGCAATCCTAGTCTCTGATAAAACAGACTTTAAACCAACAAAGATCAAAAGAGACAAAGAAGGCCATTACATAATGGTAAAGGGATCAATTCAACAAGAAGAGCTAACTGTCCTAAATATATATGCACCCAATACAGGAGCACCAAGATTCATAAAACAAGTCCTGAGTGAACTATAAAGAGACTTAGACTCCCACACATTAATAATGGGAGACTTTAACACCCCATTGTCAACATTAGACAGATCAACGAGACAGAAATTCAACAAGGATACCCAGGAATTGAACTCAGCTCTGCACCAAGCAGACCTAATAGACATCTACAGAACTCTCCACCCCAAATCAACAGAATATACATTTTTTTCAGCACCACACCACACCTATTCCAAAATTGACCACATACTGGGAAGTAAAGCTCTCCTCAGCAAATGTAAAAGAACAGAAATTATAATAAACTATCTCTCAGACCACAGTGCAATCAAACTAGAACTCAGGATTAAGAAACTCACTCAAAACCGCTCAACTACATGGAAACTGAACAACCTGCTCCTGAGTGACTACTGGGTACATAACGAAAGGAAGGCAGAAATAAAGATGTTCTTTGAAACCAAGGAGAACAATGACACAACATACCAGAATCTCTGGGACACATTCAAAGCAGTGTGTAGAGGGAAATTTATAGCACTAAATGCCCACAAGAGAAAGCAGGAAAGATCCAAAATTGACACCCTAACATCACAATTAAAAGAACTAGAAAAGCAAGAGCAAACACATTCAAAAGCTAGCAGAAGGCAAGAAATAACTAAGATCAGAGCAGAACTGAAGGAAATAGAGACACAAAAACCCTTCAAAAAATCAATGAATCCAGGAGCTGGTTTTTTGAAAGGGTCAACAAAATTGATAGACTGCTAGCAAGACTAATAAAGAAAAAAAGAGAGAAGAATCAAATAGACGCAATAAAAAATGATAAAGGGGATATCACCACCGATCCCACAGAAATACAAACTACCATCAGGGAATACTACAAACACCTCTACGCAAATAAACTAGAAAATCTAGAAGAAATGGATAAATTCCTGGACACATACACTTTTCCAAGACTAAACCAGGAAGAAGTTGAATCTCTGAATAGACCAATAACAGGATCTGAAATTGTGGCAATAATCAATAGCTTACCAATCAAAAAGAGTCCAGGACCAGATGGATTCACAGCCGAATTCTACCAGAGGTACAAGGAGGAGCTGCTACCATTCCTTCTGAAACTATTCCAATCAATAGAAAAAGAGGGAATCCTCCCTAACTCATTTTATGAGGCCAGTATCATCCTGATACCAAAGCCAGGCAGAGACACAACAAAAAAAGATAATTTTATGCGAATATCCTTGATGAACATTGATGCAAAAATCCTCAATAAAATACTGGCAAAACAAATCCAGCAGCACATCAAAAAGATTATCCACCATGATCAAGTGGGCTTCATCCCTGGGATGCAAGGCTGGTTCAATATACGCAAATCAATAAACGTAATCCAGCATATAAACAGAGCCAAAGACAAAAACCACATGAATATCTCAATAGATGCAGAAAAAGCCTTTGACAAAATTCAACAACCCTTCATGATAAAAACTCTCAATAAATTAGGTATTGATGGGACGTATTTCAAAATAATAAGAGCTATCTGTGACAAACCCACAGCCAATATCATACTGAATGGGCAAAAACTGGAAGCATTCCCTTTGAAAACTGGCACAAGACAGGGATGCCCTCTCTCACCACTCCTATTCAACATAGTGTTGGAAGTTCTGGCCAGGGCAATCAGGCTGGAGAAGGAAATAAAGGGTATTCAATTAGGAAAAGAGGAAGTCAAATTGTCCCTGTTTGCAGACAACATGATTGTATATCTAGAAAACCCCATTGTCTCATCCCAAAATCTCCTTAAGCTGATAAGCAACTTCAGCAAAGACTCAGGATACAAAATCAATGTACAAAAATCACAAGCATTCTTATACACAGACAACAGACAAACAGAGAGCCAAATCATGAGTGAACTCCCATTCACAATTGCTTCAAAGAGAATAAAATACCTAGGAATCCAACTTACAAGGGATGTGAAGGACCTCTTCAAGGAGAACTACAAACCACTGCTCAATGAAATAAAAGAGGATACAAACAAATGGAAGAATATTCCATGCTCATGGGTAAGAAGAATCAATATCGTGAAAATGGCCATACTGCCCAAGGTAATTTACAGATTCAATGCCATCCCCATCAAGCTACCAATGACTTTCTTCACAGAATTGGAAAAAACTACTTTCAAGTTCATATGGAACCACAAAAGAGCCCGCATCGCCAAGTCAATCCTAAACGAAAAGAGCAAAGCTGGAGGCATCACACTACCTGACTTCAAACTATACTACAAGGCTACAGTAACCAAAACAGCATGGTACTGGTACCAAAACAGAGATATAGATCAATGGAACAGAACAGAGCCCTCAGAAATAATGCCGCATATCTACAACTATCTGATCTTTGGCAAACCTGAGAAAAACAAGCAATGGGGAAAGGATTCCCTATTTAATAAATGGTGCTGGGAAAAGTGGCTAGCCATATGTAGAAAGCTGAAACTGGATCCCTTCCTTACACCTTATACAAAAATCAATTCAAGATTGATTAAAGACTTAAACGTTAGACCTAAAACCATAAAAACCCTAGAAGAAACCCTAGGCATTACCATTCAGGACATAGGCATGGGCAAGGACTTCATGTCTAAAACACCAAAAGCAATGGCAACAAAAGCCAAAATTAACAAATGGGATCTAATTAAACTAAAGAGCTTCTGCATAGTAAAAGAAACTACCATCAGAGTGAACAGGCAACCTAAAAAATGGGAGAAAATTTTTGCAACCTACTCATCTGACAAAGGGCTAATATCTAGAATCTACAATGAACTCAAACTAATTTACAAGAAAAAAAAAAAAACTCATCAAAAAGTGGGTGAAGGACATGAACAGACACTTCTCAAAAGAAGACATTTATGCAGCCAAAAAACACATGAAAAAATGCTCATCATCACTGTTCATCAGAGAAATGCAAATCAAAACCACAATGAGATACCATCTCACACCAGTTAGAACGGCAATCATTAAAAAGTCAGGAAACAACAGGTGCTGGAGAGGATGTGGAGAAATAGGAACACTTTTACACTGTTGGTGGGACTGTAAACTAGTTCAACCCTTGTGGAAGTCAGTGTGGCGACTCCTCAGGGATCTAGAACTGGAAACACCATTTGACCCAGCCATCCCATTACTGGGTATATACCCAAAGGACTATAAATCAAGCTGCTATAAAGACACATGCACACGTATGTTTATTGCGGCATTATTCACAATAGCAAAGACTTGGAACCAACCCAAATGTCCAACAATGATAGACTGGATCAAGAAAATGTGGCACATATACACCATGGAATACTATGCAGCCATAAAAAATGATGAGTTCATGTCCTTTGTAGGGACATGGATGAAATTGTAAATCATCATTCTCAGTAAACTATCACAAGAACAAAAAACCAAACACCACATATTCTCACTCATAGGTGGGAACTGAACAATGAGATCACATGGACACAGGAAGGGGAATATCACACTCTGGGGACTGTTATGGGGTGGTGGGAAGGGGGAGGGATAGCATCGGGAGATATACCTAATGCTAGATGATGAGTTAGTGGGTGCAGCGCACCAGCATGGCACATGTATACATATGTAACTAACCTGCACAATGTGCAAATGTACCCTAAAACTTAAAGTATAATAAAAAAAAAATGATAAGTTCATGTCCTTTTTAGGGACATGGATGAAACTGGAAACCATCATTCTCAGCAAACTATCGCAAGGACAAGAAACCAAACGCCACATGTTCTCACTCATAGGTGGGAATTGAACGATGAGAGCACATGGACACAGGAAGGGGAACATCACACACTGGGGATTGTTTTGGGGTGGGGGAGGGGGAGGGATAGCATTAGGAGATATACCTAATGCTAAATGACGAGTTAATGGGTGCAGCAAACCAGCATTGCACATGTATACATATGTAACAAACCTGCACCTTGTGCACATGTACCCTAAAACTTAAAGTATAATAATAATAAAATTTAAAAAAAATAGAGAAGCAAGAGCAACCAAATTCAATAGCTCGCAGAAGACAAGAAATAACTAAGATCAGAGCATAACTGAAGGAGGTAGAGACACAGAAAACCTTCAAAGAAATCAATGAATGAGGAGCTTGTTTTTTGAAAAGTTTAACAGAATAGACAGACCACTAGGCATATTAATAAAGAAAAAAAGAGAGAAGAATTAAATAGCATAAAAAATGATAAAGGAGATATCAGCACTGATCCCCCAAAAATACAAACTAGAGAATATTTTAAACACCTCTGCACAATAAACTAGAAAATCTAGAAGAAAGGAGTACATTCCTGGACACATAGACCATTCCAAGACTAAAGCAGGAAGAAGTTCAATCCCAGAATAACAAGTTCTGAAATTACAATAACAAGTTCAGAAATTGAGGCAGTAATTAGTAGCCTACCAACCAAAAAAAAAAGGACACGACCAGATGGATTCACAGCTGTATTTGACCAGAGGTACCAACAGGAGCTGGTACCATTTCTTCTGAAACTTTTCCAAAAAATCAAAAAGGAGGAACTCTTCTCTAACTCGTTTTATGAGGCCATCATTGACCTGATACAAAAACGTATCAGAGACACAACAAAACAAGAAAATTTCAGGCCAATAACTCTGTTGAACATCAATGCAAAAATCCTCAATAAAACACTGGCAGACCAAATCCAGCAGCACATCACAAAGCTTATCCACTATGATCAAGTCAGCTTCATCACTGGGATGCAATGCTGGTTCAACATACACTAATCAATAAACATAATCCACCACATAAACAGAACCAAAGACAAAAACCACATAATTATCTCAACAGATGCAGAAAAGGCCTTTGATAAAATTCAACTCCCCTTCATGCGAAAAACTCTCAATAAACTAGGTGTTGATGGAACACAACTCAAAAAAATAAGAGGTATTTATGACAATCCCATAGTCAATATCATATTGAATGGGTAAAAGCTGGAAACATTCCCTCGGAAAACTGGCACAAGACAGGGATGCCCTCACTCACCACTGCTATTCAACATAGTATTGGTAGTTCTGGCCAGGGCAATGAGGCAAGAGTAAGAAATAAAAGGTATTCAAATAGGAAGAGAGGAAGTCAAATTGTCTCTGTTTGCAGATGATGTAATTTTGTATTTAGAAAACCCCATTTTCTCTTCCCCAAAACCCGTTAAACTGATAAGCAACTTCAGCGAAGTCTCAGGATACAAAATCAATGTGCAAAAATCACAAGCATTCCTATATGCCAATAACCGACAAGCAGAGAGCGAAATCATGAGTGAATACCCATTCACAATTGCTACAAAGAGAATAAAATATCTAGGAATACAACTTACAAAGGACATGAAGGGCCTCTTCAAGGAGAACTACAAATCACTTTTCAAGCAAATAAGAGAAGACCCAAACAAATGGGAATACATTTCATGCTCATGGATAGGAAGAATCAATATCATGAAAATGGTTATACTGCCCAAAGTAATCTACAGATTCAATGCTATTCCCATCAGGCTACCATTGACTTTCTTCACAGAATTAGAAAAAAGTACTTTAAATTTTATATGGAACCAAAAAAGAGCCCATATAGCCAAGACAATCCTAAGCAATAAAACAAAGCTGGAGACATCACTTTACCTGACTTCAAACTATACTATAAGGTTACAGTAACCAAGGCAGCATGGTACTGATACCAAAACAGATATATAGACCAAGGGAACAGAACAGAGGCCTCAGAAATAACACCACACATCTACAATCATCTGATCTTCGACCAACCTGACAAAAACAAGCAATGGGTAAAGAATTCCCTATTTAAAAAATGGTGCTGGGGAAATTGGCTAGGCATATGCAGAAAACAGAAACTGGACCCTTTTCTTACACCTTATACAAAAATTAGCTCAAGATGGATTAAAGACTTAAATATAAAACCTAAAATCCTAAAAACTCTAGAAGAAAACCTAGGCAATACCATTCAGTGGGAGTGTCAATTAGTTCAGACATTGTGTAAGACAGTGTGGAAATTTCTCAAAGATCTAGAACAAGAAATACCATTTGACCCAGCAATCCAATTACTGGGTATATACCCAAAGAATTATAAATCATTCAACTAAAAAGACACATGCTCACATATGTTTCTTGCAGCACTATTTAAAATAGCAAAGACTTGGAACCAACCCAAATGTCCATCAATGTTAGACTGGATAAAGAAAGTGTAACACATATACACTTTGGAATACTATGCAGTCACAAAAATTAATGAGTTCATGTCCTTTGCAGGGGCATGGATGAAGCTGGAAACCATAATTCTCAGCAAACTAACACAGGAACAGAAAACCAAACGCAGCATGTTCTCACTCATAAGTGGAAGTTGAACAATGAGAACACACGGACACAGGGAGGGGATCATCACACACTGGGGCTGTTTTGGGGTTGGGGGCAATGGGAGCAAGAGCATTCAGACAAATACCTAATGCATGCAAGGCTTATAACCTAGATGATGAGTTGACTGGTGCAGCAAACCACCATGGCACATGTATACCTGTGTAACAAACCTGCATGTTCTGCACATATATCTCAGAACTTAAAGTTAAAAAAAAAAAACATAAAACTCATAATGATTGGTGATAACATATACTAAGCTATCAGAATTTTAGAAATCTTGCAAACTTTTGGAATACATGTTGATAACACATTTATACAGATACAACTCAGAGAGTTAAACACTTTTCCTTATTTGACAATGCTGCCTACATAATTTTCACATAACAAATAAGCCTAATATGCCTCTCTTGAACTTCCATGATTCAAAAGCCTGAATTTTAGGGTTTGAAATTTAATTTTGAGAAGCATGTCAAATATGAAAGGTGTAAAACACTTTATTAAAGTAGGATCACAGGTCATGGTAATATGATAATTTTGCATATAGCCACAGTGATAATTCAGATCTTTCAAAAACCATATGCCTTTGCTCCTTGATAGAGAAGACACTTTTTCCCAACCAATCAAGACACAAGCCTGGTTTATTTTACCACTTGCTCATTGTAGAGGCCTAAAGCCTTAAACAAACAACAGTGATAACCAGGTAGTGGTCACAGTGGGCCTTGAATGAGAGCCAGTGCCTTGCTGGCTTTAGGACTGACTAAGCACAGTACCACAAAACTGCTTGTGTCACCTCATGCTCAGCTCCAGACAGCTCAGAATAGAGACAGAGACTCTGCCTGAAATAAAGTAGAAAAGAAAAAAAGAGTCTGATAAGGTTTGGCTCTGTGTCCCCATCCAAATCTCATTTTGACTCTTACTCCTATAATTCCCACGTGTTGTGGGAGGGACCCAGTGGGAGATAATTGAATCATGGGGGTGGTTTCCCCATACTCTTCTCATGATAGTGAATAAGACTCATGACATCTCATGGTTTTATCAGGGGTTTCTGCTTTTGCATCTTCCTGATTCTCTCTTTGCTTGCTGCCATCCATGTAAGACAGGACTTGCTCCTCTTTGCATTCTGCCATGATTGTGAGGCTTCCCCAGACATGTAGAACTGGAAGTCAAATTAAGCCTCTTTATTTTGTTAATTGCACAGTCTTGGTATGTCTTTATCAGCAGTGTGAAAATGGACTAATACACTAAATTAATACCAGTAGAATGAGGTGTTGCTGAAAAGATACCCAAAAACGTGGAAGCAACTTTAGAATTGGGAAACAGGCAGAGATTGGAACAGTTTGGAGGGCTCAGAAGACTGAAAGATTTGGGAAAGTTTGGAACTTCCTAGAGAGTTTTTGAATGGCTTTGCCGAAAATGCTGATTGCGATATGGACAATAAGGTCCATAATGAGGTAGTCTCAGATAGAGATGAGGAACTTGTTGGGAACTGAGGCAAAGGTAACGCTTTTTATGTTTTAGCAAAGAGACTGGTGGGATTTTGCCCCTGCACTAAAGATTTGTGGAACTTTGAACTTGAGAGAGATGATTTAGGGTATCTGGCAGAAGAAATTTCTAAGCAGCAAAGCATTCAAGAGTTGACTTGGGTGCTGTTAAAAGCATTCAGTTTTAAAAAGAAAACAGCATAAAAGTTTGAAAAATCTGCAGGCTGACAATGCAATAGAAAAGAAAATCCCATTTTTGCAGAGAAATTCAAGCCAACTATAGAAATTTGCATAAGTAACGAAGAGCCAAATGTTAATCCCCAAGACAATAGGTAAAATGTCTCCAGAGCATGTCAGAGGTCTTCACAGCAGCCTCTCCCATCATAGGCCAAAATGCCTAGGAGGAAAAAATAATTTTATGGGCTAAGCCCACGGTCCCTGAGCTGTGCACAGCCTAGGGACTTGTTGCCCTTCCTCCCAGCTGCTCCAGCTGTGGCTGAAAGGGGCAATGTGGAGCTTGGGCCATGGCTTCAGATGATGCAAGCCCCAAGCCTTGACAACTTCCAAGTGGTGTTTAGTCTGTGTGTCCACAGAAATCAAGAATTGAACTTTGGTAACCTCTGCCTAGATTTCAGAAGATGTATGGAAACGCCCAGGCAGAAGTTTGCAGCAGGGGCAGGGCTCTCATGGTGAATCTCTGCTAGGGCAGTACAGAAGGGAAATGTGGGGTCAGAGCCCCCACACAGAGCTCTTACTGGGGCACCACCTAGTGGATCTGTCAGAAGAGGCCACCATCCTCCAGACCCCAGGATGGTAGATCCACCAACAGTTTGCACTGTGTGCCTGGAAAAGCCACAGACACTCCACACCAGCCCATGAAAGCAGCCAGAAGGGAGGCTATACCCTGCAAAGCCACAGAGATGGAGCTGCCCAAGACCATGGGAACCCATCTCTGTGACCTGGATGTGAGACTGGAGTCAAAGGAGATCATTTTGGAGCTTTAAGATTTGACTGCCCCGCTAGACTTCAAACTTGCATGGGCCCTGTAGCCCCTTTGTTTTGGCCTATTTCTCCCATTTGGAATGGTTTTATTTACTTAATGTCATTACCCCTGTTGTATCTATGAAATAACTTGTTTGCTTTTGATTTTACAGACTCATAGGTGGAAGGTACTTGCCTTGTCTCAGATGAGACTTTGGACTGTGGACTTTTGAGCTAATGCTGAAATGAGTTACGACTTTCCGGGACTGTTGGGAAGGTACGATTTGTTTTGAAATGTGAGGACATGAGATTTGGCAGGGGCCGGGGGTGGAATGATATGGTTTGGCTCTGTGTCTCCACCTCAATCTCATTTTGAATTGTACTCCCATAATTACCACATGTTGTGGGCAGGACCCCATGGGAGGTAATTGAATCATGGGGCAGTCTCCCCCATACTGTTCTTGTGGTGGTGGATAAGTCTCATGAGAGCTCATGGTTTTATCAGGGGTTTCTGCTTTTGCATCTTCCTCATTTTCCCTTTGCCTGCTGCCATCCGTGTAAGATGGGACTTGCTCCTCCTTGCCTTCTGCCATGATTGTGAGGCTTACCCAGCCACGTGGAACTATAAGTCAAATTAAACCTCTTTCTCTTTTAAGTTGCCCAGTCTCAGATATGTCTTTATCAGGAGTGTGAAAATGGACTAATACAGAGTCTATCCCTGGAAACCCAGAGAATTCTTCCAGATATCATTCAAGACCATCAGAACATTACCTGTATGAGTATGCAAAAACCAGATCAATACTGGGCTTCAGGTGCTCCTTAATGAAGATACAACCTAGATTAAAAAAAAAAAAAATCCAGGTCTCTTTGAATACCTGGAAACTCTTTGCAATAAGGACATGTACAAACAAGCTCAGACTGCAAAGACTATGATGAACACCTAACTCTTCAATGTCCAGACAAAGACAAACATCCACAAACATTAAAACCATCCAGGAAAATACGATTTCTCAAATGAACTAAATAAGGCAACAGAAACTAATCGTGGAGGAATAGATATATGTGATTTTTCAGACAGATAATTCAAAATAGCTGTTTTAAGGGAACTCAAAGAAATTTAAAATAACACAGAAAACAAATTCAGAATTCTATCAGATAAATTTAACAAAGGTATTGAAATAAACAGAATCAAAAATAAATTCTAGAGTTGAAAAATATGATTGACATCCTGAAGAATGTGTCAGAGTCTCTCAATAGCAGAACTGATCAAGCAGAAAAAAGAATTGACCTTGAATAAGGGTGATTTGAAAATACACTATCAGATAAGACAAAAAAAGAATATAAAACCATGAAGCACACCTACAAAATCTAGAAAATATTCCCAAAAGGACAAATCTAAGAGATATTGACCTTGAAGAGGAGGTAGAAAAAGAGATAGGTTTGAAAAAGTTTATTCAAAAGGAATAACATCAGAGAACTTCTCCTAAACATAGAGAAACCTATCAATATCTAAGTACAAGAAGATCATAGAATCTCAAGCAGATTTAACCCAAAGAAGTCTATCTCAAAGACTTTAATAGTCACACTCCCAAAGGTCAAGGATAAAGAAATAATACCAAAAATAGAAAAAAAAAAAAAAGAAATAAATAACATAAAATGGATCTCTAATACATCTGGCAGCAAAGTTTTCACTGGAAATCTCATAGGCATGGAGAGAGTGGCATGACATATTTAATGTGCTGAAGGAAAAAAACAAAACAAAAGAAAACAAAACAATTTTTACCCTGCCAGGTGTGGTGGCTAATGTCTGTAATCCCAACATTTGGGAGGCTGAAGTGGGCAGATTGCTTGATTTCAGGAGTTCAAGACCACCCTAAGCAAGATGGCTAAACCCCATCCCTACAGAAAATATTAAAAAGTAGCCAGGGGTGGTGGCAAGTGCTTGTAGTTTCACCTACTCAGGTAGCTGAGATGGAGAATCACCTGAGCCTGGGAGTTTGAGGCTGTAGTGAGCCATGATTGTACCATTGCACTCCAGCCTGGGAAATTGGAGTGAGGCCTTTCTTCAAAACACACAAACAAACAAAACTTTTACTCTATAATAGTATATCTTACAAAAGAATACCCTTTAAACATGAACGAGAAATAAAACTTTCCCAGACAAACAAAAGTTGAGGAATTTCATCAATACAAGGCCTGTCCTTAAAAAATGCTAAAGAGAGTACTTCAATCAGAAAGAAACGCACATTAGTGAGCAATAAGAAATAATTTGAAGGTACAAAACTCACTGATAATAGTAAGTATACAGAAAAAAACAATTTGCTATAATACTGTATCTGTGGTGTGTAAACTACTCTTTAGTAGAAACACTAGAAGACGAATCGAACAAAAATAATAACTACAACAACTTTTGAAGAGATAGTACAATGAGATGTAAATAAAAGCAACAGAAAGGTTTACATCAGGGAAATGTTGTTAAAGATGTAGAGTTTTTATTAGTTTTCTTTTTGCTGGTTTATTTTGTTGCTTTTGCAAAAAGTGTTAAGTTGATATCAGCTTAAAATAATAGATTATAAAAATTTTTTAAAAGATTATAAGATAGTATCTCTGAGTCTCATGATAATCTCAAATCAAAAGCATACAACAGATAAACAAAAACTAAAAGTAAGAAATTAAATTACACCACCAGAGTAAATTACCATCACTAAAAGGAAGATAGGAAGGAAGGAAAGAATAAAGAGAAACCACAAAACAACAAGAAAAAAGATAACAAAATGGCAGGAGTAAGTCCTTACTTATCAATAAAAACTTTGAATGTAATTAGAATAAAATTTTCAACCAAAAGACATAGAGTGGCTGAATAATTAAAAAAATAAGACTTAATGATTTGTTGCTCATAAAATATGCACTTCATCTGTAAATAGACACATAAACTAAATATAAAGGGATGGAAAAAGATACTCCATGCCAATGAAAACAAACAAACAAAAAAAGCAGGAGTAGCTATACTTATATCAGAAAAAAATAGATTTCAAGACAAAACTATAAGAAGATAAAAATAAGGTTACTATATAATAATAAAGAGATCTATTTAAAATATATAACTATTTAAAATATATATGCACCCAACGCTGGAGCACATAGTTATATAAAGCAAATATTATTAGATCTAAAGAGAGAGCCAGATCTTAACACAATAACAGTTGGAGATTTCAACACTCCACTTTCAGCATTGAGCACATCTTCCAGACAGAAAGTCAACAATGATTCAGTCTGCACTATAGAACAAATGGACCTAATAGATATTTACAGAACATTTTATCTAAAGACTGCAAAGTACACATTCTTTTCCTCAGTACATGTATCATTCTCAAGCATAGATCATAGGTGAGGTCACAAAACATTTAAAACACAAGTTAGGTCACAAAACATTTAAGTCTTAAAACATTTAAAAAATTTAAATAACATCAAGCATCTTCTCTGGCCACAGTGGAATAAAACTAGAAATCAAATATGAGAGAAATTTTGGAAATTGTATGAACACAAGGAAATTAAACAAGGTGCTCCTGAATGACCAGTGAGTCAATGAGAAAATTAAGAAGGAAATTGAAAAATTTTGTGAAATATATAATAGAAACACAGCATACCCAAATCTATGTGACGCAGAAAAAGCATTCCTAAGAGGCAAGTTTATAGCTATATGTTCCTACATAAAAACAACAACAACAACAAATTCAAATAAACAACATAATGATGCATCTTTGAAAAGTAAAACAGTAAGAACAAACCATACCAAAAATTAGTAGGAGAAAAGAAATAATAAAGATCAGACCAGAATAAATAAAAATTGAAATTTAAAAACTATACAAAAATCAATGGATTAAAAAGTTGATTTTTTGAAAAAATTAAAAATTGACAGAACTTTAGCTAGACTAAGAAAAATAGAAAAAGATCAAATAAACCAAATTAGAGATGAAAAAGGAGACATTACAACTGTTACTTCAAAGAATGATTAGTGGCTACTATGAGCAAGTATATGCCAATAAATTAGAAAATCTAGAAGAAATGTATAAATTCCCAGACACATACAACCTATCCAGATTGAATCATGAGTAAGTCCAAAACCTGAACAGACCAATAAAGAGTAATAAGACTGAAGTCCTAATAAAAAGTCTCCGGGGGGGGGGGGGGGGGAGGAAATAAAAGCCAGGGACTCAATGGCTTCACTGCTGAATTCTACCAAACATTAAAAAAACAAAACAAAACAAAAAAAAACTAATACTAATTTTACTCAAACTAAGTCAAAAAATAGGGCAGTAAGAAATACTTCCAAGCTCAATGGGACAATAATACAGAGCTATGGTAACTAACACAGCATGGTATTATCATAAAAACAGACACATAGACAATGGAATAGAATAGAGAATGTAGAAGTAAATTCATACATTGGCAGTGAACACATTTTTGACAATGTTGCCATGAAAATACATTGTGAAAAGAACAGTCAGTTTAATTGATAGTGTTGAGAAAACTGGATAGCCATATGCAAAAGAATGAAACTAGACCCCTATCTCTCACCATACACAAAATCAAATCAAAATGAAATAAGGATTTAAATCCAAGACCTCAAACTATGAAGCTACTAAAAGAAAACATTGGGGAAACTCTCCAGGACATTGGACTGGGCAAAGATTTCCTGAGTAATACCACACAAGCACAGGCAACCAAAGCAAATATGGACAAATGGATAACATTAAGTTAAAAAACTGTTGCACAGAAAGGAAAACAACAAAGTGAAGAGACAACCAATAGAATGAGAGAAAACTTTTGAACACTACCCATATGACAAGAGATTAATAGCCCGAATATATAAGAGGTTCAAACAACTGTATAGGAAAAAAATATAATAATCTGGTAAAAAATAAAAATAAAAATGGGCCAAACATTTGTACAGACATTTCTCCAAAAAAAAGACATGCAAATGGTGAACAGATATGTGAAAAGGTGCTCAACATCATTGATCATCAAATAAATATATATCAAAACTATAATAAGACCTCATCTCACCCCAGTAAAAATATCTTTCATTCAAAAGTCAGGCAATAACAAATGCTGAAAGAATGTGGAGAAAATGGAACCCTTGTACACTGTTGGTGGGAATGTACATTAGTATAGCTACTAGGGAGAAAAACTTGGCGGTTCCTCAGAAAACTATAACTAGAGCTGCCATATGATCTAGCCATATACCCAAATGAAAGAAAATTAGTATATTGAAGAGATATCTACTTTTAATGTTTATTACAGCACTACACGATAGCAAAATTTGAAAGCAATCTAAGTGTTCTTCAACAGACGGATAAAGAAAATGTACATATACACATTGGAGTGCTAGCAAGTCATAAAAAGAATGACATTCTTTCACTTGCGATAACTCGGATGGAAGTGGATGTCATTATATTAAATGAAATAAGCCAGGTACAGAAAGACAAATATCACATATTCTCACTATGGGAGCTAAGTATTAAAGAAATTTAACTCATGGAGATAGAGAGCAGAGGGTGGTTAATAGAGGCTGAAAAGGGTAGTAGAGGGATGAGAGGAAAGTGGGATGGTTAGTGAATAAAAAAAAGAAAGAATGAATAAGACTTGGTATCTTCTTACACAGCAAGATGTTGATGGTCAAAAATAATTTAATTGAACATTTCTAAAATAACTAAAACAATATAATTGGATTGTTTGTAACACAAAGGATAAATGCTTGAGTGGATGGATACCACATTTATTCTGATGTAATTATTAAGTATTGCATGCTTGTGTCAAAATATCTCATGTAAACCATAAAAATGTATACCTACTACGTACCCACAACATTGTTTTAAAAAATTATTTTCTTTAATTTGGTAGTTTTAATTACATATTAATTAGAATTTTAACATATGTAGTTTAAAATTTCAGTAACCTTAGCTTTTGTGTAAACCTAGAATGTAAGTAATTTAAAAAATTCACCACATACCAACATTTTATGAAACATTTATGCCTAATTTATTTCATTCAATCATGTTTGAACTGTTCATAGAATTTTATAAGATATTGAACAAAGCTAGCCATCATCTTTAGTTATTTTCCTGTTAACCATTTACATTGTATAAATGTTAGGCTGTAGCCATTTAAGCAAGAAGTCAAGGGTACTTAAGTGTTTTGCTGTTCATAAGTCACAGCTGTTTTTATTAAACCAAAAATATTAACTAGTGTTGTCTAGTTAATTACCCAAGTCATGAGAACTAAAAGACATTTGAGTTACTTTCTACTTTTCTGATCAAGTATTTGATTTAGGCATTTAATTTTTCTTTAAGCAATTAAGTAGAGCTCTTTTATATATTTGTGCAGTAAAACACACTTACAAGGGTAATATATAAATGTATAGGCATACAGACACACAGAAGCAGATTATTTAGCATTATAAGGTTCTTCACTTCCCAGTGTGTAAATAATTTCTCTCCCCCCTTTGACTATCAAGTTTTAAACAATGGTTAACTAGGCAACTCTAAATTTGCACCTCTAAAAGGATGATCCTTAAGTGAAAATTTACATCTCAAAGGCACTGATCTTAAATCTAAACAACATTATTTGCTGAGACAAAGGGATAGGTGTAGGCTTAGTCAAGACAAGAGTGCTGGCCAAGCATCTTAAAGGTACAATTAGTCAGGTAAACTTTAAGCCAATGTCTTCCCTGTTGTAAAAGTAGTTTCCAGTGGCTTGGGAGCAGGGAGATGCTCTTCCAAATGAAGATTTCCTCTGTAGATGTAAACTTCTTTTAGAAAGAGTTTCAAAATAACAGCTTAATGTCAGAAAGTCATATTTTAGAGACCAGTACAGTTAAATTGTGGTCTTTTCAGCTTAGCTTGCTTCTTGAATAGATTACATACTTCTGGGTGGAGGCCTTTAAAGAACAGGATAAATAAAATATTTGCAGTTTTCAGGGCCTAATATTTAATTGTTTGAGGAGAAGGTACAACTGGAAAGCAGAGAATCTAGATTTTTAAAAATCAAGGATCCCACTTTTTACTTTGAATCCTGGGTCCCCCAAAGGAAAAAAGTGCCATGAGATTAGGCCAAACTTTCACAACACACCTCACTACAAAATATTTTTCTAAGTTTTTAAACTATGCCTTTCTTCACTTTTTGGTGAAAAGAGTCAAACTCTGTAAAACATCTCAAGAGGTATATTCTGAGTCAAACATGAGTGAACATGGCCCATGATACAGCCCTAGGTAAACCCTGAGAATATGTGCCCAAGGTGGCCAGGCAACAACTTGGTTTTATGCATTTTAGGGGGCCATGAGACATCAGTCAATATATGTAAGAGGTACATTGATTCAGTCTGACAAGGCAGGACAACTGGAAGTAGGGGTCTCCAGGTTATAGGCAGATTCAAAGATTTTCTGATTGGCAACTAGTTGAAAAAATTTGTCTAAAGACTTGGAATTAATAGAAAGACAATGTCTGGGTTAAGATAAGGGATTGTGGAGACCAAGGTTCTTGTCCAGATGAAGCCTTTAGGTAGCAGGCTTCAGAGAAAATAGATTGTAAATGTTTCTTATCAAACTTAAAAAGGTGTCAGACTCTTAGTTGATTCTTAGATCAGGAAGAAGTACTGAAAAAAGGAAAGAGGAATCTCTACAGAATGTAGATTTTTCCCCATGAGAGACAACTTGGCAGGGCTATTTCAAGATATGGCAAATAAACATATTTTGGGTTAATATATACATATATATGTGTGTATATATATATATGTCATGATATATGTATATGTATGTGTGTGTGTGTGTGTGTGTGTATATATATATGTCATGATATATGTATATGTATGTGTGTGTGTATGTGTGTGTGTGTGTGTATATATATATATATATATGTCATGTGATGTTATGCCAGTGTCAGGTTGGAAAGTAAGTCATGTTATATAGGGATAAATAAAAGCCCTCTGGTGGGACTTTATGATTTGTATGGCATAACTCCCCACACCCATTAGATAGAGGAAATTTGGGCAAGAGAAGAAAATATGTCAAAGTTTAGTCCTCAACCTAACACATAAAGATAGGAGTAGTCCCCTGTAATAATAAATATCCACCATAAACAACTGCTGTAAGCCACCTCCAAAACTGCAACTCTCAACATCAACTCACCAGCCATCACACACACAAAGGTCAGGTGTTCTCTCATGGTATAAAGTAACCTCCAGTACCACCAAGAGCCAAATATATCATGTAACAGAATACAAAAAAGAGCAGAGTATTAGACCTGAGAGGAACGTTTCCATGACTAGAGCATGAAAACCTTTTAATACCCTAGAGCAACAGGGAAGACTGAAAAAGTATGTGAGTAGTGCCTTTTTCTGTGTTTTTAAGGGGTCTGAGTAATTAGAAGTCCACTCTAGATACTTTTGTTACTGGTGGAGGAGATCTGAGTCACCCCGAGTTACCAGTGGCCTATCCTTATGGGTCCATAGCAACTTCAGTCCGTGCATCCTCAGAAGAATTCAACTGAGGAGCATAAAGCAGAAAATGAGATGGAGACAAGTTCCAGAGCAGAAATGCAAGTTTATTTAAAAAGACCTTGGAACAAGAAAAAGAGGAAGGTGCACTTGGAAGAAACCCAAGTGGGAACATGAAGGTTAAAGAGAGAAGGTCAAGTTCCTCATTTAACCGTGATCCTAGAACTTTAATAAGTTCACCTCTTTCCCAAGATTCTTTCCTTAGGTTGGGCTTTTCACATGCTCAGTGCTTTCCTTACCCTTTGGAATTGAGCCTGGAGAGTGTGTTTAGGAAGTTATAAGCATCACCAACTGAGGCTTTCTTCCCTTTACTGATGGAATATACCCCCAGAAGATAATACTTCATCATTTTTGTCTCTTAACATGCATGCCCAGGAAGTTGCTTCTCCTGGGGTCTCCATTCAATTAACATTTTGTTGTTAACAGGTGTGGACCATCAGGAAATGGTTTCTCCCTGGCACTACCAAATTATCATTTTTTATAGAGGCAATGCAATAATTGTTGTACCATCACCCAACATTTCTAGTGGGTGGGGGGAGAGCCCTTTCCTGCACTGCTCAGACCTAACTACCTGTAACACTTTTATGTTGTACTGAAGACAGAAAAGAGGAAGGAATAGCTTTAATATCAGGTTTTAATGAAGCTAACTTCTGACCATAGAGCTTTATTGTTTAAAAAAGTACATCTTTTGAAATTTTTTACGCTTAGATTTTAGCTGTAACAAACAGCTGATATTTTTAGCTTTTGAACTTCTTTTTACCAAAGGTACACTCCCATTATCTTGATTAAGGCTTAATCACCAAAACCAGTAATCCTTAAGATTATGACTTAACCAAGGATAAACAAGGTGTCTCCTATCAGTCAAGGGAAATGACCAAGGCAAATCTCCATCATTTTAGAAGGTTTATTTACCAAAGTTAAGGATGCACGCCTGGGACACAGGTCTATACCTTTCTCCCAAGATGATTTTGAGGGTTTCAAATTTAAAGGGGAAAGGGTGGAATATTGAGAAATACACATTTTTTTTTGTGAGGGGAAGTAGGGGAAGATAGTCATTTATGCCTTTGTCTGGCTCAGTGAATCTACCTTTTAACATAAAATAGTGTAGACAATAGGGCAGAGAAAACAATCAGATACAAATTTAGAAGACATGATCTCCTAAAAATAAACACATTTGGCTTTTATGATGGTGCAGGTTCTCTTTTGGGCTCCAGTGAGTATATCTAAGGCCATAAAATTTTGCAGCACTGCTTTCCTCATGAGTGAGACCTCATTGTTTAGCAAAGTGATACTCATGTGGATATCATTTTGTGTATACCTTTTGTGTATCATTTGTTAATGCCATATATGCCATATAACATCTTCAATATCTATTTGTGGTATGAAGACTGAAGCTAAACGATCATAATGATAGATGCAGGAGGCAGATAAGTGGGGAACTGGAGAATCTTTGACCCACCTCACAAGAGTTTACATTAGATGCTTTTGTGAAGATAAGGGAAACTGCCCAGCGTCTTGTCTGTGCATGCCCACAACAGACTGGAGATCCACCTGTGCACTGGGACAATGGGGTAGAGCCATGGAAGTTTGTGCCTTGGCCAAGGGGTTGGATCCTGGCCTCTTCAGCTCATGAGTGGTGGCCTGGTATTCAATTAGTGAGGTGGGAACTCATTGGCAGGACTTCCTCTAGATTTACTGTTTCTTTTTTTTTCATTTTCTCCCAATAAATTCTGCTCTCCTCATCCTTCAATGTGTTCATGTGCCTAATTTTTCCTGGTTGTGACAAAAGAACCTGGGTTTAGCTAAACTAAGGAGCAAAAATTCTGCATCATTTTGGTGGCCCATATGGGGACATGAGAAAGGGTAAGATGTGAACCAAAAAATCCTCTTCCCTCTCATTCTTGAGACTTTTTTTCTTTAGACTTCTGAGGGTAGAGGAAACTGAGTACAATCCCATCTCAACAGCCACAGAAATGTGTGTGGAATGGACAGGCAAATGGCAGATCCCCACCCCTCTTCTCTCCCAGCTGGGGCACAAGGCCATGTCAGCTGCATGTGTGTGTGGCATCCAATGGTCATGAAAGGTGGGAATGAGCCACTGCCCTGGGCCCTACATGGCAGGCTGGCCAGAGTTCCCCGCATACATCCGTAGAGTCTTCCCCTCCCCCAGTCAGGGGGTCCAGCTCTATCTGACAGCAATTAAGCTTCTCTCCCCATTGGAGGAATCTATTTGCATAAGAATAAGAGGTTCTTTCCCCAGGCGTCTTTCCAACTCTGCATTTTAAGCTTTTTTTGTCCCTTTTCTGTACCCTGTCAGCAGTTACAGCACAACTGTGCAGTTTAAGCTATTTTTCTTTTCTCCATCAGATCAAGAGTTAACTTTTAAGCAATAGTTTTGTTTTACTTTTAGCAAACATTTTACCAAGCCACAACCCCAACTATCACTGTTTATTTTCTCTGTAAGGTTTTATTTATGAAAAAATATTTGTGAGGTTTGTCTTAAGCTGTAGCCAATCCGGTGTGCTTTGCATGTCTTTCTATATGGTCAGTAGCAGACTTTACTAAGGGCTTCCATCTTGTTTTACATTCTTGGGAGTGTGATCTGTAAGCACATAGCAGTGCTTTGTTTTAGCCTCCATAATTTTACAATGGTGGCCCAGGTTCAATCCTGGCATAGGGAATGAGTTCTTTCTGGTTTGAAATCTGTGTGACCTTTGCCATTTGTTGATTCTCTGCCCCTCCATGAACCACCTTGAATAGTCCTTTTTCTGAGCTTTTAGTAAAGTTTGAAAGACAGAAATATTGGCTGCTTGGCACAGCTAAAGTGGGGGTAACAAGGGATTTAAAAGGATTTTCTTAAAGAGCACTCAGCTTAATTAAAAATTAATATCCAAGTTATAGGCCTAATTAATAGACCTTTATGTTTTTCTCTTCTTGGATCTTGTTTTTTTGGAAAAAGGCTTTTACTCAGTTGACTGAATTATTTTTCTCCATTTTGCCTTGCCACTCTTAATACAAGCCTGAGAGGGAAGAGACCTCTGTTTTCCTTATGGAGCCCCAGGAATTAAAGGCAGATAAATCCCTTTCAAAATCTGTTTTTGTCTTCCAGCTATACCTATTTATTATACCATAGAAACCATAGGATTTCCTGGTCTTGCCCTTAAAGGGCTCCACCCAAAGGCCAATAATCCAATTAGGAGTTTGGCAAATGAAAACTCTTATAGCTACTGGATTCTTTTCTGCCTCACCGTGTAGTTATATAAGTGTTGTGTGTGTAATGTCTATAAAAAAAGATCTCTGATTAATTAACTTCAAGAAATAAGCACTTGCATCAAATATTTTCAAAAGAGAAGATAAAAGCTGTTGTACCTTTTAGTTCATGTGACTTTATTCTTTGATTAAAAAAAAAAAAAGCCTTAAAAATTACTGGTAAAGTGCAAATGTAGTCAAAATGTAAATTTTTGCCTAGGATTAAGAGATTGTTTTAAATTAGATAAGTAAAGCTAAAAGTTCAAACAAGTTGTGGAAGGATTGTAAAAATTATACTTGCAAAAGAAATTCTTCATCTGAACATATTGGCTAAATTCAAAAGGGTATTAAGTGGGGTTTTTTTTTGTAAATTGATCATTGAAATAAAAGCACAACAAGGTACTTAAGGCATTAATCTGTTCTTCAGTGATATTTTTAAAAGTTTATAAAAGGTTTTTGCCTTTTTAAATGTCTGAGTCATCATTTTGGCAAAATAAATAATTTATGGTAATCTGTAATTCCATTTCATAACATCAAGTGTTTTAAATCTCCAACATTTAACAGGTTTCTAAAAATCAAACTTCAGTTTAAAAATTGTCTTTCGTGATGCCTGGCTTTTGGATGCTACAGAGGGCCCCTGGAGCATCCAGAAGGAAGGTAAACAGGATTAGTTAACATGTCTAGGTATCTGGGATTGCCAAAATAATGTTTAATCTTCAGGTTATATTTTAGGGAATAATATTAATATATGCTCTAAAATTGTTTGGAATGTCTAAAATTCTAATGTCTGAGTATATGCTATCAATCACAATCAAGGTTATGTTAAGTTATTGTAAACCAAGGAGATAATAAAATTTCTCTGTCAATCATGTTTCTGACTGTATTCATGGACAATTGTTGTCTTGTGTTAATCCTTTTCAAAATATGGTTTATAATCAACTATAGAAATTTTGACCAGTCATGGTTGCTCACACCTGTAATCCCAGCACTTTGGGAGGCTGAGTCAGGCAGATCACTTGATGTCAGGTGTTTGAGAACAGCCTGGCAAACATGGTGAAATCCCATCTCTACTAAAAAAATACAAAAATTAACTGGGCATGGTGGTGCGTTCTTGTAGACCCAGCTATCAGGGAAGCTGAAGCAGGAGAACCACTTGAACCCAGGACGTGGAAGTTGCAGTGAGCCAAGATTGTACCGCTGCACTCCAGCCTGGTTGACAGAGTGAGACTCTGTCTCAAAAAACAAACAAACAAACAAAAAGAATCTTTGACAGGTGCTCTCAAATGTAGGTTGCTAAGAACTTTGGAGATTGTAACATTGGAATAAAGAAAAAATGTACAGGACTCATGAAGAGCTAAAATGTTCACAAATATCAAGGAAAACAACAGTTAACTGAATGGACTGAATGAATAGACAACTGAAATAATTTTTTGAACTTTTTCTTGGAACATTATTGATTCTTGTTTTGTTTTTCAGAGTCAAATTTTTAGCTACTTACAGCATTTAATAATTCAGTAACGTATACTTCTGTGAATAAAATTTTAAGTATATTTGTCTCTCTCATTCTTCCTGGCTTCTCCAGAATCTGGAAACTAATTGTGAGTATTTTAACTTATGGCAATATAGTTGTTTGCCTCCGTGCATTAAGAGTCTGTTTTCTTCTTCAACAGGATGCAATTGGAGAAACTGGCTGTTTTACCAAGGCTTTGACTGGAAGGGTATGCTTCCCTTTAAGGAATCAAGCTTGACTTGCAGAGCTGACAAAAACTCCTTGGGAAAACTGGCCTCATATCTTGTCTATACTGTCCTTGTACAGGGTTCCTAATCTGCAGCGAGTAAAGAATGTTATTTTCTAACAGGCCCAGGAACATCATGTTCTCGGGGCCTCAAAAACAGAGGAGTTTACTCAACTCACAGGTACTTGAAGGTACAAACCCATGGCTGGGCTGGGCTTTAGAAAGTCCTATCTGAGATTCCAGGTGGAGCAAAGTGTTATCAAAGTCAACCTAAAAGTCCTATGTAAAAATAATTATTCTTGCTGCACTTTATGCAAATAATCAGGCCAAGTATAAGACTAAATCCTGTTTTGCAAACAACTCAGTCCTATCACGATTTGTTTTTAATGAAAATGAGGACTGGAGAAAGAGAACTTATGTTTCAAAATTTGTCATACATTTGTCATTAAAGCCTAGACTCATTAGTTGTTTTTAAGTTTTTTCCTACATTTTAGACTAACCTTGCTTATTTATGTAAACCAACCAGCAATCTCTGGCTACAGCTCAAAAGGAAGAAAAAAGGATGGGTAATGTAAAAATATGGATTAATATTCTAGTTCTGAGCAATTATCTGCAGATCCTGCCAGGTGATGGAAATAAATAGGATGCCTATCACCTGGAGGTTTCCTTATTGGGTAAGTAAAACCAAGGGAGCTAACCAAACCCAAGCACCATGCACCCAAATCTTGGCAAGTATAACTATAGCCACAAGTTATCTGGGCATGCCACAAAACATTCTTTTCTCTTTCTAATTGGAGAAATTCTGCAGCTTCACCTTAGCAGTTGGCTTATAATAAGGAGCCCATGAAAGCCCCCATGAGACACATTTTTTTTTGTCCTAAACTGAATTCTAAGCTTCAGGTCAAAGTCCTAGAAAAGAAAGCTGGATCTGAGGAATCTAGAGGCAGACAATAATGGAAGTTAAAAGGCAGAGTGCAGGTGAGCATGACTGATTCCTGCTGATTAACTCAAGTTTCTTGTTTCATGGATAAAGGTCATGGTAGTATCCACAGCATAAATGAGGTCTAGCAAATTTGAAGGCATCTGACAGCAGGGTATATAGGACGTACATGGGTAAGAGTGAATATGCCCAACCCCTAGGCACCCCTGTTAACATGGGTGAAAGCTGCTTTAACACACATGGCCAGAACCCTGTCATGGTCACCGGGAATTGGGGATGTAAGAACAAGAAGACAGAAAAACACCTCACTTTCTCTCACTCACATATGCTGGATATTCACTAGGAAGAGAAGGGAAACTGGGACACTTTGCTTCCTTCTTTCTAAATGAGTAGCCATTCATCTTTAGTCTGTACCTCCTTCAAATGCATCCTGAACCCCTGGGGCTCCTTTGAAAAATGGCTTCTTTTTTTCTTTCTTTTTTTTTTTTTCCTCCTCCGTCCTCTCTTCACTGATAGGTAAGTGTGTCTCTGTACTGTGGGACACTCCCTTTGGATACATCCTTCAAGCTGGGAAAAGTTAATTTTCCAGACCTTAAACTGGTTGGCTTAGGATTGGGCTCAGGGGAAGGGAAACCAGAAGCCTGACATGCCAGCAAAAGGCTAAAAATTTTTTTACCAGTTGGGCTTTTGGCCTCCCTCTCTCTGTGCAAACCAGTAAAGGCCTCAGGATTTTTGAGCTGTCCTTACTGCCCCCCCTTTTAAAGTTTCATTTAAATACATGTTTTCTAATAACCTCGTTTGTCTGTTCTCACCTTTAGGCCATCAAACTCCAAATGGTCATGCAACTGGAGCCTTGAATTATGGCCCCTTTTGCCAGAGACCCTTAGATAGGCCTTGGAGGCAGATTGGACTGCTGTTTTTCAAAAGCAGCACCCTCTGTCAGCAGAAAGCAGTTAAGATTGGTTTTCATCCGCATCATTATCCTTATTCTAATGGCACTTAGATGTACTTATTTAGAGGGGGAATAATAGACACAAGAGGCAGAGAAGGGAGGTCACTGGAGAATCTCCAATCCACTCCACCAGTGTTTGTATCATACGCTTTTGTGCAGATGAGGGAACCTGCCTGTAGTTTTCTCTGTGCATGCCTGCAATGGACTGGGGACCAATCTGTGCACTGGGAGGATGGGGTAGAATCATGGGAAGTTCATGCTTTGTGCAGTGGGGAGCAGCCTGACCTCTTCAGCTCATGTGTGGTGGTCTGGTGTTTAATATGTGAAGTGGGAGCCTATTGGCAGGACTTTCACTTTGCTGAGAATTTTTCTTTTTTTTCCTTTTTACCCAATAAATTCTGCTCTCCTCATCCTTCAATGTGTCCATGTGACTAATTTTTCCTCATCATGATAAAAGAACCTCAATTTAGCTGAACTAAGCAGCAAAAACTCTGCATCAATACCATTGAAATACAGATCATGTGCAGTGAGATTGTAAATGAAAAAGGTTTGTTGGTTTTGGCAGAGACTGAATTACTTGTCCTTGTGCCCAAGCATAAACTAGAGAACATTGTCTGAACCATCTTGGCAATAACCACGGCCATAGGTTAGTGTCACATAGCCAAAATGTCCCATTTGGAAATAGCTAATAAATACCTGGCTGCTGTACCCAATCAGTGGCATGCCAGTCAGTGTATTATAATATAATAATGAGATAACAAAGTTCTCCAGGTATTCACCCCATATCTCTTGAAGTGTTTTGGCAATTGGCCCTTGGTGTAGTTTCTTTGTTCCCCAGCATAAAGAAGCATTTTGGCCGAGTTTGCCAAATGAAGGGGTGAGCCAGATGAACCGATTCCAAAGTTTCATTATGCCATTTTGAAAATGGGCCATTGTTTGAGGTGCAGCATGGTTATTTCCTTCTCTTTTTGCTAGCAGTGTTGCTAAAGTTAGAGTTAGTGAACTTAACCTTTCTGTTGAGAAACTTTTTCCATAGGCCTTGCTCTTAAGAATGTTTTGAATGGGCAATTATATACACCATCTTTTCTTATATTAGCCACTAAGGATACCAGACCATTTCTGTGATATAATAACTTTATGGTATTTTATCCAGTCCTCACCTTGAAAAGGAGATGCCCACCATAGCAGGCTAGATCTACTGGAAAGAGTCATGAGTCCACATATCCAGCAGGCATCCTTTTGTAATCTGTCTGCATAATTCTGATCCCATTGTAGAAACAGGTTTCTTTTATGGACAACAGTGGGTAGCAGTGGCAAGAATGCATAGAAACATAAGATAAGTAGAAGCAAGGTTTTGAAATTCTTTTTAACTACTAAAAGGATATTAAATAAGAAAAGGCAAGTGCCATTTTGCATAAGATAGCAATTGCCAATATCTCTTGGACAATAATTGTAATGGCTATTATACTATAACCATAGATGTTCTTTTGTATATAGGCCCGGTCCTGTGTCTTGGATTTAAGCAGTCCACAACATGTCATTTGATTCTCATCCTGGATAGAATATCAGTGTTTAGTAAATTGGAGTTGAAGATCTTTGCTGAAAGTTACAGTCCACTCAGGAGATTTAGCCTTTTTAAGATGAGAGCAGTGATTCCATGAGCCTATACCCACTATTTTCGTGGCACATGGATTAGTCAATAGTGTCTGGTATGGGCCCTTCCATTGGGGTTGAAGGGAGTCCTTTATTAAATGTTTTTTTTCTAAAAGCCAAGGTCTCCATGCTACTGATTATGACCAGGTACCCTGTCTTCAGATAGTCAACTGTGAAAGGAATTGACAAATTCAAATAAGCCAAATCTTGGCTTTTTAAAAAACTATGATGAATGACTCCCTTACAATATTGCAATATATATACCTCCATTTTAAAAAGTTGGGTTGGTTATTTTGCTTCCCATACACAAAGGCCTTCCCCTTATAATTTCATAAGAGGATCGCTGATGTTTTCTAAAAGGGGTGGATTGGAATATAAGCAGCACCGCAGGGAGTGCTTTGGGCCAGGGGAGGTGAAATGCCTCTATGAACTTAGCCAGTTGTGTTTTAATTATTCCATTGGTCCTTTCCACCAGCCATGAGGACTGGGATAAAGGCACAATGAAAGTGTTAAAATACGGACCCAATTTTACAAATATTTTGAATAATCTTGCCCGTAAAACTTCACAGTAACACTGTGAAGTTTACAGAGGACTCCCCATAATGGAATAACTTTTTTCTAATAGAATTTTCTAACTGTCATTATTGTTGCTTGCCTGCAGGGAAAATCTTCAACCTGATGGGAAAATATGCAGACCATTACTAAAACATATCTGTAACCCTGAGATAATGTCAGCTGAGTAAAATCAAGCTGCCATACCTCAAAAGGTCAGCTGGAAGAGGAAAATGACCCTGGGCCCCATGGAGGAAATTCCATGGGTTATATCTGGGAAAACTAACACATTGGGAGTAAACATTTTGTGCTGTCATAGAGGATGGTTTTCAGTAATATTGTTTACACCAGGATATAATTTTATATGGATTCCAAAGGGTCAGATTATGAACATATTTCATAAGGGGCACTTGACATCCCATTGGAATAATGTGGTTATTATTAGGTCTATACTGTATTTCAGTTTCAGTTTTCAGTAATATTGTTTACACCAGAATATCATTTTATATGGATTCCAATGGGTCAGATTATGAACATATTCCATAAGGGGCATTTGACATCCCATTGGAGTAATGGGATTATTATTAGGTCTACACCATATTTCAGTTTCAGAAGATAGGCTTCCTTCTGTTTCCAAGTAGATATCTCTTTAGTTGGGGCAATGCTTTGAGTTTCCTTCAACATGTTCTTAACTGCTTTCGATTTTATGGCCATTTCCCAGATTGAGACTGGTGGCTCGAATGCTGCTCTTTCAGGTTAGCTTCAGTAAATTGGTTACCCCAACTTTCAGTGATGTCCAATTTAGAGTGACCTGGGATTTTTAGAATTGCCAAAAGTCTGGGTTTAGAATAGTTCCTAACAGCTCTGATACTGATACTTGTTTTCTGTTTTTTTTTTTAATGGGTTTTCTTTAGGTTAAATATTCCCTCTTCTTCCATAGCATCTGATTGTCATGAGCAACCCCAAATGCATAGCGACAGTCAGTGGATATGTTCTCAGCCTTGTCTTTTGCCAATTGACAAGCTCAGGTCAGGGCTGTCAATTTGGTAATTTGAGCTGATCTCGCTTAGGAAAGATGACTGGCTTTGAATTACCTCTAGTAAGAAAACCGTAGCATATCCTGTTCTAAAATTTCCATGCTCTTCTCTTAAATAAGACCCATTTATAGATAGATACCCAACCTATCACAGCTTTATCCAGTAGCATCTCCTGTAGGTCTGTCTTTGGGGTAGGAAGTTGGGCAGTCATAAGAACACAGTCATGAGAGGTTTTGTCAAAAGGGCCCAGCAAGAGAGTGCCCAGATTAAGATTGTTACAGAAGGAAATGGTAATATTTGGAGATGAAAAATGAAACTTTATAAGAGGCCAGCTAGCTGGCAGACAGGCTTTGAATATGATGAAACTTTAGAAGGGTTTTCTTTAATTGTTGTACAGTTGATTGTCTCTCTGGAGTCCACATGATGGAGTCAGATTGTTCATTTTTATAGGTATGCATACAAAGGTTGAGCCATAAGAGAGAAATGCAGAATCTAATTCCTGCAGTAGCCAGCCAGTTCCAAAAATTCTCTAAGTTGTTTTTCAGTAATAGGTATTGGAAAACATTAAATTTCTTTCACTCTATCAGGGTTAATACTAAGTCCTTTCACTGAGATAATATGCCCCAAATACTTAACTTGTGGCAGGCATAGCTGAAGTCTGTCTTTAGACGCTTTGTATCTCTCGGTGGCTGTTTGAGTAAATCTAGATATCTTCCTGAAAAGTAGATATGTGTCTGAACAAGTGAGAAGGTCATCCACATGCTGGATGACTGTTGCACCCTGGGGAAAAAAAATAAATCCTGTAAATCAGCCTTTAATATTTGAGAAAAATAAGTGGTATTTTCTGCATACCCTTGGGGATTTACAGTCCACGTATATTGTCATTCTTTCCAGGTAAAGGCAAGCAAATATTGGCTCTCTGGATCTACAGGAATTCTAAAGGAGGCATTGCAGAGATCCATAACAGAAATGTTGGCTGGCAGTCAGTACAGCTGATAGAAGGGTATGAGGATTGGGGACTACTGGGTGTCTGGGTATTATGATATTGTTTACTGCCCTCAAGTCCTGTATGAATTATCATCCTCTCCCACTTGTTTTGTTTTTGTTTTACAGAGAATATAGGGCTTTTTCAGGGACAAGTACAAAGAATAATGAGCCCCCTTTTGAGTTAATATTGTATGATGGGGCAATTCCATCTATGGCTTTCTGTCACAGAGGATATTGTTTACAGTTGGGTAGTGGTTTATTAGAGTGTATCTCAACCTTTATTGGTGTGCTTGAGAATATTTTCTTTATGTCTGTATTTGACTGGGATGGTATACTCTTAAGCAAATGCTCTGCTTCTGAAGTTAACAGAAAGATTGGGGAGGCTAAAATAAATTTACCATTCTCTGCCCTTTATTCCAATGTTCTCTCTTCTCCTGTAATATTTTATTTTCTGTTTCTATTTCATATTCCCAGTCACAAGGTAGTGTTTTAACATCATTAGTACTAAATCCTGGTACATTATCTGGATGTTTTTTAATTTGGAATTTTTTATCTCCTGTCTCGAATTCTTAAAAAAAGTTTATCGTTTGATGAAAAAGAGATATGGGCATTATGGATCTTGAGGATATCATAGCCCAGAACATTGATGAAGGTCCCACAGTTTATTAGAAACACATGGGACAAACTAAGTGTGTCACATTTAGAGCCTTCAAGGGGAAAGCTCAATCCAATTAAAGTGTAAGTTATAGATATGGACTTAAAACATGAGATAGTTTGATCAGACACATCAACCATGTTAAACCTTTTATCACTCTGTGAAATGGGGTTTCTAAATAAGGTACGATTTATAAAAGTTATAGTTGCTCCCATGTCAATTAAGGCAGATGAACACTCATGGTTTATTATATTAATCTCTCTCAATTTGTCAGGGTAGAATATTTGCAGAGATGAAACCCTTTAACTTTCTCAGAGCACCCCTAGTCTTCCTGAGTTGCACCTTCCTGCTGTTGCTTCCATTTCAGTCTCAGGCAGTCCCTTCTGAGGTACAGCAGTAACAGACTGGAAAGGAAGAGTCCTCAGATTAAGAGGGCTTAATATTTTTTTGAGGCTGAGAGGTTAGAGAAGTTAATTGCTTTAACTGTAAATGCATGATTCAAACAGTCTTTTGGTTTTCCTTTTTTATCATAGTACGAGATAATTGGTCAGCTAAGTTAACTAGTTCATTAGTTCTGGTTGTGCCCCACTTTGTCATATGGCATTTTACAAGGCTAGCTAAATTGTCTTCTAATCTGTTTAAGAAACTTGTGTTTAATAATGTATCATTTTTATTATTTTCAAAGCAATCAGTTGACATCCCACAATATTGTCTCAAAGTTTTATTAAAATGTGTACAATAAACTAAAGCTGATTCACTTGGGTTCTGGCAACATTACTGGATTTTATTCCAACCCACAACTCTTTAGAATAATGATAGAATGATATTTAACAGAGCAGTCACTCATTTCCATGTATCTTTGTGCTTGTCTTCTGGATGTTTGGGGGCTGGTTATTGTGGCACTATTGGGCCTTCAGGGACTAAGTGAGCTATAGGGCTTGACTGGTGTGCTTTTTCTAGCTGTTTCTTAGTATTAATTCTGAGACCAAAATGCAGAACAGCTGCTAAAGGTCTGAATGACATAGGTCACAGGTTCTGGTAATGAGACCAGGGTTGATAGACAATCAATGAGGTTTCCTTACCTGCACCAGTTGTTCCTGAAAAAGAATAATCATATAAGATGTTCTTGCAGGGTCCCCCTTTCCTTCATCTTCCAGATGAGAAGTTGCCAGCAGGGATATCAGGGAATAGGCAGGAGGTAGAGTCTTGGAAGTTAGTCTCTCTTCTGACTTCTGTTGAGTGAGTGGCAGACAGAGGGAAAGATGGTAGCTTGGAACAAGCAGGAGAAAGAGAAAAGAGATCTGGTCAAGGAAGTTCAGAAAGATCAGAGTAAAGTGAGGGTGGAGGTGGAGGTGTGGGGGGCACCAAATGGGAAGTAAGAAATTCTGAGAATTTTCAAATAGACACAATAAAACATAATAAAAAAGATATCCCCACTGACCTCACAGAAATACAAACAACAATCAGAAAATACTATAAACAGCTCTATGCAAATAAATTAGAAAATCTAGAAGAAATGGATAAATTCCTGGACACATACACCCCCCAAGACTGAAGCAGAAAGAATTTGAATCCCTGAATAGACCAATAACAAGTTCTAAAATGGAGGCAGTAATGAGTAGCCTACCAACAACAACAACAAAAAGAGGCCCAGGAGCAGACAAATTTACAACTGAATTCTACCAGAGGTACAAAGAGGAACTGGTACCATTTCCTCTAAAACTATTTCAAACAGTTGAAAAGGAGGGAATCTTTCCTAACTCATTTTATGAGGCCAGCATTATCCTGATACCAGAACCTGGCAGAGATATAACGAATAAAGGATACTTCAGGCCATTATGCATGATGGACATTGATTCAAAAATCTTCAATAAAATGCAGGCAAACCAAATCCAGCAGCAAATCAAAGAGCTTATCCACCACAATCCAGTCGGCTTCTTCTGTGGGATGCAAGCTGGTGCAACATACACAAATCAATGAATGTAATTCATCACATAAACAGAACTGAAGTCTAAAATTACATGATTATCTCAATAGATGTAGAAAAAACATTTGATAAAAAATTCAACATCCCTTCATGTTAAAAACTCTCAATAAACTAAGTATTGATGGAACATATTTCAAAATAATAAGAGCCATTTATGACAAACCAATAGCCAGTATCATACTGAATGTGCAAAAGCTGGAAGCATTGCCTTTGAAAACTAGCACAAGACAAGGATCCCCTCTCTCACCACTCCTATTTAAAATGGTATTGAAAATTCTGGCCAGGGCAATCAGGCAAGAGAAGGAAATAAATAGTATTCAAATAGGAAGAAAGAAAGTAAAATTTTCTCTTTTTGCAGATGACATAATCCTGTATCTAGACAATCCCATCAACCCAGCCCAAATCCTTCTTAAACTAATAAGGAACTTCAGCAAAGTCTCAGGATACAAAATCAATGTGCAAAAATTACAAGTATTCCTATACACCAACAATAGACCAGCAGAGAGCTATATCATGAATCAAGTCCCATTCAGAATTGCCACAAAGAAAATAAGATACAAATACAGATAACAAGGAAAGTGAAAAACCTCTTCAAGGAGACCTACAAACCACTACTCAAGGAAATCAGAGAGGACACAAACCAAACATTTTATGCTCATGGATAGGAAGAATCAATATCATGCAAATGGACATACTGTCCAAAGTAGTTTATAGATTCAATGGTAATCTCATTAAACTAACATTGACATTCTTCATAGGATCAGAAACAAATTAATTTAAAATTTATATGGAACCAAAAGAGAGCCTGTATAGCCAAAACAATCTTAACCAAAAAGAACAAAGCTGGAGGCATCACACTACTTGACTTCAAACTATACTACCCGGTTAGAGTAACCAAAACAGCATGGTACTGGTACAAAACCAGAAACGTAGGCCAATGGAACAGAATAGAGATCTCAGAAATAAGACCACACATCTACGACCATCTGATCTTCAACAAACCTGACAGAAACAAGCAACAAGAAAATGATTTCTTAGTTAATAAATAGGGCTGGGAAAACTGGCTAGCCATATGCAGAAAATTGAAACTGGACCCCTTCCTTACATCTTATACAAAAATTAACTCAAGATAAATCAAAGACTTAAACTTACAAACCAAAACTATAAAAACCCTAGAAGAAAATCGAGGCAATACCATTCAGGAAATAGGTACAGCCACGTATTTTATGATGAAAATGTCAAAAGCAATTGCAACAAAAGCAAAAATTGACAAATGGAATCTAATTAAACTAAAGAGCTCCTGCACAGCAAAAGGAACTATCATCAGAGCAAAGAGAAAGCCTACAGAATGGGAAAAAAATTTTGCAATCTATCCATCTGGCAAAGGTCTAATATCCAGAGTCTACAAGAAACCTAAACAAATTTACAAGGAAAATACAACCCCATCAAAAAGTAGGCAAAGGTCATGAACAGACCCTTCTCAGAACAACACATTTATGCATTCAAGAAACATATTATAAAAAGCTCAACCTCACTGATCATTAGAGAAATGCAAATCAAAACCATGATGAGATACCATGTCATGCCAGTCAGAATGGCCATTGTCAAAAAGCCAAAAAAAAACCGATGCTGGTGAGGCTGTGGCGATATCGAAATGCTTTTACCCGGTTGGTGGGAATGTAAATTAGTTTAGCCAGTGTGGAAGATAGTGTGGTGCTTTCTTAAAGACCTAAAACCAGAAATACCATTTAACCTAGCAGTCCTATTACTGGGTATATACCCAAAGGAATATAAATCATTCAATTGTGAAAATACATGCACATGTATGTTCATTGCAACACTATTCACAATAGCAAAGACATAGAATCAACACAAATGCCAATCAATAGACTGGTAAAAAAAATGTGGTACATATGCAGATGCAGATGACCTAATCCTATATCTAGAAAATCCCACTGACTCAGCCCAAAAGCTTCTTAAACTAATAAGGAACTTCAGCAAAGTCTCAAGATACAAAATCAATGTGCAAAAATTACAAGTATTCCTATACACCAACAATAGACAAGCAGAGAGCCAAACCATGAATTAACTCCCATTCATATATACACCATGGAATACTATGGAATACCACGGAATACCATGCAGCCATAAAAAGGAACAAGATCATGTCCTTTGCAGAAACATGCATGGAACTGGAAGCCATTATCCTCAGCAAGCTAACACAGGAGCAGAAAACCAAACACTGCATATTCTCACTTATAAGTGGGAGCTGAACAATGAGAACACATGGACACAGGGAAGGGAATGACACACACTGGTGCCTGCTGGGAGGGTGGGGGAAGGCAGAACATCAGGACAAATAGCTAATGCATGCTGGGCTTAATATCTAGGTGATGGGTTGATAGGTGCACCAAATCGCCATGGCACAAATTTACCTATGTAACAAAAGTGCACATCCTGCACTTGTGTCCTGGAACTTAAAAAAAAAAAAATTAAATTAGAAAAAAAGGAAATTCTGAAGATTTCTTTTAGAGAGATAAAACATTTGAGAGTTATTGGTTAGCATTTCTAAGTTGTTTGTTGGCCTCTTGATGATGAGGCGGTCTTTCTCCCCCGTTTTTTGCTACTCTATAGGTACCATTGAAAGTAGTTCTCACATTTTGTTTGTTTAGCTTTTGTGTCAGCATTTTCCATTCTAGTTCTCAGGTACACTTATCTGGGCATCTCAAAAAAATCCTCATCTAGGCCATTATAACTTAGGATCTGCTTTGGTTATGTTATAATGGTCTACTTAATTAAATATTTACATGACAATTCACCAGAAGTATTTTGCATATATCCTACCAGAGTTTCTAAGAGTGGAACTTTATGTTTCCAAGATGCAGGGGTTTTAGCTAGCTTAGAGGCCCAGTTCTCCATAATTTAGAGTTCTCCTTCAGATTTGACCAAGTCAGGGAGTGTGTTGGGCCCAAAGTGTGCTGCTTGCAGACCTAGCTTTTTACGGCCATTACTCCCTGAACTTGTTTTGTCCACCCATGTTGCAGCTACCTGGCACAGTGTATCAGTGATATGAACAGGAGGCAGAGCCTCCTGTTGTAATACTTGTAATTTTTGCACATTGATTTTGTATTTTGACACTTTGCTGAAGGTCCTTATTAGTTTAAGAAGCTTTCAGCTGAATAGCCTGAAACCAGGGCCTAAGTGAGAACTTAACATCTGCTTGAATTTTGCCTTTTCCAAAACCACCCATGGCCCACCTCACCTCCCATTTTCTACCTATAAAAACCTCAGGGTCAGCCAGCAGAGAAATGAGAAGCAGCTGGACATCAGAGACTATGGCTGGATGTCAGAGAGAAGCAGCTTGACTTCAGAGGGACAGCTTAATGGCATAACTTTAGAGAAAAATTTGGCCAGAGATTGCTAGACTTCAGGGGAATATTAACTTCTCACTCTGTCTCCTTTTCATCTCCTTTTTAAAATGCTACCTAGAGGCTTTATCTGCATGATAAAACTGTGGTCTCCACAATCACTTATAACAACCCAGAAATTTTTTTCTGTTGATCCCAGGTGTTTGGATAAACTCAAACAGTTGTCAGCCAGAAAACTTCTAAATCTACCTATAACCTGGAAGCACTCCTCCTTCCATTTTGAGGTGTCCCACATTTCTGGACTAAACCAAAGTATTTTTAAAATACATTTGACCACATTAGGCACATGTTTCCAGGACCTCCTGAGGGCCATGGTCACTGATATATGTTTCAGAAATAATCTCTTTAAATATTTTACAGAGTTTAACTATTTTCATCAACAGAAGCAAGCAGAAACTCTCAGGAAAACAGAAATTTTTTTAGCAGCAAATTAAACCTCAGTCCCCAACTAAAAAATTTTGAAAGTTCAGGGATCTTTGGAGAAAGGAGGTCCCAGACCTCAGCAAATTGTTTTATCATTTTGAGCTATAAAGAGCCCAAAGCCAGTACCAAGCACCGATAGTGTTACTGATGGAGGACGTTCAGCTTCTTGCTGTTTTGAACAAAGAATTAAGCCAAACACACAAACAAAGCAAGGAAAGAATGAGGCAAAAAAAGCAGCGATTTATTGAAAATGAAAGCACACTCCACAGAGTGGGAGTGAGCCTGAACAAGTGCCACAAGGGTCCAGTTATGGAATTTTGGGGGGCTTAAATATCCTCTAAAGGTTTCCCACTGGTTATTTGGTGCACTCCCTGTGTAAATGAAGAGGCTGAAGTGAATTTACAAAGTTATTCACTTTGTGTACACCCTATGCAAATGACGAGGATGAAGTAAGGTTACAAAGTTATTTACTTGGTGCACATCCTATGCAAATGAAGAGGATGTTTCCTTTCATATCTGAAGTAGAGTTACAAAGTTATATACTTGGTCTTATAAAGTTTGGGGTTTTCCATTTGATTTTGTTCTAGGAAGTCCTTAGGTTCCCTGCTTTGAGACCCTAATATCCTGCCTCATCTTCCCCCTGGAAAGACATGATGCCTACAATTATGTGAGGAAGAGGGACCAATGGTCTTTATTCTGGAACTGCTTCATGCTGGCTTGGAGCATAGTCCTTACCTATTGGGGATCATGGAACTCTTGTCCTGCTCTTTCTAGTGAAGACAGGGTAGCTTCTTGATAACCAGGGGTGATATCTTTACTTGGAACTGGCTGTAACCCTCATCACATGATCATCTGAAGCTTGATGGTCTCTAGGTGACAGGAAATGAATTTGGTTAAAATATTTAAGGGAAACTTCAGGGGGTGGATACCTATGCTGTCAGGAATGTTTCTTATAGAGATTTGCAGGAGAAAAATCCTGGTCTGTTCTGAGATCTATGTGTTTCCTTAATGTCTTAGCATGAATGACTCCATTTCAGTTTGGTTTGGTCTGTTGGGGCCTAGCACATGAGCTCAGTCTAAAACAATGGCCTCTCATAATTTTGTTTAAAAAATTTCTCCCTTTCTGGTCAGGTTCTCACTTGTGCATAAAAGCTCTTGCATGAGAAAGCTTTTATACAACCAGAAAACATGCAGTGAAAATGAAAATTGAAATGTTCAAATGGCCCATCAGGTAGTCAAATGTACCCAGAGCTTTGATCATCTACCCAGAAATATGGATTTGACAAGGTAAACATTGATTATAAGCTATTTTAGCAATTTATCAGTACGCACACCAAAATATATTTAATTTGGATCATTTTATCTTTCCATAGTGAGTCATGGAATGCATTACCTTTAATAAAAAAAAGCTTTTAAGACTTAGAAAAGATGAGGACATCCTGGTTCCCCATGAGAACTGTTCCCCATAACATTGGACTATGTCCTCTTGAATACTAGTGTTTTCTCCAATTTAGGTACATAGCACTGATAACTAATGAGTTAGCATAAGTAATTTGACTTAGAGGGGCCATGAAGTTTATTCAAATTATATAACCAAAAATTTCAGTATCAGTTGATTTCATTGAAAATCTGGCAAAGTATTTTCTTGGTATTCAATATTAATATCATTCACAAAAATATAACCTGAAGAAAATTAAACATTATTTTTTTATTTTAACAATGTTTCCACATAATTAAAAGTGTCAAATAATCTTGTTTAACTCTTTTTTCATGCTCAGGGGACTTCTGTAGCATCTCAAAGTTAGAGGTCAGAAAAGACAATTTTGAAGCTGAAATTTGATTTTGGGAAGACTATCAAATATGTTAAATGTTTAAAACACTTGATATTATGACATTGAATTTCATATTACAATAAGTCATTCATTTAGCCAAAATGATGACTCAAAAATTTTAAAAGGTCAAAACCTTTACTAATTGATAGAGGGAAGACTTAGTTTTCCAAACAATCTGTCTCTTATCTTCCCCCCCACCCTGCTTTTTTTTTTTTTTTGGTAGTTTATTCAAAAGGCAAAGAAAAATCTTTCATTATCTTTTAATTTTGGTGAAAAACCTGGTAAGTCATTTTAAATATGTACTAGGTGCCTATAAGTTCTCACTATTTCCATCATAGCTAGGGGCGTGGCCAAGTTCACATGTCTTCAGTCCTTATGTAGCTGTAAAGCAGGCAAGTCAAACAATTTTTAAAAGCCCAAAGAAGCAGTTTATGACCTTAAAGCATTTAGCAAACTTAATATTCGACCAGCCTACTTTAGATCAAATGTCTTTATTTTACCAGTAAGTTTTAAAGCTGTTTTTAATTCCCAAAGATTACTAAAATCATGTGAACTAAAAGTCATTACAGCTTTTATTTTTCTTTCAAAATATTTGATTTAGATCAAATATGCTTATTTTTCTTTAAGCCAATTAATTAGAGCTCTTTTATATAAACATTACACACATAACACACCTATAACTACACAGACAGAAGATCTAATAGTTGTAAGATTTTTCATTTGCCTGTTTTTTGATTGGATTACTGGCCTCAGGGTAGAGCCCTTCAAAAAACAGGGCTAGGAAAACATGTAGTTTCTAGGGTTTAATAAGAAGGCACAGCTGGAAGTAAAATACAGATCCCCAAAATTAAGGGTCCCATTTTTATACCAGATACTGGATCACAAAAAGAGGGAATCAGCCATCTTCCCTGGGAGTCTTCTCTCTCAGAGGGGATTGGAGAAATTTCCATAATTTCTAGGTGGTCAAGATCATGCTTCTCTAATCCAAATGTGCAAAGAGCTGAGTATCACCCAGATAACTGCCATTAGCCATCCTCAAAAGTGTATTTCCTACCTAATTATTACACACCAAAGCTCTCTCATAATGAGAAGTAATTTCGGATACTCCCCAACAAACTCAAGATCATCTGATAACACAATGCAAAACAGGACAGAGCCTTAGATTTTGAGAGGGATCTATCCACTTTTAAATACTAGAGTTTCATGAGGAAAACAGAGAAAACAGAGGTTTTTCCAAAATGAGGTCTTATGGCACCTCATCTGTTTTTCTCAAGGAGTCCCAGGCTACCAGAAGTTATCTCAGGGCCTCAAATGTGTGCATTAAGAGTGACAAGACAAAATGGAAGAAAGTAATTCCGTTGACTGAGAAAAAAATTTTCCAGAAAAACAAGATCCAAGAAGAGAAAAAACCTTTTTAAATATACCTGTAGCTTGGATATCCACTTTTAATTAAGCTGATTTTAACCATGGCACTCTAAAAAAAAGAACTCTTTTAAGTCTCTTATTTCCCAACTTTAGCCACACTAAGTGGCCAATACTTCTGTCTTTTGAATGTTACCTAAGGTACTGTCCAAGGTGCTCAGAGAAAGACAATTTCAAGATAGTTCATGGAGGGGAAGAGAACAAACAAATGGTAAAGGTCACACAGATATCAAACCAGAAAGGACTCATTCCCCAAGCCAGGATTGAATCTGGGCCACCACTATAAAATGGCAAAGCCCCAGCTGCAGATCGGCAACATTGGGCATTCTCCACTGCCCTTCAGAGAAGGAGTCTAGAGTAGTTCATTATAAGCTTGTAAAGGCTTCCAAATACTCAAGAAAATTTTTAGAGTTATGACATGAACCCCAAAATTCTTCTTCTGGATGGCAGAGACTAAGAGAAAGTACTTCCACATGGTTACAGGGTCAAGCTCCCAGGGACATAAAGCAAGATGGAGACCTCATCCAGTTATTTTTGTTTCAGCAAACTGCAGCAAAGTTTGTTACTGACTAGCCTGCTGTGTCATATTGAGCAGTGAGCTTATGGGGTCCTAAGACCGTATTCTCTCCTAAGGTACTCCTCTTCATGACAGAACAACACATAAAGACAAATTTATAGCACAAGATATACCAAATTTGCTGCAGCTTAAGACTAGCCTCAGAATTTCTTTTCACATTAATCAAAACTTTACGGAGGAGATAAACAGTAATTTTTACCATTCATTCGACCAGTTCACATAGAGAGAGAGGAGGCCAGAAGTCCAACTGGTAAGAAATTCTTACCTCTTTGCCAGCATGTCAGGTTTCTGGGTTCTCCTTCCTTGAGCAGCCCTAATGATCCTGCTTGACACTATGCAAACAAACACATTGCCATGTATTAAGAACATTCACAAATAGTTCTAAAATTTTGGAGAAATTAGGCACAGAGAAAGATACATGACTCAAATTCTCTTTGTGAAAGTATACTCAATACACTTAAAGTATCAGGGAGCCTATTATCCAAAGAGTTACTTTAAGGTTAAAAAGCTGATGTGCTCCATCAATTCCAGCAGGCATGACAAAGGTAGCCTAGGAATTCCAGATAAATGGAACAAATGATGACTTGCTAGAAATGAATAAGAAAGAAAATAACTATTCACAGAACCAAAGAGAAGCCTTCCACCAGAAACAAAAAACAAAACAAAACAAAACAAAACAAAAAAACAAAACAAAAAACCCATTGTTTTATATATATGGATACACAAGCAAAACCCAGAGGAGAATAAGGAACAAATGAATAAAAGTCAGAAGCAAAAACAAATAAACAGGAAACCAATCCTAATTTTTTTTTTTTACTCAATCTACCTTGGGGCTTACACTGTTACCCAGGGCCCCTCAAACCCACATAATGAATATTTTATTCCTGATACACAATTCAATATTCTTAAGTCGACCAATATCACCATACATCCTGTGAAATCAAGAAATTCACTCTGGGCATGTGACCAATAAGTACTCCAGTGTCAGCATTATCTGTGCAAAACAGTGAACATAGGCTGGACATGTTGGCTCATGCCTGTAATCCCAGCACTTTGGGAGGCTGAGGCAGGCAGATCACAAGGTCAGGAGATCGAGACCATCCTGGCTAATATGGTGAAACCCCGTCTCTACTAAAAATACAAAAAAATTAGTCAGACATGGCAGCGTGCACCTGTAGTCCCTGCTGCTGGGGAAGCTGAGTCAGGAGAATGGCACGAACCTGGGAGGCTCAGCTTGCAGTGAGCCGAGATCACGCCACTGCACTCCAGCTTGGGTGACAGAGCAAGACTCCATCTCAAAAACAAAACAAAACAACAACAAAAAAAAAACAGTGAACATAGTGTGAAAGAATGCAAGCACATATGTGAAATTTGACTCCACACTCTATCTGGCTTTATGCTTAACTGTATTAAAAAACTGCTAATACATTTCCTTACAGTATTTTTTATTTGACTTTAATCAAGACTAAAAGCTTTAACTATGAAAATGTTAATTAGCCAAATTTCTCCAACTCTATCAGATTTTAAAGAATATTTTATTATCTAAAGTTTTTCCACATCTTTCTCCCTTACTTACTGGTTCCTTACTACATTGTTTCATAAATAACCTTTTCAAATCTGTAATTTGAACTAACTTTTAAATAATTTCTGAATTAGAAAAAATATTCTTTTTCTCACTAATAACACAACACTTTATGGCACATTTTGCATACAGAATTGTGTGTTAACTAGAATTCTTATCATTAGTAACCTAAAACTTTAGTGAAACCCTAAAAAGCAAGAAATCCTGAACTATTAGATATAAGCATTTATAGATAAGAACAATTTTACAATTTTAGAAACATTGTTCCTCATATCAGAGCCCTTTCTTAATTGGAAATGATCCAGATATTAAATGAGCATCAAAAATAATTTTAAGATTTTAATTTACAGAAAAAGTTTACCTAAAACTTTTATCCCATTCACTGTACTCAATTATTTTATTTTTAACAGTTTATCTAGATTGCTTCTGTAAACTGAGATATTAGACACTATCATTTAAAGTTATTTTCTTGTTAACCATGTTATTAATAGCCAAAGAACATCAGATGCTCACCTAAACCTAAGAGGCTCAGAGTTAAATACATAGGTATTTTTGCCAGTAACTCAGAAGATTTAGCTAAAAACATTAAATTACTCTCATTTGTCAAAAAAAAAAAAAAAAAATGAAGGCATGCAAACCAAGATCATTTTGTTTTGGTTAGATTTAGAGTTTTATAACCTTCTATGCTAAACCCTAACACCTCAAAATATCTGGCAGAGACCAATATAAAATACAGAAAAAAATTTATGCTGCCAATTCTCAAGGCATTTCTATTTTAATTTTACCAATAATTTTGAAACCAGCTCATTTAGTAAAGTTATACTTAAGTCACATGAACTTGAAAATTGCCTAGACTTATTTCATTTATGAGTGCTCTTTTACTTACAAGCCAATTTGGTAGATGCAATATATAAAAATAAGTATACTTACAAGTAAACACATCTAGACATGTATACACACACACAGATGAAGATCTAACAGCTTTTACCTCGTAACTCTAGCCATGAGATAGTAATACAAGCTCACTGCTTTTACTTTGTTTGCCCCAATAGCTAATCCAATGAAGGCTGTGAACCAAAGTTTTGGGTAAAGCAGTTCCCATGGCAGTTTTAATTTTAAAGGCCAAACCTCCTCAGACTCCAAAGAACACTGAGGTCAGTCCTTTGCTTAGAAGAGCAGCACAAAAGCCTAGATACATGCAACTTCATCTCACTTTTCCATTCAACAGCAAACTCCAGATTCCAAACAGTATTGGTGCCAAACAGCATTACCAAAGTTGCCATTGTGATCTGTGAGAGAAAATTTTAGAAAGGGCTTAGTATTGGACCTCAGAATCTCTACCTAGGGCATCCCCTTTGGAGAGGTGAAGGTCTGGAGTTTGATCCCCCGGGGGCATCCCCTTTTGGGGTCCAGTATTACAGTGTCAGAAATCTCTGACTTTATGTGGGCACCGGTACCACTTCTTTTGTTTTCCCTTCAGAGGCAATGACTTTCTATGAGCTTTCCTTTGGTTCCTGGGTATCATCCCTGACTTTTAGCATCCTTATAATTTGATAAGACCATGCTTTCCCATGAATCCCGTTTGACTACAGTGATAGCCATGAACTGTAATGATAGGAACTGGAGGCTGAGTGGGTTTTTTTTTTCTTAGCTATTGGGGGAACCCGCTCCCAATATTTCAACATAGGTTCTTTCTATTTTCCATAAGTGTTGGCCAGCAGAGAAATAAAAGGAGACAGTACAAAGAGAGGAATTTTACAGCTGGGCCACTGGGGGTGATATCACACCCCCGTGATGCCCACCTGAGTCTCAGACCAGCAAGTTTTTATTAAGGGTTTAAAAGGGGAGGGCGTGTAAGAACAAGGAGTAGGTACAAAGATCGCATGCTTCAAAGGGCAGAAAGAAGAACCACTAATAAGGGTCTAACAAAGATCACATGCTTCTGAGGGAACAGGACAAAGGTCAAAAGCAGAACCACTGATAAGGGTCCAACAAAGATCACAGGGCAAAGGGCAAAAGCAGAACCACTGATAAGGGTCTATGTTCAGCAGTGCACGTATTGTCTTGATAAACATCTAAAACAACAGAAAACAGGGTTCAAGAACAGAGAACCAGTCTGACCACAAATTTACCAAGGCAGAGTTTTTCCCCACCATAGTAAACCTGAGGGTTCTGCAGGAGACCAGGGTGTATCTCAGTCCTTATCTCAATTGCACAAGACAGACATTCCCAGAGCAGCTGTTTATAGACCTCCCCCCAGGAATGCATTCCTTTCCCAGGGTATTAATACTAATATTCCTTGCTAGGAAAAGAATTTAGCCATATCTTTCCTACTTGCACATTCGTTTATAGGCTTTCTGCAAGAAGAAAAATATGGCTCTTTTTGCCCGACCCTGCAGGCAGTCAGACCTTATGGTTGTCTTCCCTTGTTCCATAAAAATCGCTGTTATTCTGTTCTTTTTCAAGGTGCACTGATTTCATATTGTTCAAACACACATGTTTTACAGTCAATTTGTACAGTTAACACAATTATCACAGTGGTCCTGAGGTGACATACATCCTCAGCTTACGAAGATAACAGGATTAAGACATTAAAGTAAAGACAGGCATAAGAAATTATAAAAGTATTATTTGGGAACTGATAAATGTCCATATTAAGGTGAAATCTTCACAATTTATGTTCCCCTGCCGTGGCTCCAGCCAGTCCCTCCATTTGGGGTCCCTGACTTCCCGCAACACTTAGCCAGTCAAGTAGAGGAAGGGAAGAATTTAGCATAACATGAGAAGATTTAAATGACCTGAAATGCATGCAGGTTCACCCCGAAGAGCTGTGCCACATGTAGAGATCAGGAACCACAAACAGAAAAGATAGAAAAGAGTTCTTCCCCTTTCTGGGCAGAGCAACTTCTCCATTCACTCCTCGGCCTTCAGGCAACACAGGAGCATGGCCCTGGCCAGAAACCGGCAGTTACCTCCATGTTTAGGTGCTGCCCACCAAGGGTCCTGAGTTGGAAAGGAAAAGAGAGACAGAGATTCCCCTGTATGGAGGAGAAAGAAAAAGGAGAAAAATAAACCCTAAACTTTGGGCTTACTGCCTGGCTGGCTCACCAAAATATGTTACCAGTCGGGGGTGTCCAGGTTCCTGGTGTTTTGAACAAAGAATTGGACAAAATGTACAAAGAAATCTTGGAAAAAATGAGAAACAAAAGCAGAGATTTATTGAAAACCAAAGAACACTTTACAGGGTGGGAGTGGCCCGAGCAAGTGGCTCAAGGACCCAGTTATGGAATTTTCTGACATTTAAATATCCTTTATAGGTTTCCCATTTTTAACTTGGTATACACCCTATGTAAATGAAGAGGCTGCAGTGAAGTTTCAAAGTTATTTACTTGGTGTACACCCTATACAAATTAAGAGGATGAAGTGAGCTTATAAACTTATATACTTGATGTACACCCTATGCAAATGAAGCGGATGTTTCCTGCCATAGCTGAAGTTGAGCTACAAAGTTATTTACTTGGTCTTAGAAAGTTGTGGTTTTTCTGCTTGATTTAGTTCTAGGAAGTCCTTAGGTTCCCTGTCCCCAGCCCCTATTCTTCTGCCTCAATAGGAAAGCTGCTGCAGGACTTGGCAACCTTCACTCAGGATCCCTCTGTTGTTACCAGATGTCAATCAAAGAAATAACCTCAAAGAGGTTTATTTCCCAAAGTTAAGTATGTATGCCTGGGACACTGGTATATGCCTTTCTTCCAAGATGATTATGAGGGCTTCAAATTTAAAGGGGAAAGGGTGGAATATTGAGAAATACACAATTTTCATGTGAGAGGGTAGGAGGGGAAAATAGTCATTTATGTATTTGTCTGGCTCAGTGAATCTGCCTTTTTACATAAGATAACATAGACAATAGAATAGAGAAAAATAATAAGATATGTGTTTGTCTTAGGTGGGTAGAGGGACGACTTTTAGTTCTGTCCTATGTCCTCCATACCTGTGAAAATAAGCTATCAATTTACATTGCCATGGTGAACTTTATCAGAAATGCTTTAGGCTAAAGATCTTGGGGCTCACAAAAAAATTTCCTTGTGGGCAAAATGTGAAGGAGGTATGTACCTTTTCATCTTTGTATCCATCTCATCTAGGAACAAAAGTTGGAGGCATGTTTGCATGACCCAGTTCCCTGCTTGACGTTTCCCTTTTGCTTAGTGAGTTTGGGGTTTCAAAATTTATTTTCCTTTCACATTCCAAAGAAGTGCAAAGCAGCCTTCACAAGATTCAGAACCACTGATAAGATAGCTCAAAAAAGGGAAGTTTCACCAGCTCTAAGTGGATTACAACTCACATTTCCATCTGGTCATATCTTCTAGCACCTATGCTTCTCAGTGAGCACCCAAGTATGAAGGTCCAAACTCTCCATATGCCCCATAGATGAAAAAAGCCAGGAAATCAAAAAGGATCAATGGAAGGGAAAATAATCAATAACAAATGAGTATCCCAAAAGTTCAAAAATTATACAAATGGGATTGGTTTTCTGACCAGAAATGGATTCTGGGTGTTGGCAATGAAAGTACGGAATTCTAGCCAAAAGATAGAGTTGCTTTTTTTTCTTTTCTTTTTTTTTTTTTTTTTTTTTTCTTTTTTGTGAATGCTCTCACCTTTATTTCTCTCAATATACCCGTGATACGTATATTTCATACATAACAAGGTTAAGGACATGCGCACATTCTATGTAAAACAGAGGCAGAACCATGGCTAAAACACCTAGCCCAGCAATCAACTCATTATCCCTGAGAAGTGGGGATAGGGGAGGGGAAGAGTCACAGGCTGTTCACCAACACCTGGAAAATCCATGACTTCATTGAGAATGAATGACTCTGGGGGGATTCAGATAATGAAGTAATGAAAAGAAAGCCTTTTTTCCCCCCCAAAGGATCATGTTTCTCAGTTATCAGCAGGCAGTTGTGGGTTGTTTTCTTCTATTTCTTCCAGCAGCTTATCGAGTTCAACATTAAAGTCATCTATTTTCAACCTGAGTGTCTGGAGGGTGCAATTTGGATGTGTCAAGGTTTCAAACAGCATCTTTACTCCACTAGACCCCAAGGGATTCTGGCTCAGGTCCAGAACGACGAGGCTGTGGTTGCAGCTGAGCACAGAGCAGAGGTCCTCACAACTGAACAGAGGGATGGAACACCCCCACAACCACAGACATCTCAAGTTACACAGTGGTTTCTTCAAAGCCTCACATAGGAGCTTCACTCCAGTAACTCCTATGTGATTCAGTCCCAGATCCAAGCACATTAGGCTTGATTTTTCTTGGAGAAGCTCTGCGAGATAACAGCAGCCATTGCTAGTTATGTCGCAGTCCCACAGCACCAGGGTCTGTAGTTTACAATGGGGGTAACTCAAACCCTTACACAGAAACATCACCCATGTATCCCCGAGTGGGGGGTTCTTGGCCAAGCACAGGTGTGTCAGCTCCCCGCTGACAACCAAAACAGCAGCAAAGTTCTTGCAATTGCCTTCTATAAAGTGACAGTTTTCCAACAACAACCTCGGCAGGAAGCATTTTGGGTGTCTCAAAGTTGTGTACAGCAACTTGGCACCCTCATCCAAGAGCTCATTGTGAGAGAGGTTTACACATGTCAGGGACTGGTTGACTTCAAGGGCCAAGGAGAGATCAGCCCATTGCTAAGTGGTGGTGGAAAAAGACACCAACCCGAGATATTGCAGGTTACATTTTGAGTGTCTCAAGACCTTACACAATGCAGGAAGCATATCATTCTGGTCATTGCCTTGAAGGGTCAGATATCTTACAGTCTTGTGACCTCAAAGAGCTAGGCAGAGGTTCCGATAAGCATCAGCTGGTGAAATGTTTTTGAACATCACTCTCTGGAGACGACAGGTGTCAGAAGCTATTTGTTCACACAGGATCCTTACTAATGTGGCACCAAGAAAGCTATTATTGATTTCTAGAATGATCAGATCCTTATTTGAGCCAAATATGGAACAAAGGTCGGTCCAGAAAGGAAGCATGTGTTGATCATCCTGGGATCTCTCAACTTCAGCATCTGATTCAGACACAGTGACATTCTCTGGGAGCTTTGCCTTTGCTGCCTGCAGTGGCATTTTCTGCAAGTTTCGACAATGCTTGAGGCAGATTGAAAACAGCATAATGTCTACTGCATTTAAGTGCAGGGATATTTCTTTGAACGGAGCCATCACTCCCTTCACCAGCTCCTCCTCCTGAGACTCGTACAGACAGCACAAGAGCTCCTTCGGGTTCATCATTGTTGAGTGTCCAACCTTTTCACAATTTATCTCTCATCACAGTAATTCCTTTTTGATCTCCGGTGACATCAGGCAGCCCAAAGTGGTCTCCAACTCCTTGGCTTTCTTCTCGTTGGCGAAGCCGAATAAGAAGTGTCTTGCTTGGATCAGGTCGGGGTTCTTGAGTCTTTCTTCTCTAGAAAACAGCTTCTGCACGTCTCCATTGTCCCAGGCGTGGCCGTCCTTGTCCTCCTCCTCCTCCTCCTCCTCCTTCTCCAGGGCGTGGAACAGCACAGTGAAAAACTGCTGGAAGCTGAGGTGGATGTAGGAATAGCAGCCTTTAGAGACTATGTCCTGGCGGAGGATGTCTCTGTCCAGGGACGGGCGGATGTTGAACTCCTGCACCCCGAGCCTCGCCAAGTCCTCTCCACGGAACACTGACATCTGCGCCCACAGGCCCTGTGCCGCCAGGAGGCTCAGCGCCCGCAGCACGCCCCAGAGCTGTGCGCCCTGCGGGAACCGGCCGCAAAGGAAGCGCAGGAACAGCCCCGTGCGGGTGGGGCGGGTCCTTCCCCTTCTAACCTCTGCAGCTTCAGACTCATGCACATGATCCAGCACACCATGGGTGCCGAGACAGGCTGGAACAGGGCCGCGTTTCTTCTCATCAGCTCAAAGGCACACATGGCTTGGTCCTCGTCTCCAAAGTGTCTCAGGAAATATGCCCTCCTGTCCTTCTCCAGGAACTCCTCCACCCTTACATAGATCGGCCGCTCCACCAACAGCCGGAGGTCTCTCAGGGCCCGCAGGCCACGTGGTGACCAGCACGGCGGCCCTGGGTAAAATCTTCCTCTTCAGTAACCTCCCCAAGAAGACCGGCACCGGCTTCTGCTTCTCCCAGTCCCCACAGATGTCCTAGATCAGTGCCCCAGGTGGGGCTCCCAGCTCATCAAAGCCGTCGACCACGAACAGGATTTTCTGTGCTTGGGCTAGGATGTTTGGAATGTCATCCTGCAATTCAGGCCAGTTCCTGAAGACCAGCTCTGCAAAACTGCACGGGCCCAGGCAGATGAGCTCCTTGCAGGTGAGGTAGAAAGCCTATCTAAATTTCTGGCTGAGGTTGTCCTCTGCCCAGTCCAGCATTAATTTCTTGGCCAGCGTGGTTTTCCCAAGGCCCGCAGGACCATGCAGCACCACCGTGTGTGGGCAGGGCCCGGGAAGCACCCTGGGGTTGCTGAACGGGATCAGCATCTTGTATCTCTGAGCCATAATATGGACCACTTTGAGGTCTCCAGGCCAGGTTTTCCACATTTGCCAGAACTTCGTCTTCAATATACTCCTGTACCTATCCTCTTTACCTGGCTTTTCTCCTTTCAAGACTTCTTTAGCTTCTCTTAGGCTGGTGACATCTTCCTCCGTTTCTATAAACTCTAGTGCTTCTGCTTCGAAACGCCCCAGCATTTGTTTCAGGTCTATAGGTTTTGGCTCTTCTTTCCCTGTTTTCCCTAATGATACAGGCTTGATTTCAAAGTGTCTTCTCTGAGTTCATCCTTTACTTTCTCAGACAGATCCGCTCGGTGCATCTTTTCAAAGACCTGGATGGTCTCTATCTTCATCCAGTAGCTGTGGCAATGGCTGGTGATGATTTCTGCCAGTTGCTTCCCATCAGCCTTGTCTACCTATGTCTGGGGGATCTTTTGCAGCTCATTTCCCAGGGAGACGGTCCTGATCAGAGACTTGAACTTGCACAAGTCATCCTGGCTGAGCTGTCCCAGAAGAGCCTGCAGGTTGAAGTCCAGCTGTGCAGAAGACACCATCTCGTCTGACGTGGGAACTCTGATGAGAATTAAGGGAGGAATGGAAAGGGATGGTGAGTCAGCAATCCTGTCTCAACCGAGTCCCCTCTGTGCCATGAACAAGGATACTCTCACCATCTACCTTGCTTCTTCAAGAACAAATTCCCAGCCTGGGCAACATAGTGAGATCTCTATCTCCATAAAAAATAAGTTAGCAGAGGGTGGTGGTGTGCACCCACAGTCCCAGCCACCCAAGAGGCTGAGACGAGAGGATGGCTTGAGCCTGGGAGGTTGACGCTTCAGTGAGTCTTGATTGTGCCACTGCACTCCCATCTGGGCAACAGAGAGAGACCTCATCTCACTTTATCCTTATTTACTTATTTATTTTTGAGACAGTTTCACTCCGCTGTCCAGGCTGGAGTGCAGTGGTGTGATCTCTGCTCACTGTAACATCCTCCTCCCAGGTCCAAGCAATTCTCCTGCCTCAGCCTCCCGAGCAGCTGGGACCACGGGCACCTGCCATCATGCCTGGCTAATTTTTGTATTTTTAGTAGAGATGGGGTTTCACCACGCTGGCCAGGCTGGTCTCAAACTCCTGACTTGAAGTGATCTGCCCGCCTTGGCATCCCAAAGTGCTGGGATTACAGGCTTGTGCCACCGTGCCTGGCCTTTATAAATTAACAGATAACATAATTGCAATAAAAAATAAAGAATAGCTCAGCAAGTACACATGGCAGTGACAATGGACAAAAAGTTACCACCTGACACTTTACATAGATTGGATTACAAATAATATAGTTTTTATTTTTATTTTTATTTTTTATACAGAGTCTCACTCTGTCGCCCAGGCTGGAGTGCAGTAGCACAATCTCAGCTCATTGCAACCTCTGCCTCCCGGGTTCAAGCGATTTTCCTGCCTCAGCCTCCCCAGTAGCTGGGATTACAGGCCTGTGCCACCATGCCCGGCTAATTTTTGTATTTTTAATAGAGATGGGGTTTCACCATGTTGACCAGGCTGGTCTCAAACTCCTGACCTCAAGTGATCTGCCGTTTTGTCCTTGCTGTTGTTGTTGTTGTTTTTAATCCTGCAGGAAATCCAAAGCAGGCCTTTTGAGCATTTGACATATTTTAACTTGTTTCAAATCTTATTTAAGATGGAATGCGGCTTAGCTAATTCCCTGGATGTTAGCATTTCAAGTACATTAAAAGATTTACATTTCCAAAGGAGTGCAGGGCATTTAAAGGGTATTGTCTGATAAATGGCCAATAAATCATCAATTCCATTCATTACCTCTGGCTTAGAAAACAATTTGTTGGATCTGCATTTTTTTAATCTCAGTGGTGTTATTCTCATTCTATAGTTTTTTCATTTGTTTACTTATTCCAAATTCTTTTAGAGTTTCTTTCTAAAAGAAGAAAACGTGTGCATTGTGAAATTCCAAAAGGAAAAAAAATCTGCCTAAGATATATATGAGAGCCAAAGGAGCAAGCAGAAAGGAATGAGTTCAGATCACAAGGATAGAAGAAGAAGGAGCAGTTGGAGGCAATAAAAAGAAAGTCTTGAAAATATGTTTAAATACTTTCAAATATCCTTTTACTTATGCCTTGAATGTAATTTTTTTCTCTCAAGATTTCTTTTAGAAGTTTTTAAGTGCCATTAGAAGTAACTTTCCTATTCAAACTGTCTTTTTCCAATTGTGCCAGTAAATAAATTGTTAGTCATTTCAAAAGATCATAATTTTGGTCATTGTTGCTTATGACTATTTTGGGTTAGGTGAGTCCACTCTTCTAGATATTTACAAGGAGTTGTCCCATAAGTGTCATGCATAAATCTAGCTGGTGTTTCTAATGGTGGTTGTTTTGTAAAAGACTGCTCGAATTTTGAAGCTTGATTTTTTTTTTTTTTTTTTTTTTTTTTTTTTTTTTTTTATAATCTAGGAGCTTTTCAAAAGTGGCCAAACCCAGGAATATGTGTGGGTAAAAAGTGTGCTGCTTATGAGTGTCACTCTTCTAGGTTTTACCCAAGCATCATAAATCACTTGCATATGTGTCTTGGACTGCCTCTAAGTGCCAAGTGACAGCAGAGTGCTCATATTATGGGGGTTGTGGGTCAATTCCTCATACCCATCTGGAGGAACAGAAAAGCTGTCCCTTAAAAATGTTCTTCTGGTGGTAAGGTCCCTATGAGGCTGTGTCACATCATGGGTAATGACTTAGATACGTCTGTAAAGTCTGCAGTCACTTGGAGCACTCAAATGGGTCAGAGTGAGCAAATCACCTCTTTTCTTTGGGGAAAGAGAATTCACCCTGCTTTCTTTGGGGCAAGAGAACTTACCATGTTTCAATTAGGAACTAATAGGAATTAGTCACAAATAAAAAAACTAAGTCTAAATTTTTAAGTAATAGGAAACAGCTGCAATGTAAAAAGCATCCTATGTGAAACAAAACCAACAGTGCCTAAGTATCAATCCTTTGACCTCAGCCTCCTGCTGTGAGACAGAGGCAGAAAAAGGCAGTTCTCTGCAGATCTCCTTACCCAAATCTTTTGTCCAAAGACAAAGACAGAAGTTTTCACTCTTGAGGGTGGAAAAAAAGGAGTTGGAAAATATCCCAAATAAAGTCTAGACCTTCAATCACCGAGTGGGAGATCTAAATTCAGGAGCACTCACTTGAAATACTTGATGGGACTTCTGAAGATGGAGAGAATGCAATGTGTTTATGCTGATACTGAGTATCACTTTCAGAGAGAAACACTCGGTGGTTGGGTGAAGTTACTCTGAATCCTGCTCACAGGGCCAGAAATGTAAACCTAAAAGGAAGAGACTGAGGCCCAAAATATTATTTTGAGTTTACTTAGGCCAAAGTAAGAAGAGCAGCCCAGAAGACTCACACTCAAATAACCTTAGGTATGAGTTACTTCTATGTCTTCTTTGGAAAAATGTTTTTTAGATCCTATGTTCATTTTTTCACTGGGTTATTTAACTTTATTGTTATTGAATTGTATGTGTTCCTTATATATTCTGGATATTCACTTCTTATCATATATATGCTTTAAAAATATATTATCCCAATATGGAGATTGTCTTTTTTATCTGTTGATTGTTTCTTTTTATGTGCAGAAGCTTTTTAGTTTAATGTAGTCCAACTTGTTAATTTTGCTTTTGTCTTCTTTGCTGTTGGGGTTGCACTAACAAATATCATTGACCAATGTCCCAGGCTTCCCCTTGGATTTTGTCAGTTTTAGGTTTTATATTTAAGTCTTTAGTTCATTAAAGGTATTTTATACATGGTATAAGATAATAATCTAATTCAATTATGTTGTTTGTGGAGATCTGGTTTTCCCAAGACAATTTGTTGAAGAGAGTTTGTTTTACCCATTGTGTGTTCTTGGAACCCTTGTCAGAGTTAGTGGTCTCTATATGTGTCAGTTTATTTCTGGTTTTTCTATTCTGTTTCATTTGTCTATTTCTCTGTTTTTGTGGTGGCACTTCACTTTCAGATTGCAGAAGCTTTGTTACATATTTTGAGACCAGGAAGTGTACTGCCTTCAAGAATTCTTCTTTTTCTCAAGAATTATTTGGCTACTCACGGTATTTTGAAGTTTTATACTAACTTTAGAATTTTGTCTTCTATTTCTGTGAAATATTCTATTGGAATTTTTATAGGGATTGCATTCAGTTTGTATGTAACTTTTGTAGCATGGACATTTTAAAAATAATAATCGTCTAATTCATGAACACTGGATATCTTTTGATTTATTTGCACCTCCATCAATTTCTTTCAGCAATATTTATAGTTTTCAGTATAAAGGTCTTGTACCTCCTTGGTGTAATTTGCTTCTAAGTATTTTTATTACTTTTGTAAATGGGATTAAAAAATTTGTTTTGGATTGTTCACTCTTACTGAATACAAAAACAAATAATTTGTGTATGCATTCCTCAGTTTCTATTACCCAATAAATAATGTACAACATTCAACCAAAACATTACAAGGCATGCAAAAATGTAACAACAATTAAAGTCTGAAGGAAAATGCAAACTTCAGAAACAGACTCTAAAAACCTTACAAATAAATATGATCGATATGGTAAAAGAAGATAAACAAAGGAGTCATAAAAATGTATTGGGTACATCTCACTGGGGAGTGCCAGACAGTAGGTGCAGGACAGTGGGTACAGCACACCGTGTGTGAGCCAAAGCAGGGTGAGGCATCCCCTCACACGGGAAGCACAAGGGGTCAGGGAATTCCCTTTCCTAGTCAAAGAAAGCAGTGACAGACAGCACCTGGAAAATCGGGTCACTCCCACCCTAATACTGCCCTTTTTCAACAGGCTTAAAAAACGGCACACTAGGAGATCATATCCTGTACCTGGCTCAGAGGGTCTTACGCCCATGGACTCTTGCTCATTGCTAGCATAGCAGTCCGAGATCAAACTACAAGGTGGCAGCGACGCTGGGGGAGGGGTTCCCACCATTGCTGAGTTAGTTGTTTGATTAGGTAAAAAAAAGCAGCCAGGAAGCTTGAAATGGGTGGAGCCCACCACAGCGCAAGGAGGCATGCCTGCTTCTGTAGGCTCCCCTTCTGGGGGCAGGGCACAGACAAAGAAAAAGACAGCAGTAACCTCTGCAGACTTAAATGTCCCTCTCTGACAGCTTTGAAGAGAGTAGTGGCTCTCCCAGCACACAGCTTGAGATCTGAGAATGGGAAGACTGCCTCCTCAAGTGGATCCCTCACCCCCGAGTAGCCTAACTGGGAGGCACCCCCCAGTAGGGCCAGACTGACACCTCACATGGCCAGGTACTCCTCTGAGACAAAACTTCCAGTGGAATGATCAGGCAGCAGCATCTGCGGTTCACCAATATCCACTGTTCTGCAGCCACCGCTGCTGATACCCAGGCAAACAGCGTCTGGAGTGGACCTCTAGCAAATTCCAACAGACCTGCAGCTGAGGGTCCTGTCTTTTAGAAGGAAAACTAACAAAGAGAAAGGACATCCACGCCAAAAACCCATCTGTACATCACCATCCTCAAAGACCAAAGGTAGATAAAACCACAAAGATGGGAAAAAACAGAGCAGAAAAACTGGAAACTCTAAAAATCAAAGTGTCTCTCCTCCTCCAAAGGAATGCAGCTCCTCACCAGCAACAGAACAAAGCTGGATGGAGAATGACTTTGACGAGTTGAGAGAAGAAGGCTTCAGATGATCAAACTACTCCGAGCTACAGGAGGAAATTCAAACCAATGGCAAGGAAGTTAAAAGCTTTGAAAAAAAATTAGACGAATGGATAACTAGAATAACCAATGCAGAGAAGTCCTTAAAGGACCTGATGGAGCTGAAAATCAAGGAACAAGAGCTACGTGGCGAATGCAGAAGCCTCAGTAGCTGATGTGATCAACTGGAAGAAAAGGTGTCAGTGATGGAAGATGAAATGAATGAAATGAAGTGAGAAGAGAAGTTTAAAGAAAAAGAATAAAAAGAAATGAACAAAGCCTCCAAGCAATATGGGACTATGTGAAAAGACCAAATCTACGTCTGATTGGTGTACATGAAAGTGACGGGGAGAATGGAACCAAGTAGGAAAACACTCTGCAGGATATTATCCAGGAGAACTTCCCCAACCAAGCAAGGAAGGCCAACATTCAAATTCAGGAAATACAGAGCATGACACAAAGATACTCCTTGAGAAGAGCAACACCAAGACAAATAATTGTCAGATTCGCCAAAGCTGAAATGAAGGAAAAAATGTTAAGGGCAGCCAGAGAGAAAGGTCGGGTTACCCACAAAGGGAAGCCCATCAGACTAACAGCTGATCTCTCTGCAGAAGAGAGTGGGGACCAATATTCAACATTTTTAAAGGAAACAATTTTCAAACCAGAATCTCATATCCAGCCAAACCAAGCTTCATACGTGAAGGAGAAATAAAATACCTTACAGACAAGCAAATGCTGAGAGATTTCATCACCACCGGGCCTGCCCTAAAAGAGCTCCTGAAGGAGGCACTAAACATGGAAAGGAACAACCGGTAACAGCCACTGCAAAAAAAAAAAAAAAAAATGCCAAATTGTAAAGACCATAAAGGCTAGGAAGAAACAGAATCAACTAACGAGCAAAATAACCAGCTAACATCATAATGACGGGATCAAATTCACATATAACAATATTAACTTTAAATGTAAATGGGCTAAATGCTCCAATTAAAAGACATAGACTGGCAAATTGGATAAAGAAACAAGACCCATCAGAATGTTGTATTCAGGAAACTCATCTCATGTGCAGAGACACACATAGGCTCAAAATAAAGGGATGGAGGAAGATCTACCAAGCAAATGGAAAACAAAAAAAAAGCAGGTGTTTCAATCCTAGTCTCTGATAAAACAGACTTTGAACCAACAAAGATCAAAAGAGACAAAGAAGGCCATTACATAACGGTAAAGGGATCAATTCAACAAGAAGAGCTAAATATCCTAAATAGATAAGCACCCAATACAGAAGCACCCAGATTCATAAAGCAAGTCCTTAGTGACCTACAAAGAGACTTAGACTCCCACACAATAATAATGGGAGAATTTAACACACCACTGTCAACATTAGACAGATCAACGAGACAGAAAGTTAAGAAGGATACCCAGGAATTGAACTCAGCTCTGCACCAAGCAGACCTAATAGACATCTACAGAACTCTCCACCTCAATTCAACAGAATATACATTCTTTTCAGCACCACATCACACCTACCCCAAAACTGACCACACAGTTAGAAGTAAAGCACTCCTCAACAAATGCAAAAGAACAGAAATTATAACAAACTGCCTCTCAGACCACAGTGCAATCAAACTAGAACTCAGGATTAAGAAACTCACTCAAAACTGCTCAACTACATGGAAACTGAACAACCTGTTCCTGAATGACTACTGGGTAAATAACGAAATGAAGGCAGAAATAAAGATGTTCTTTGAAACCAAGGAGAACAAAGACACAACATACCAGCATCTCTGGGACACATTCAAAGCAGTGTGTAGAGGGAAATTTATAGCAATAAATGCCCACAAGAGAAAGCAGGAAAGATCTAAAATTGACACCCTAACATCACAATTAAAAGAACTAGAAAAGCAAGAGCAAACACATTCAAAAGCTAGCAGAAGGCAAGAAATAACTAAGATCAGAGTGCAACGGAAGGAAATAGAGACACAAAAAAACCCTTCAAAAAATCAATGAATCCAGGAGCTGGTTTTTTGAAAAGATCAACAAAATTGATAGATTGCTAGCAAGACTAATAAAGAAGAAAAGAGAGAAGAATCAAATAGATGCAATAAAAAACGATAAAGGGGATATCACTACCAATCCCACAGAAATACAAACTAACATCAGAGAATGCTATAAACATCTCTACGCAAATAAACTAGAAAACCTAGAAGAAAGGGATAAATTCCTGGACACATACATCCTCCCAAGACTAAACCAGGAAGAAGTTGAATCTCTGAATAGACCAATAACAGGCTCTGAAATTGAGGCAATAATCAATAGCTTAGCAAACAAGAAAAGTCCAGGACCAGATGGATTCACAGCCGAATTCTACCAGAGGTACAAAGAGGAGCTGTTACCATTCCTTCTGAGACTATTCCGACCAATAGAAAAAGTGGGAATCCTCCCTAACTCATTTTATGAGGCCTGCATCATCCTAATACCAAAGCATGGCAGAGACACAACAAAAAAAGAGAATTTAGACCGATAACCTTGATGAACATCAATGAAAAAATCCTCAATAAAATACTGGTGAACCAAATCCAGCAGCAAATCAAAAAGCTTATCCAACATGATCAAGTGGGCTTCATCCCTGGGATGCAAGCCTGGTTCAACATATGAAAATCAATAAATGTAATCCAACATATAAACAGAACCAAAGACAAAAACCACATGATTTTCTCAATAGATGCAGAAAAGGTCTTTGCAAAATTCAACAACCCTTCATGCTAAAAACTCTCAAGAAATTAGGTATTGATGGGACATATCTCAAAATAATAAGAGCTATCTATGACAAACCCACAGCCAATATCATACTGAATGGGCAAAAACTGGAAGCATTCCCTTTGAAAACGGGCACAAGACAGGGATACCCTCTCTCACCACTCCTATTCCACATAGTGTTGGAAGTTCTGGCCAGGGCAATCAGGCAGGAGAAGGAAATAAAGGGTATTCTATTAGGAAAAGAGGAAGTCAAATTGTCCCTGTTCGCAAATGACATGATTGTATATCTAGAAAACCCCATCATCTCAGCCCAAAATCTCCTCAACCTGATAAGCAACTTCAGCAAAGTCTCAGGATACAAAGTCAATATACAAAAATCACAAGCATTCTTATACACCAATAACAGACAAAGAGAGAGCCAAATCATGACTGAACTCCCATTCACAATTGCTTCAAAGGGAATAAAATACTTAGGAATCCAACTTACAAGGGAAGTGAAGGACCTCTTCAAGGAGAACTACAAACCACTGCTCAATGAAATAAAAGAGGATACAAACAAACGGAAGAACATTTCATGCTCATGGGTAGGAAGAATCAATGTCGTGAAAATGGCCATATTGCCCAAGGCAATTTACAGATTCAATGCCATCCCCATCAAGCTACCAATGACTTTCTTCACAGAATTGGAAAAAACTACTTTCAAGTTCATATGGAACCAAAAAAGAGCCCACATCACCAAGTCAATCATAAGCCAAAAGAACAAAGCTGGAGGCATCACGCTACCTGACTTCAAACTATACTACAAGGCTACAGTAACCAAAACAGCATGGTACTGGTAGCAAAACAGACACACAGACCAATGGAACAGAACAGAGCCCTCAGAAATAATACCACACATCTACAGCTATCTGATCTTTGACAAACCTGACAAAAACAAGCAATGGGGAAAGGATTCCCTATTTAATAAATGGTGCTGGGAAAACTGGCTAGACATATGTAGAAAGCTGAAACTGGGTCCCTTTGTTACACCTTATACAAAAATTAATTCAAGATCGATTAAATACTTACATGTTAGATCTAAAACAACAAAAACCCTAGAAGAAAACCTAGGCAACACCTTTCAGGACATAGACATGTGCAAAGACTTCATTTCTAAAACACCAAAAGCAATGGCAACAAAAGCCAAAATTGAGAAATGGAATCTAATTAAACTAAAGAGCTTCTGCACAGCAAAAGAAACCACCATCAGAGTAAACAGGCAATCTACAGAATGGGAGAAAATTTTTGCAGCCTACTCATCTGACAAAGGGCTAATATCCAGAATCTACAATGAACTCCAGCAAATTTATAAGAAAAAGACAAACAACCCCATCAAAAAGTGGGTGAAGGATATGAACAGGCACTTCTCAAAAGAAGACATTTATGCAGCCAAAAAACACATGAAAAATTGCTCATCAACCCTGGCCGTCAGAGAAATGCAAATGAAAACCACAATTAGATACCATCTCACACCAGTTAGAATGGCAATCATTAAAAAGTCAGGAAACAACAGGTGCTAGAGAGGATGTGGAGAAATGGGAACACTTTTACACTGTTGGTGGGACTGTAAACTAGTTCAACCATTGTGGAAGTCAGTGTGGCAATTCCTCAGGGATGTAGAACTAGAAATACCATCTGACCCAGCAATCCCATTACTGGGTATATACCCAAAGGATTATAAATCATGCTGCTATAAAGACACATGCACACGTACATTTACTGCAGCACTATTCACAATAGCAAAGACTTGGAACCAACCCAAATGTCCAACAATGATAGACTGGATTAAGAAAATGTGGCACATATACACCATGGAATACTATGCAGTCATAAAAAATGATGAGTTCATGTCCTTTGTAGGGACATGGATGAAGCTGGAAACCATCATTCTCAGCAAACTATCACAAGGACAAAAAAACCAACACCTCATGTCCTCACTCATAGGTGGGAATTGAACAGTGAGGACACATGGACATAGGAAGGGGAACATCACACACTGGGGACTGTTGTGGGGTGGGGGGAGGGGGTTGGATAGCATTAGGATATATACCTAATGCTAAATGATGAGTTAATGGGTGCAGCACACCAACATGGCACATGTATAAATATGTAACAAACCTGCACCTTGTGCACATGTACCATAAAACTTAAAGTATAATAATAAAATTAAAAAAAAAATTTCAATTAAACCAGTAAAAGAAAAAAACAGGAGAGAAGAAAAGAAGTGCAAAGTGCAGAAAACAGTATCAAACATAGTTAATATCAATCCAACTATAAAAATAGTCTCTCTCTATGTGAATGTTCCAAATACACAAATAAAAAGAATAAAATTTTCCTATTGGATTAACAAAAACAAACTCAACAATATGTGATCTATGAAAAATTCACATTAAATATGAATATTTAGAGAGATTAAAAGTAAAACAATGGAGAAAGATACATTATGCTAACACAGTTTACAAAAACCCAGAAGAGATATAGTAATTTCAAACAAAGCAGATGTCACAATAAGGAAAATTATTGGTAATAAAAAGCAACATGACCTAATGATAAAATGATCAATTATCTGATAAGACATAATAATTCAACTATTTGTATTCTTAACAGAGGATCAAAATACATGAGTCCTTTTATTTATTTCTCTTGCCTAATTGCTCTGGCTAGGATTTTCAATACTATGTCAAAAAGTGGTGAGTGTGGACATCCTTGTCTTGTCTGTGACGTTAGAGGAAAAGCTTTCAACTTTTCACTGTTGAGATAGATGCTCACTATGGACTTGTCATATATGGCCTTTATTGTGTTGAGGAAAATTTTTTCTGTACCAAATTTGTTGAGAGTTTTTTTTTTTTATCATGAAAGGATATTGAATTTTGTCAAATGTGATATTGAATTTCGTCAAATGCTTTTTCTGTATCTATGGAGATGATCATAAAATGTTTGTCCTTCATTCTGTTAATGTGGTGTGCACCACATTTATTGATTTGCCTATGCTCAACTAACCCTGCATTCTAGAGAAAAAATTCCTACTTGATCATGTTGCATAACCCTTTTAATGTGTTGTAGAATTTGGTGTGTGAGTATTTTATTGAGGATTTTTCCAACTATGTCTATCAGGGATATTATCCTGTAATTTTATCTTCCTGTAGCATCCTTGTCTGGTTTTAGTATCAGGGTAATTCTGGTCTCATAAACCAAGTTTGGGAGGATTCTTCCAACTTTACTTTTTTGGAAGAGTTTGAGAAGAATTGATATTAGTTCTTCTTTAAATGTTTTGTAGAATTCCCACCAAACAAATAGACAAATAAACAAAAAAGGGCCACGTGAGTGGCTCATGCCTGTAATCCCAGCACTTTGGGAGGCCAAGGCAGGTGGACCACCTGAGTTCAGAAGTTTGAGACCAGCCTGGCCAACATGGTGAAACCCCATCTCTACAAAAAATACAAAAGCAATCCGAGTGTGGTGGTGCATCCCAGCTATTCAGGAGGCTGAGACAGGAGGATATCTTGAACCCGAGGAGATGGAAGTTGCAGTGAGCTGAGATCATGCCAGTGCACTCCAGCCTGGGTGACAGAGTGAGACTCCATCTCAAATAAATAAATAAATAAATAAATACAACCCAAATAAATGTTTTATAGAATTCAGCCAGTCCAAGGCTTTTCTTTGATGAGACTAATTCAATCTTTTTACTCATTATTGATCTATTTAGAGTTTCTATTTGTTCATGATTTAGTCTTGGTAGGTTTTATGTTTTTAGAAATACATCATTTTTTTCTAGGTTATACAATTTATTGGCATATAATTGCTTATAGTAGTTTCTTAAGATAATTTGTATTTCTCTGGTATCAGAAATAAAATTCATTGTAATAAAATATGAAGAAGTAAATTGTCTCTATTTTCTGTCAACATGATCTTATATAAAGAATGCCATAAGGACTCAACCAAAAAAATCTTGTTTGAATTGATAAGAAAATTCAGTAAAGTTGCACAGTACAAATTCAACAAACAAACATCAGTGTCATTTCTGTATAGAGGTAATGAATCATCCAAAAAGGAAATTAAGAAAACAATCAAATTTAAAATACTCACAAGAAATACATACCTAGGTGTAAATATACCAAGGATATAAAACACACATATACTGAAAACTATAAAACAAGGGTGAAAGAAACTGAACAAAATACAAGTAAATAAAAATATATCACATATTAATGAATTGGAAGAATGAATATTGTTAAAGTGTCCATACTAACCAATTAACCTACAGATTCATTGCAATCAGTATCAAAATCCTAATGTCATTTTTTCACAGAAATAGCAAAAATAATTATTCTATTTATATGGAACTCACAAAAGAGCCAGAGTAGCCAAAACAATCTTGAGCAAAGGGAGCAAAGATGAAGGTTTCACACTTCCTGATTTCAAGACATATTTTAAAACAGTTGTAATAAAAAAAGCATGATATTGGCATTAAAAACAAACACGTTGATCATAGAAAGAGAAGAGAGAGCCCAGGAACAAACCCACATATTTACAGTCAGTTAATTTTTAATGAAGCTACCAATATCACACAATGGAGAAAATAGTCTCTTCAATAAATTGTGTTGGAAAAACTGGATGTCCACATGCAGAAGTATAAAATTGGAAACTTGTCTCACATCATATAGAAAAACCAGCTCAAAATGGAGTAAATACTTAAACATAAGATTTGAAATGGTAAAAAACTACTAGGAGAAAACATAGGAAAAAACCCCATGATATTGGTCTAGGCAATAACTTTTTTATATGACCCCAAAAGCATAGACAACAAAAGAAAAATAGACACATAGAATTATGTCACTATACAAAGCTTCTGCACAGCAAAGGAAATAATGAACAAAGTTAAAAGACAACTCAGAGAATGAGAAAACATATTTGCAAACTATACATCCAACAATGAGTTATTTTATCCAGAATGCATAAAAAACTTTGATTAGCAAGAAAGTAATTGACTAAATCATAGACAAAAGACTTGAATACAACTTTTTTAAAAGACAAGCAAATGTCCAACAGACATATTAATAAATGCTCAGAATTACTAATTACCAGAGAAATGTAAACTAAAATGACAATGAGATATAACTACATACCTGTTAGTGGTTGACATTGAGGGTGTTGAGAGAGTGCATGGGGAGTGACATAATAGGGGGCTTTTGAACCAAAGGTACAAAGATTCAGATAAGTGGAAAAGTTTTGAGATATATTGCATATCATTGTGACTATAGTAAAAAATATTGTGTTGCGTATTTTAAAATTACTAAGACAGTAAATTTCAAATGCCTCACCATAAAACAAAAAGGATAGGTAAGTGAGGTGATTATGTTAATTAGTTTGATTTTGTTATTGTACATTGTATACATATAACATCACATTGTACTACAAATATGTATACAATTATGATTTATCAATCAAAAATAATATTTTTTTGATTAACACCAAATAAAAATTTATTTTTCACCCTTTATACATATTCATCATTGGTTGGCAGGTCAGATTTTTTTTATTATTATGCTTTAAGTTCTAGGGTACATGTGCATAATGTGCAGGTTTGATACATAAGTATACATGTGCCATGTCGGTTTGCTGCACCCATCAACTCATCATTTACATTAGATATTTCTCCCAATACCCATCAACTCATCATTTACATCAGGTATTTCTCCTAATGCTATCCCTCCCCCAGACCCCAACCCCACAACGGGCCCCATTGTGTGATGTTCCCCAACCTGTGTCCAAGTGACCTCAATGTTCAATTCCCACCTATGAGTGAGAACATGCGGTGTTTGGTTTTCTGTTGTTGTGATAGTTTGCTGAGAATGATGGTTTCCAGCTTCATCCATGTCCCTGCAAAGGACACAAACTCATCCTTTTTTATGGCTGCATAGTATTCCATGGTGTATATGTGCCACATTTTCTTAATCCAGTCTATCATTGATGGACATTCGGGTTGGTTCCAAGTCTTTGCTATTGTGAATAGTGCCGCAGTAAACATACGTGTGCGTGTGTCTTTATAGTAGCATGATTTATAATCCTTTGGGTATATACCCAGTAATGGGATGGCTGGGTCAAATGGTAATTCTAGTTCTACATCCTTGAGGAATCACCAAACTGTCTTCCACAATGGTTGAACTAATTTACACTCCCACCAACAGTGTAAAAGCATCCCTATTTCTCCACACCCTCTCCAACATCTGTTGTTTCCTGACTGTTTTTTTTTTTTTATAATTTAAGTTTCAGGTTACATGTGCACAACCTGCAGGTTAGTTACATATGTATACGTGTGCCATGTTGGTGTGCTGCACCCATTAACTCGTCATTTAACATTAGGTATATCTCCTAATGCTATCCCTCACCCCTACCCCAACCCAAAAACAGGCCCCGGTGTGTGATGTTCCCCTTCCTGTGTCCATGTGTTCTCATTGTTCAATTCCCACCTATGAGTGAGAACATGCGGTGTTTGGTTTTTTTTGTCCTTGTGATAGTTTGCTGAGAATGATGGTTTCCAGCTTCACCCACGTCCCTACAAAGGACATGAAGTCACCATTTTTTATGGCTGCATAGTATTCCATGGTGTATATGTGCCACATGTTCTTAATCCAGTCTATCATTGTTGGACATTTGGCTTGGTTCCAAGTCATTGCTATTATGAATAGTGCCACAATAAACATATGTGTGCATGTGTCTTTATAGCAGCATGATTTATAATCCTTTGGGTATATACCCAGTAATGGGATGGCTGGGTCAAATGGTATTTCTAGTTCTACATCCCTGAGGAATCGCCACACTGACTTCCACAATGGTTGAACTAGTTTACAGTCCCACCAACAGTGTAAAAGTGCTCCTATTTCTCCACATCCTCTCCAGCACCTGTTGTTTCCTGACTTTTTAATGATCACCATTCTAACTGGTGTGAGATGGTATCTCATTGTGGTTTTGATTTGCATTTCTCTGATGGCCAGTGATGATGAGCATTTTTTCATGTGTCTTTTGATTGCATAAATGTCTTCTTTTATGGAGCCATGTTTATATATTGAAAGATTCAATATAGCTAGTTGCTAGGTTTTCCCACTTTATTTTATAGTGAACAAAATTTCAATCAAAATTCAGCAAGGTATTTTGTAGATGTTATCAGACTTATTCTAAAGTTTGTAGGGAAACGTCAAAGACCTAGACAGTCAACAGAATACTAAAGGAAGCCTAATTTAGAAGACTCAAGCTTCTCAACTTCTAGAATTACTATAAAACTAAAGTAATTAACAAACTGTGGTATTGGTGAAGGAGTAAATACATAGATCCATGGAACATAATACAGAGCTCAGATATACATGTGGACTCACACGAGCAGGGTAAACCAATCTATGACAGAAAAGAAAAGAAAACTTAATAAAGAAAGAATAGTTTTTTCAACAAGTGGTGTTGAAAGAACTGGACATTCATGTTACAAAAAAATGAATTTCAACAGATACATTACAATGTTCACACAAATTATGTTAAAATAAATCATATACTTAAATGTTAAATGCAAAATTATAAAACTACAGAATACAAACAAGCAAAAATATGATTGGCCATAGGTTTGGTGATGAGTGTTAGATACAACACTAAGGTACATTTCAAGAAAGAAAAAAATTAATAAGTTGGACTTTACTGAAATTAAAAACATCTGCCCTGTGGAAGTCATTGTTAGCAGGATGAAAAGACAAGGCACAGACTAGGAGAAAATATTTATAAAAGACTTACCTGATAAAGGACTTGTGGGCAAAATATACAAATAACTCTTGAAACTCAACAATAAGAAAATACACAATGCAAATAATAACTTGGCAAAAGACTCAAATAGGCACCTCACCAAGAAATGTATACAGATTTCCAATAAGCAGAAATGAAGTTCAATATTATTTGTCTTTAAATAATTGTAACTTCAAACTACCAAGTACCACTACACACCTATTAAAATTACTACAATTTAAAAGCTGACAATCTCAAATGCTGGTGAGAATGCAGAGAAACAGGAACACTCATCCATTGCTGGTGGAAATGCAAAATAGTACAGCTACTTTGGAAGTGAGTTTTTCAGTTTCTTACAAACCTAATCACAGTCTTACCATACAATCCATCATTCTCCTGAGTTTTTACTAATCGATTTGAAAAATATGTCCATGCAAAAACCTATATGTTAATGTTTTATGCCCACTTTATTATTAGTTACCAAGAACTGGAAGCAACCAACGTGTCTTCCAGTAGGTGAATAGATAAACAAAATATGCTATAATTATACACTTGAATTCTTTTGATAAAAACAAATCTTGAGCTATGAAATCATGAAAAAAATGTGTAGGCCTTAAATTCGTATTGCTAAGTGAGAAAAACAGTCTGGAAGCCTACACGCTGCATGATTCGAATTATATGTCATTCTAGAAAAGGCAAAACTAGTAACTAAAGAAAGAAAATATCGGTGGCTGTCAGGGGTTCAAGAGGAGGAATAATAGGTTAAATAGATGAGGCAAAATAAGCATTTTGGGATGTTACAAATATTCTGTATGGTACTGTAATGGTGGATATTATTATGTCATTATACATCTGTCAAAATCTGTAGAACTTGATATCACAAAGGATATTTATTAATGCATGCAAACTTTAAGTAATCATCGAGTTATGTGGAGGATCCCAGTAAGAAATGCAGTCTGTGATGAGAAACATTAACTCATATATATAATTATATATATATAAATTATATATAAAATATATAAAATATATATAAAATATATAAAATATATAATATATATTATATATAATATATAATATATATAATATATAATATAATATATATAAATTATATAAAATATATATTTTATATAGTATTATACATGTAAATTATATATTATATATAGTATTATACATATAAATTATATATAATATAATATAAATAAATTTTTTATAATATATATAAATTATATATAATATAATATATATAAATTATATACTATATATAAATTATACACTATATATAAATTATGTACAATATATAAATTATATACAATATATATAAATTATATATAACATATATAAATTATATATAACATAGATAAATTATATATAATATATAAATTATATATAATAATATATATAAATTATATATAATATAACATATATAAATTATATATAATATAATATATATAAAAAATATATAATATAACATATATAAATTAAATATAATATAATTATAAATTATATATAATAAAACATATATAAATTATATATAATATAATATTATATAATTTATATATAATATAACATATATAAATTATATATAATATTATATATAATTTATATAATATTATATATAAATTATATAGAATATTATATATAAATTATATATAATATACCATATATGAATTATATATAATATAACATATATAAATTGTATATAATATAACATATATAAATTATATATAATATAATATAAAAATATATATAATATATAGTATATAATATAATATATAAATTATATATTATATATTATATATAATATATATATAAATTATATATTACATATATTATATAATATAACATGTATATTATATGTAATATATATTATATATAAAATATATATAAATGATATGTTATGTATATTATATATAAAATATATATAAATTATATATTATGTATATTATATATAAAATATATAAATTATATATTATGTATATTATATAAAAAATACATATAAATTATACATTATGTATATTATATAGAAAATATGTATAAATTATATATTATATATTATATATAATATATATAAATTATATATTATATATTATATATATTATATATAATATATATAATATATAATATATATAATATATATATTATATGATATATATATAAATTATATATTATATATATTATATAATATATATAAATTATATAATATATATATTATATAATATATATAAATTATATGTTATATATATTATATAATATATATAAATTATATGTTATATATATTATATAAGATATATAAATTATATATAATGTATATTATATAATATATATAATTTATATATAATGTATATTATATAATATATATAATTTATATATAATGTATATTATATAATATATATAATTTATATATAATGTATATTATATAATATGTATAATTTATATATAATGTATATTATATAATATATATAATTTATATATTATATATATTATATAATATATAAATTATATATTATATATATTATATATTATATAAATTATATATTATATATTATATATAAATTATATATGATATATATTATATATAAATTATATATTATAGATTATATATAAATTCTATATGATATATATTATATATAAATTATATATTATATATATAATATATATATTATAATATATATAGAATTGAAAGAGTTGGAGGATAAAAATTTGCAGACCTAAGCAACTTTGGATATAAGTGAATACTATAAGATTAAAGGTAAAAAGAGCTACACATAAAAATTACATTGTAGTTGACAAAATCTTTTCCCACAGAAGGAATGGGTTAACAATTCTGATACCACTATAGTTTTATATTGGGATTGAGCAATTTATTAAATGAATGGCAAATGACAAACCCACGTTTCTCACCCTTGGCATAAAAATTATAGATAAACCAAAGAAGGAGGCTAGAATTTTCTATGTTGTAATGGAATAAATTTTGAGACATCAATATTAACACTTGTTTAGATCAGTTTATTATATGGTTACCGATGGTTACAAATAAAATATTCAAATATTTTTTATATACACAAATTAGTGTGCACAAATCCCTTTCTGTTTTCTGTCAGCTATATGGTTCTAAAAGCAACAACACTCCAGTAGTAATGAGTACACCAGCACTTAGATCTTGCTTTCTAATACAATTCCCCAATAAAAGGAACCTTAAAAGAAGTGGCTGATTCCATGGACCAGGGCAGGCATTATTCAGGATCAGCCTGGAGAATCTCATAGTGCCAGAAAGTAAGGAAATGCTCAACAACAACATCAACAAGACTCTCATTGATTGGTTGTATATCGAGGGGACGGAGGAACCAACTAAAGGAGCTACCTTTGGCCAAACTCGGGATGATTTATGCAACAAAATAAAGTAGCAATGGCTTGTAACACAAAATATAAAATGAATATCCATGAGTCAATACTGATATAAAAAATAAATAAGGGAGAAGAGTCAAATATCCCAAGCAGAAGATTTTCAAATAGTGTACATGGATACTGAGCCCAATTTGGCTGAGTATGGAAAAGAGGAGTAAAAAACAGTGATTTTAGAAGAAGCCTGAAAAGCTGCACCTCAGCCAGGTGATCAAGATTGACCTCAACATTCATAAGTCAAGTAGGTGGTATGCACCCTTGATATAATGTTTGAAAATAGCAGTTTACATGTGTGTTCTTCCTCCTCAAAACTCATTAGCCCAGTATAATCATAAGGAAAACATCGAGTCTTAATTGAGGGAAATTATAAAATTGTTCCTTAAAACTTTCTTTTTAACATTTTTAAATTTTTAATGTTTATGGGTACATAGAAGTTGTACATATTTATATGATACCAGAGATATTTTAGTACAGGTGTACAGTAAATAATCACTTTAGGTTAAATGGGGTGTTCATCATCTCAAGCATTCATCATTTCTTTGTGTTACAAACATTCCATTTGAACTCAGTTATTCTAAAATGTACAACAAATTACTGCTGACTGTAGTCACCCTGTTGTGCTACCAAATACTATTATATGTTATTATATATTATATATTATTATTCAATCTACCTAACTGTATTTTTGTACCCATTAACCATCACCATTTTCTGCCCCTTCCACCACATACACATACTTCCCTTTCCAGCCTCTTTTAAACATCATTCTACTCTCTGTCTCCATTAGCTCAATTATTTTAATTCTTCCTCCCACAAATGAGTGAGAACTTGCAAAGCTGGTCCTTCTGTGCATGGCTTGTATCACTTAATACGATATAAAGCACAATTTTAAAAAATTAATTAATTAATAAGTTGGAATTTACTTAAATTAAAAATGTCTGCCCAGTTTCATCCATGTTATTGCAAATTACAGAATCTCATTCCTTTTTATGGATGAATAGTAGTCCATTGTGTATGTGTACCATGTTTCTTTAATCCATTCCTCTGTTGATGGATATTTAGGTTGATACAAAATCTCGGATATTGTGAATAGTGGTGCAATACACAAGGTAATGCAGATATCTCTTCAATATACTAATTTACTTTCTTTGAGTATATACCTAGCAGTGGAATTGCTGCACCATAGGGTAGTTCCATTTTGAGTTTTTAAAGGAATCTCCATAATATTCTCCATAATGGCTGTACTAATTGACATTCTCACCAACAGTGTACAAGTATTCTCCTTTCTCCACACCATCACCAGCATTCATTATTGCCTGTCTTTAGGAAAAAAGCCATTTTAACTGGAGTGAGATAGTATCTCATTGTAGTTCTGATTTGCATCTTTCTGATGATCAATCATGTTGAGCACCTTTCCTTATACCTGTTTGCCATTTGCATGTCTTCTTTTCAGAAATGCCTATTCAGATCTTTTGCTCATTTAGAAATCAGATTATTAGATTTTTTCTATTGAGTTCTAATAGTATTTAATTTATATATAAATCTAATTGTATTTTATTTATATATATGAATGCTCCAGCGTTGGGTCCATATACATTTACGATTGTTACATTCTCTTGCTGAATTGATCTCTTTATCATTATATAGTAACCTTCTTTTGATCATTTTATAGTTTTATCAGGTAAAATTTATTTTGTCTGATATAAGCTTAGGTACTCCTGCTCATTTTTAGTTTCCATTTACATGGAATGTCATCTTCCATCTCTTTATTTTTAATCTATATGTGTTTTTAAGGTGAAGTGTATTTCCTGTAGGCAACAGATTTTTGAGTCTCATTTTTCTTGTCCATTCAGCCACTCAACATGCTTTGCTTGGTGAATTTATTCCATTTACAATCAATGTAATTATTGATGAGTAACAACTTACTCCTGCCATTTTGTTATTTGTTTTCTTATTGTTTTGTAGTCTTCTCTTCCTTCTTTCTTTCCTGTCTTCCTATTTGTGAAGTTGCTTTTCTCTGGTGGTATATTTAATTTCTTGCTTTATATATTTTTTGTATCTGTTGTAGGTTTTTTGATTTGAGGTTACCTAAGGCTTCGAAATAACATCTTGTAACTCATTATTTTACACTGATGACAACTTATCTCTGATCGCAATAAGAAACAAAAAATTAACAAACCAGCAAAGAGAAAACTGATAAAAACTCTGCACTTTAACTTCATCCCTCCATTTTTAATTTTTTTGTTTCTCTATATATCTTTTATTATGCTATATCTTAAAATGTTGTAGTTATTCTGTTTGATAGGTTTGTCTTTGTCTTCCTACTCAAGATACTAGTAGTTTTCACACCAAAATTAAAGTGTGATAATAGTCTGTATTTGTGTACTTACTCTTACCAGTGACTTTTATACTTTCAGACAATTTATTATTGCTTATTAACATTGTTTTATTTCAGCTTGAAAAACCCCCTTTAGCATTTCTTGTAGGTCTGGTATTGATGAAATTTCTCAGCTTTTGTTTGTCTGGGGAAGTCTTTATTTTTTTTTTCATGTTTGAAGGATATTTTCTCTGGATATACTAATCTATGATAAGTTTTTTTTTTTTTTTTTCTTCAGCACTTTCAAAATGTCATGTCACTCCCTTCTGGACTATAAGGTTTCAACTGAGATGTCTGCTGCCAGATGTGTTGGAACTCCTTTATATGTTATTTCCATTTTCTTGCTGCTTTTAGGTTCCTTTTTTATTCTTGATCTTTGGGAGTTTGATTAATAAAGGCCTAGAGTAATCTTATTTTGTTTAAATTTGCTCGGTGTTCTATAATCTTCTTGTACTTTAACGTTGATACATTCTTCTAAATTTGAAAAGTTCTGTGTTATGTGTTCGAATAAACTTTCTATCCAGATCTCTCTCTACCTTCTTTTTAAGGCCAATAACTCTTAGATTTGCACGTTTGAGGCTATTTTGCAGACCCTATAGGTATGCTTCATTATTTTTTATTCTTATTTCTTTTGACTACTCTGACCATGTATGTTTAAATACCCTGTCTTCAACATCATTATTTCTTTCTTCTGCTTGATCAATTCTGCTATTAAGAGACTCTGATGCATTTATCTGTTTGTTAGTTGAATTTTTCAGCTATAGAATTTTTTTCCTTGCTTATTTTTTATAATTTCTAGCTCTTTGTTTAATTTACCTGATAATATTCTGAATTATTTCTCCATTATCTTGAATTTCATTGAGCTTTCTCAAAACATCCATCTTTAATTCTCTTTCTTCAATATCACATATCTCTGTCATTCCAAATCTGGTCATTGGTGCCTTATTTAGTTTGTTTCATGAGATCATGTTTTCTTTGTTGGTCTTCATGTTAGTGGACGTATGTCAATGCCTGGGCATTGAAGAGTTAGGAATTTATTCTAATACTTGTCATCTGGGCTTGTTTTTTCCTGTCCTTCTTGAGAAGGCTTTCCAAGTATTTAATAAAAGTTGAGTGTTATGATGTAAGCCTTTAGTCACTGTAGCCATATGTGCATTAGGGGCACTCCAAACCCAGTAATGCTGTGTTTCCTCTAGACTTGCAGAGATACTACCTCAGTGGTCTTGGGTAAGATCCAGGAAAACTCGTTGGATTATCAGGCAGATTTTCTTGTTTTCTTCCCCTAACATTCCCTCAAGCAAATGGAGTCTCTCTCTCCAAGCTGAGTTGCCCGGAGATGGGGGAGGGTGACACATTTCCGTGCATACCACTGCTAAGACTGTGCTGGGTCCCACCTGAAAATAGCACAGTACTATGTCTCACTTAAGACCTGTGGTGACTATCTCTTGGCTACTACTGATGCTTATTCAAGGCCCAATGGCTCTTTAGTCAGCAAGTGACAAATCCTGCTAGGATTGATTCTCTCCTTTCAGGGTAGTGGGTTCCCTTCTGAACCAGAATGGGCTAGGGGGTAAAGCCTGGAAATGGGGACTTTAGGAGTCTGCTTGGTGCTTTGTTTTACTGTGGCTAAGCTGGTACCCAAGTTGCAAGACAAATTTCTTTTTACTCTTCCCTTTTGTTTTCTCAAGCAGAAGAAGTCTCTCCCTATGGCTACAAAGCTGGGACTGTGCTGGTTCCCAGCTGAAGCCAGCACAATACTGGGTCTAGCTCAAGGCCCATGGTAACTGCTTCTTGGCTACTGCTGATATTTATTCAAAGCCCAAGGGCTCTTCAGTCACCAGGAGTTGAATTTTACCAGGACTGAATCTTTCCCTTCAGGGCAATGGGTTCTCTTCTTGCCCAAGGTCGATCTAGAAATGTCATCTGGAAGCTATGGCCTGGAATGGGCACTTTAGGACTCTGCTTTGTGCTATATTCTACTGTGGCTTAGCTGACATCCAAGTTGCAAGATAAAATTCTCTTTATTATTTCCTCTCCTCCCAGATCTGTGAGCTACTCCTCCTGGAGTTTTGGAAGGGGTGGTGCAAGCACTCCCTTGGCTTCCCGAGCTGGTGGCTCCCTGGACCATATGCACCTAGGTCCACTGGCTCTGAGCCCAGCACAGCAATAATATTTGCCCAGAAATGGCAGTTTTTGTGGCCTAGACTGCCTTTTTTAGGCAGTCTATGTTTAGATAGGACCCCAGAGTGCTTTAGGCCATGTTGGAGGAGCTAGCTGGAATTTTGGTTCCGAATGCTAGGAGGGACAATTCACTTCCGGTTAGGGCTGATTTAAATGCTCCATCCCTTGGTGCCAGCTTAATTCTGCCCTGTTTTGCTTTTCACTATGACAGGGCAGCACTAAGTTCCAATGTTAAGTCCCACAGTAGCCTTACTCTCCCTCCTACAAACATATTCCTTCTCTGTGCCACACTGTATTGCTGGAAGATGGGGGAGGAGTGGTATTACCAATTCAAGACTGTCTTTTCTACGCTATTCAGTGCCTCTTTCCTTGATAGAATGCTAAAACCATTACTGTGACCAATCACCTGATTTTTAGGTCTTATGAAGCTGCTTTCTTGAGTGAATATTCAATTTTGTGTTCCTGTCAGGGGAATAATAACTGGAGTGTTCTATTTGGCCATCTTGCTCTGCCTCCTCCACAAAACTTTCAAGGTCATCATAAACAAGGAAACTCTGGAAAAGTGTCACAGCCAACAACAGCCTAAGGAAATGTGACTTCTAAATGCAATGTGGTATCTAAGATGTGTTCCTGAAGCTAAGGAACATTTGGTCAAAAACTGAGGAAATGTGAATAAACTATACACTTAATTAGAACAAGAAATTAACATCAGTTCACTAATTGTAACAAATACACCATACTTATGTAGGAAGCTAAAAATAAGGGAAAATAGAAAAATCGGTGTGAAATATTTGGGAAATCTTTATTATCTACTCAGCTTCTCTGTAAATGTAAAACTGCTCAAGGAAATAATGTTTATTTAAAAAAATAAAACATCTTGGTTCATTTCATGCTCTTGAACTCAAGCAGTAGCCGGATTTTTCTAAGCCAATGTTTCCTAAACTTTGCAGATTACCTAGCTCACCCAGCGGCACTTAATAAAGATAGTTATGCCAAGGTCTCACCTGTGGAGTTTCTGATTCTTGAGGTTTAGGATGGAGTGTGATAATCTGTTTTCAACTAGCACACCTAGTGATTCTCATTAGCCCCATTTTGAGAAACACTGCTTCAGAAGGTATTTACGCTGAGGGTGAGAAATGCTAATAAATAGGCCCAGCCTCAGACAGTTTGGAGACTGGGTGTTTCTCCAAGTTGGCTCTCAATTTCTGTTATAGTCTTTTATAGTTTTTTAATTACATGTTTGAAAAGATGTCCCAGGCTTATCTTATATGTTACATACACCATCATGAATTTAGTTATTTATTCAAAAATACCTTGTTCTTTATGGTAAGAATTGGTATTTAAGATCACAACCTGGTCTACTATTGGTTTAGTCATTATTTTTAGGCTTCTACAGAGGGCATAGTTAGAAAAACTCAGAGCGAAGATGGCCAAATAGGAACAGCTCTAGTCTGCAGCTCCTAGTCAGACCAATGCAGAAGGCAGGTGATTTCTGCATTTCCAACTGAGGTACCTGATTCATCTCATTGGGACTGGTGAGACAGTGGGTGCAGCCCACGGTGGGCAAGCAGAAGCAGGGTGGGGCATTGACTCACCCAGGAAGTGCAAGGGGCCAAGGACCTCCCTCCCCTAGCTAAGGGAAGCCATGAGGGACCATGCTATCAGGCCCAGATACTATGTTTCTCCCATGATTTTTGCAACTCGCAGACCAGGAGATTCCCTTGTGTGCCTAAATGACCAGGGCCCTGGGTTTCAAGCACAAAACTTGGCGGCTGTTTGGGCAGACACTGAGCTAGCTGCAGGAGTTTCCCCCCTCCCCCTTCCTCAATGGCCCCTGGAACCCCAGTGAGACAGAACTGTTCAGTCCCCTGGAAAGGGGCTGAAGCCAGGGAGCCAAGTGGTCTCACTCAGAGGGTCCCACTCCCATGGAACCCAGCAAGCTAAGAACAACTGGCTTAAAATTCTCACTGCAAGCCACAGCAGTCTGAAGTTGAACTGGGATGATCGAGCTTGGTGTGGGGAGGGACATCCACCATAACTGAGGCTTCAGTATGTGGTTTTCCCCGCTCAGTGTTAAGGAAGCTGCTGGGAAGTTCAGGCTAGGCAGAACTCACCACAATGTGGCAAATGATTCCCTATTTAATAAATGATGATGGGAAAACTGGCTAGCCATATGCAGAAAACTAAAACTGGACCCCTTCCTTGCACGTTATACAAAAATTAACTCAAGATGGATTAAAGACTTAAGCATAAAACCTGAAACCATAAAAACCCTAGAAGAAAACCTAGGCAGTACCATTCAGGACATAAGCATGAGCAAAGACTTCATGATTAAAACACCAAAAGCAATTGCAACGAAAGCCAAAATTGGCAAATGGGATCTAATTCAACTAAAGAGCTTCTGCACAGAAAATGAACAATCATCAGAGTGAACAGACAACCTATACAATGGGAGGAAATTTTTGCAATCTATCCATCTGACAAAGGGCCAGAATCTACAAGGAACTTAAACAAATTTACAAGAAAAAAAACCAAACAACCCCATCAAAAAAATGGGAGAAGGATAGGAACAGACACTTCTCAAAAGAAGATATTTATGAGGCCAACAAATTCATGAAAAAAAAAATCATCACTGGTTACTAGAGAAATGCAAATCAAAACCACAATGAGATACCATCTCACATCAGTTAGAATGGCGATCATTAAAAAGTCAGGAAACAACAAATTCTGGAGAGGATGTGGAGAAATAGGAACACTTTTACACAGTTGGTGGGAGTTTAAATTAGTTTACCCATTGTGGAAGACAGTGGGGTGATTCCTCAAGGATATAGAACAAGAAATACCATTTGACCCAGCAATCCCATTACTGCATATGTACCCAAAAGATTATAAATCAATCTACTATAAATACATATACACATGAATGTTTATTGCAGTACTATTTACAATAACAAAGACTTGGAACCAAACCAAATGTCCATCAGTGATAGACTGGATAAAGAAAATGTGGCACATGTACACCATGGAATACTATGCAGTCATAAAAAAGAATCAGTTCATGTCCTTTGCAGGGACATAGGTGAAGCTGGAAACCATCATCATTAGCAAACTAACACAGGAACAGAAAACCAAACACCACATGTTCTCATTCATAAGTGGGAGCTGAACAATGAGAACACATGGACACAGGGAGGAAATAATCACACACCGGGGCCTGTCAAGGGGTGGGGGGTAAGCATTAGGAGAAATACCTAATGTATGTGGGGCTTAAAACCTAGATGATGGGTTGATACCTGCAGAAAAATAAATAATAAAAAATAATAAAATAAATTAAACTAGAAAAAAAGAAAACTCAGAGCATCTTTATATAAAATCAAGATATTGATTATGAATATTTTATATTAAAATTCAGTACTATGCACAGTAATTATAAAGACAGTCAGCATAATATAGTAAGTAAGTAGACAGTTATAATAGAAGATGTTAACACTCTTCTCTTAATCCAAAGCTAAAATTACTATTCTGAAAAGTTTTCCTGTAAAAAAAGCAAATTTTATGATATATACTATATAGGAATACCATGTACTTGGGAGATTGAATCAGAAGGGCTAATATTGAGATATATTTTAGTAAAAATTATTTATTTTTTCAAAATAAGAAAAAAGAGGGGAGGTCTGGGCTGTGTGCAGCAAAGCAGCTGTGGCCAGACTGCTTCTCTAGATTCTTCCTCACTGGGCAGCACATCTCCAAAGGAAAGGTAACAGCCCCAGTCTGGGGCTTACAGACAAACCTCCCTTCTTCCTAGGACAGAACACCTGGGGGAAGGGGCAGCTGTGGGCACCAATTCAGCAGATTTAATCATTCCTGCCTGCTCTGAAGAGAGCAGCTGATCCTGACAAGCAGGATTTTCCCAGCACAGCAAGCTAGCTCTGTTACAGGACTGACTGCCTCCTCAAGTGGGTCCCTGGCCTGTGAGCCTCCTGACTGGGAAAACTTCCCAACAGGTGTCAAAATAAACTATATAGGAGAGCTCTGGCTGGCATCAGGCCACTGCCCCTCTAGGATGAAGCTTCCAGAGGAATGAGCAGGCAGAAATCTTTGCTGTTCTTCAGCCTCCACAGGTGATAGTCAGGGGAACAGGGTCTGGAGTGCACCCCAAGCAAACTGCAGCAGACTGGCAGAAGAGGAGCCTGACCGGTAGAAGGAAAACTAACAAACAAAAACCAATAACATCAACATCAACAAAAAGGATGCCCACACAATAACCCCATTCAGAGGTCATTGGCATCAAAGATCAAAGGTAGATAAATCCATGAAGATGAGGGAAAACCAGCACAAAAGTGCTGAAAATTCCAAAAACCAGAATGCTCTTTTCCTCCAAATTATCTCAACTACTCTCCAGCAAGGGAACAAAACTGGATGGAGAATGAGTTGGATGAATTGACAGAAGTAGGCTTCAGCAAGTGGGTAATCATAAACTCCTCTGAGCTAAAGGAACATGTTCTAACCCAATGCAAGGAAGATAAGAAACTTGATAAAAGGTTGGTATATAGGGTGGCTGGCAGCCAAGGTGGCCGAATACGAACAGCTCTGGTCTACAGCTCACAGTGTGAGCGACGCAGAAGACAGGTGATTTCTGCATTTCCATCCGAGGTACCGGGTTCACCTCACTAGGGAGTGCCAGACAGTGGGCACAGGACAGTGGGTGCAGTGCACCATGTGTGAGCCGAAGCAGGGTGAGGCATTGCCTCACTCAGGAATTGCAAGGGGTCAGGGAGTTCCATTTCCTAGTCAAAGAAAGGGGTGACAGACGGCACCTGGAAAATCGGGTCACTCCTGCCCCAATACTGTGCTTTTCCGATGGGCTTAAAAAACAGCGCACCAGGAGATTATATCCCGCATCTGGCTTGGAGGGTCCTACGCCCACGGAGTCTCGCTGATTGCTAGCACAGCAGTCTGAGATCAAACTGCAAGGCGGCAGAGAGGCTGGGGAAGGGGTGCCAGCCATTGCCGAGTTAGTTGTTTGATTAGGCAAACAAAGCTGCCTGGAAGCTCGAACTGGGTGGAGCCCAACACAGCTCAAGGAGGCCTGCCCGCCTCTGTAGGCTCCACCTCTGGGGGCAGGGCACAGACAAACAAAAAGACAGCAGTAACCTCTGCAGACTTAAATGTCCCTGACAGCTTTGAAGGGAGCAGTGGTTCTCCCAGCATGCAGCTGGAGATCTGAGAACGGGCAGACTGCCTTCTCAAGTGGGCCTCTGACCCCTGACAACCAAGCAGCCTAACTGGGAGACACCCACCAGTAGGGGCAGACTGACACCTCACACGGCCAGGTACTCCTCTGAGACAAAAGTTCCAGATGAACGATCAGACAGCAGCATTCGCAGTTCACGAAAATCAGCTGTTCTGCAGCCACTGCTGCTGATACCCAGGCAAACAGGGTCTGGAGTGGACCTCTAGCAAACTCCAACAGACCTGCAGCTGAGGGTCCTGTCTGTTAGAAGGAAAACTAACAAACAGAAAGGACATCCACACCAAAATCCCATCTGTACATCACCATCATCAAAGACCAAAAGTAGATAAAAACACAAAGATGGGGAAAAAACAGAACAGAAAAACGGGAAACTCTAAAAATCAGAGCACCTCTCCTCCTCCAAAGGAATGCAGCTCCTCACCAGCAATGGAACAAGGCTAGACGGAGAATGCCTGACGAGTTGAGAGAAGAAGGCTTCACACAATCAAACTACTCTGAGCTACAGGAGGAAATTCAAAGCAAAGGCAAAGAAGTTAAAAATTTGAAAAAAATTTAGACGAATGTATAACTGGAATAACCAGAACAGAGAAGTGCTTAAAGGAGCTGATGGAGCTGAAAGCCAAGGCTCAAGAACTACGTGAAGAATGCCGAATCCTCAGGAGCCGATGCAATCAACTGGAAGAAAGGGTATCAGTGATGCAAGACGAAATGAATGAAATGAAGCGAGAAGGGAAGTTTAGAGAAAAAAGAATAAAAAGAAATGAACAAAGCCTCCAAGAAATATGGAACTATGTGAAAAGACCAAATCTACATCTGATTGGTGTACCTGAAAGTGACGGGGAGAATGGAACCAAGTTGGAAAACACTCTGCAGGATATTATCCAGGAGAACTTCCCCAATCTAGCAACGCAAGCCAACATTCACATTCAGGAAATACAGAGAACGCCACAAGGATGCTCCTCGAGAAGAGCAACTCCAAGACACATAATTGTCAGATTCACCAAAGTTGAAATGAAGGAAAAAATGTTAAGGGCAGTCAGAGAGAAAGGTCGGGTTACACACAAAGGGAAGCCCATCAGACTAACAGTGGATCTCATGGCAGAAACTCTACAAGCCAGAAGAGAGTGGGGACCAATATTTAACACGCTTAAAGAAAAGAATTTTCAACCCAGAATTTCATATCTAGCCAAACTGAGCTTCATAAGTGAAGGAGAAATAAAATACTTTACAGAGAAGCAAATGCTGAGAGATTTTGTCACCACCAGGCCTGCCCTACAAGAGCTCCTGAAGGAAACACTAAACATGGAAAGGAACAACTGGTACCAGCCACTGCAAAATCATACCAAATTGTGAAGACCATCGAGGCTAGGAAGAAACTGCATCAACTAACGAGCAAAATAACCAGCTAAAATCATAATGACGGGATCAAATTCACACATAACAATATCAACATTAAATGTAAATGGACTAAATGCGCCAATTAAAAGACAGACTGGCAAATTGGATAAAGAGTCAAGACCCATCAGTGTGCTGTATTCAAGAAACCCATCTCATGTGCAGAGACACACATAGGGTCAAATTAAAGGGATGGAGGAAGATCTACAAAGCAAATGGAAAACAAAAAAAAGCAGAGGTTGCAATCCTAGTCTCTGATAAAACAGACTTTAAACCAACAAAGATCAAAAGAGACAAAGAAGGCCATTGCATAATGGTAATGGGATCAATTCAACAAGAAGAGCTAAATATCCTAAATATATATGCACCCAATACAGGAGCACCCAGATTCATAAAGCAAGTCCTGAGTGACCTACAACGAGACTTAGACTCCCACACAATAATAATGGGAGACTTTGACACCCCACTGTCAACATTAGGCAGATCAATGAGACAGAAAGTTAACAAGGATACCCAGGAATTGAACTCAGCTCTGCACCAAGCAGACCTAATAGACATCTACAGAACTCTCCACCCCAAATCAACAGAATATACATTTTTTTCAGCACCACACCACACCTATTCCAAAATTGACCACATAGTTGGAAGTAAAGCTCTCCTCAGCAAATGTAAAAGAACAGAAATTATAACAAACTCTCTCTCAGACTACAGTGCAATCAAAGCAGAACTCAGGATTAAGAAACTCACTCAGAACTGCTCAACTACATGGAAACTGAACAACCTGCTCCTGAATCACTACTGGATACATAATGAAATGAAGGCAGAAATAAAGATGTTCTTTAAAATAAGGAGAACAAAGACACAACATACCAGAATCTCTGGGACACATTCAAAGCAGTGTGTAGAGGGAAATTTGTAGCACTAAATGCCCACAAGAGAAAGCAGGAAAGATCCAAAATTGACACCTTAACATCACAATTAAAAGAACTAGAAAAGCAAGAGCAAACACATTCAAAAGCTAGCAGAAGGCAAGAGATAAACTAAAATCAGAGCAGAACTGAAGGAAATAGAGACACAAAAAACCCTTCAAAAAATCAATGAATCCAGGAGCTGGTTTTTTGAAAGGATCAACAAAATTGATAGACCACTAGCAAGACTAATAAAGAAGAAAAGAGAGAAGAATCAAATAGATGCAACAAAAAATGATAAAGGGGATATTACCACCGATCCCACAGAAATACAAACTACCATCAGAGAACATTACAAACATCTCTACGCAAATGAACTAGAAAATCTAGAAGAAATGGATAAATTTCTCGACACACACACCCTCCCAAGACTAAACAAGGAAGAAGTTGAATCTCTGAATAGACCAATAACAGGCTCTGAAATTGTGGCAATAATCAATAGCTTACCAACCAAAAAGAGTCCAGGACCAGATGGATTCACAGCTGAATTCGACCAGAGGTAGAAGGAGGAACTGGTACCATTCCTTTGAAACTATTCCAATCAATAGAAAAAGAGGGAATGAGGCCAGCATCATCCTGATACCAAAGTCGGGCAAAGACACAACCAAAAAAGAGAATTTTAGACCAATAACCTTGATAAACATTGATGCAGAAATCCTCAGTAAAATACTGCCAAACCAAATCCAGCAACACATCAAAAAGCTTATCCACCAGGATCAAGGTGACTTCATCCGTGGGATGCAAGGCTGGTTTAATATATACAGATCAATAAATGTAATCCAGCATATAAACAGAACCAAAGACAAAAACCACATGATTATCTCAATAGAAGCAGAAAAGGCCTTTGACAAAATTCAACAACCCTTCATGCTAAAAACTCTTAATAAATTAGGTATTGATGGGACGTATCTCAAAATGATAAGAGCTATCTATGACAAACCCACAGCCAATATCATACTGAATGGGCAAAAACTGGAAGCATTCCCTTTGAAAACTGGCACAAGACAGGGATGCCCTCTCTCACCACTCCTATTCAACATAGTGTTGGAAGTTGTGGCCAGGGCAATCAGGCAGGAGAAGGAAATAAAGGGTATTCAATTAGGAAAAGAGGAAGTCAAATTGTCCCTGTTTGCAGATGACATGATTGTATATCTAGAAAACCCCATTGTCTCAGCCCAAAATCTCCTTAAGCTGATAAGCAACTTCAGCAAAGTCTCAGGATACAAAATCGATGTACAAAAATCACAAGCATTCTTATACACCAATCACAGACAGAGAGCCAAATCATGAGTGAACTCCCATTTACAATTGCTTCAAAAAGAATAAAATACCTAGGAATCCAACTTACAAGGGATGAGAAAGACCTCTTCAAGGAGAACTAAAAACCACTGCTCAATGAAATAAAAGAGGATACAAACAAATGGAAGAACATTCCATGCTCATGGGTAGGAAGAATCAATATCATGAAAATGGCCATACTGCCCAAGGTAAATTATAGATTCAATGCCATCCCCATCAAGCTACCAATGCCTTTCTTCACAGAATTGGAGAAAACTACTTTAAAGTTCATATGGAACCAAAAAGGAGCCCACATTGCCAAGTCAATCCTAAGCCAAAAGAACAAAGCTGGAGGCATCATGCTACCTGACTTCAAACTATACTACAAGGCTATAGTAACCAAAACAGTATGGTACTGGTACCAAAACAGAGATATAGATCAATGGAACAGAACGGAGCCCTCAGAAATAACGCCACATATCTACAACTATCTGATCTTTGACAAACCTGACAAAAACAAGCAATGGGGAAAGGATTCCCTATTTAATAAATGGTGCTGGGAAAACTGGCCAAACATATGTAGAAAGCTGAAACTGGATCCCTTCCTTACACCTCATACAAAAATTAATTCATTACGGATTAAAGACTTAAACGTTAGACCTAAAACCATAAAAACCCTAGAAGAAAACCTAGGCATTACCATTCAGGACATAGGCATGGGCAAGGACTTCATGTCTACAACACCAAAAGCAATGGCAACAAAAGTCAAAATTGACAAATGGGATCTAATTAAACTAAAGAGCTTCTGCACAGCAAAAGAAACTACCATCAGAGTGAACAGGCATCCTACAAAATGGGAGAAAATTTTCACAACCTACTCATCTGACAAAGGGCTAATATCCAGAATCTACAATGAACTCAAACAAATTTACAAGAAAAAAACAAACAACCCCATCAAAAAGTGGGCAAAGGACATGAACAGACACTTCTCAAAAGAAGACATTTATGCAGCCAAAAAACACATGAAAAAATGCTCACCATCACTGGCCATCAGAGAAATGCAAATCAAAACCACAATGAGATACCATCTCACACCACTTAGAATGGCAATCATTAAACAGTCAGGAAACAACAGGTGTTGGAGAGGATGCGGAGAAATAGGAACACTTTTTCACTGTTGGTGGTACTGTAAGCTAGTTCAACCATTGTGGAAGTCAGTGTGGCGATTCCTCAGGGATCTAAAACTAGAAATACCATCTGACCCAGCCATCCCATTACTGGGTATATACCCAAAGGACTATAAATCATGCTGCTATAAAGACACATGCACACATATGTTTATTGCGGCACTACTCACAATAGCAAAGATTTGGAAGCAACCCAAATGTCCAACAATGATAGACTGGATTAAGAAAATGTGGCACATATACACAATGGAATACTATGCAGCCCTAAAAAATGATGAGTTCATGTCCTTTGTAGGGACATGGATGGAATTGGAAATCATCATTCTCAGTAAACTATCGCAAGGACAAAAAAGCAAACACCGCATGTTCTCACTCATAGGTGCGAATTGAACAATGAGATCACATGGACACAGGAAGGGGAACATCACACTCTGGGGACTGTTGTGGGGTCGGGGGAGTGGGGAGGCATAGCATTAGGAGATATACCTAATGCTAAATGACGAGTTATTTGGTGCAGCACACCAGCCTGGCCCATGTATACATATGTAACTAATCTGCACATTGTGCACATGTACCCTAAAACTTAATGTATAATAATAATAAAATAAAAAAAGATTGGTATATATGCAAAGGATTATAAATCATTATACTATAAAGACACGTACACACAGATGTTTTATTTGCAGCACTGTCTACAATAGCAAAGACTTGGAACCAACCCAAATGCCCGTCAATGAACACTGGATAAAGAAAATGTGGCACATACACACCATGGAATACTATATGCATCCATAAAAAAAGCATGCGTTCATGTTCTTTGCAGGGACATGGATGAAGCTGGAAGCTATCATTCTCAGCAAACTAACACAGGAACAGAAAATCAAACACTGCATGTTCTCACTCATAAGTGGGAGTTGAACAAAGAGAACACATGGACACAGGTAGGGGAACATCACACACTGGGGCCTGTTGGGGATGTGGGGCTACGGGAGGGAGAGCATTAGGACAAATACCTAATTCGAGTGGTGCTTAAAACCTAGATGATGGGTTGATAGGTGCAGTAATTCACCATGGCACATGTATGTCTATGTAAAAAACCTGCACATTTTGCACATGTATCCCAGAACTTAAAGTAAAATAAAAAATAATTGTGAAAAAAGAAGTATATTTCCACTGAATCACCTAACATTTACTCTACCTAAGCCACTGTGCTGCACTGTGCAAAAACAACTCAGATGAATCTGATATTTTTTACATGCCAAGCATTTAAATTCTAGTAAAAATAAAAACAAACACACAGACACAAGACAAAATAAGAAAAAAAAAAACATCATTAGGGCATTTAGTCAAAAAACAAAGTGACTCACATATAAAAGAAAATCATATTAGTGCTATGGTTTATAATAGCAATACTTTATGTCAGAAAATACTGAAGTAACATTTTTAAGAGACTCAGAAAAATGTACATTATGAATTTTTTATATAACTTAATCTTCAAGTATAAAGATAGTAAACAACTTACTATTAACATGAAAAATATATTTTTTTCTATGAACACCTCTTGAGGAATGTACTACAGAATGAACCTGACACTTAAATATCTGAGAAGGCATCAGCTTAGTGACGGTTGGTGAACAATATATACATATAGTTATATATATAATATATATTTACAATATATATTTTCCTTTCATTTATTTTGACTTTATTGGATAACAATTAAAGGACACTAAGCTGAAAATACTTTATTTTTAAAATCTAACTTCAGGGGTACATGTGCAGGTCTGTTATATGGCTAAACTTGTATTATGGGGTTTGTTGTACAGATTATTTCATCACTTAGATATTTAGCCTAGTACCCATTAATTATCTTTCCTAATCCTTTCCCACCTCCTACCCTCCACCCTCTAATAGTCCCCAGTGTGTTTTGTTACCCTCTATGTGTCCATGTGTTCTCATAATTTAGCTTCCACCTATAAGTGAGAACATGTAGTATTTGGTTTTCTGTTCCTGTGTTTGTTTAATAAGGATAACACCATTTATGTTTATTTCATGCCTTTGTTATTGGGAATAGCAATGAACATATACGTGCATGTATCTATCATAGAATGATTTAGATTCCTAACAATAGATTATTGTTAAATATATATATATGTGTATATATATATATGTGTATATATATATGTGTATATATATATGTGTATATATATATGTGTATATATATATATGTGTATATATATATGTGTATATATATATGTGTATATATATATGTGTATATATATATATGTGTATATATATATGTGTATATATATGTGTGTGTATATATATATATGTGTATATATATATATATATGCTACTAATGTTTGTATGTTAATTAACTTTACTGAATTTGTTTATTAGTAATAAGAGGTTTTTGATGGCATCTTTAGGGCTTTATAAAGTAAGACCATGTTGTCTTTACAAAAAGATAATTTGATTTGTTTCCAGTATAAATGCCCTGTTTATTTTTTTCTCTTGTCTTACTTTTCTGACCAGGAATTCCAATATACATTAAGTAAAAGTGGAAAAAGCAGATATTCTTGACTTGTTTCTACTCTTAGAGAAAAAGTTTTCAGTTATTCCTCAGTAAACATTACTTTAGCTGTCACTTTGTCATATATGGCCTTTATCATTTTAAGGTATGATTCTCATATTCTCAGTTTGTTGAAGATTTTATATCATAAGGGGATGGTGAATTTTTTCAAATGCATTTTTAGCATTTATTAGAATTATTATGTTTTTGGTTTGGTTCTCTTATTGTGTGGCATTTATTGATTTGCATATGTTGAACCATCCTTACATTATTGGGATGAATACCACCTGATCATAGTGAATCATTCTTTTAATGTGGTGTTTAACTTGGTTTGATAGTATTTTAATTAGGATATTTACATCTATATTCATCAGTGATAGATATTGACCTGTACTTTTGTTTTATTTGTTGTTGCTGTATCTATGCCTAGTTTTGGTATCGGGATAATGGTGGCCTGAGAAAAAGTTTGAAAGTATTCAAACTTCAATTTTTTGGAAAAGTTTCAGTAGAATTGGTGTTAATTCCTCTTTAAACATTTTGTAGAATTCAGCAGTAAAGCAATTATGCCCTGGTATTTCCTTTGATGGGAGCCTTATAATTACAACTTTGATATTGTTACTTATTATTGGTTTGTTGAGGTTTTCTATTTCTTCATGATGTAATTTTGGTAGATTGTATGTATCCAGGAGTTTATGTATTTCTTCTAGTTTTCTAATTTGTTGGTGTGTAGTTTTTAATAATAGTCTGTGATAATCTTCATGTATTTTGTGGTCTCTATTTTATGTCTCCTTTTTTATTTCTGATTTTATTTATATGGATCTTCTCTCTTTTTCTCTTAGCCCAGTTAAGGTTTGGTCAATTTTATGTTTTTAAGAAACAAACTCTTCATTTTGTCAACGTTTTATACTTTTTCCCTCAATTTTATTTATTTATGCCCAATATTTATTATTATTTTCTTTCTATTAATTGTAGGTTTGTTCTTACTCTGCTTGTTTCTTGAGGTGCATCATTAAGTTGTTTATTTGAAGTATTTCTACATTTTTGGTGTTGGTGTTTATTACTCTGTACTTTTCTCTTAGTACTGTTTTTGTTGTACCCCGTAGATGTCTGTATGTTTTAGTTGCATTTTTATTTGTTTCAATGAATTTTTAATTTTTTTTCTTTTTTTATTATTATTATACTTTAAGTTTTAGGGTACATGTGCACAATGTGCAAGTTAGTTACATATGTATACATCTGCCATGCTGGTGCACTGCACCCACTAGCTCGTCATTTAGCATTAGGTATATTTTCCAATGCTATCCCTCCCCCCTCCTCCCACCCCACAACAGTCCCAGAGTGTGATATTCCTCTTCCTGTGTCCATGTGTTCTCATTGTGCAATTCCCACCTATGAGTGAGAATATGCGGTGTTTGTTTTTTTCTTCTTGTGATAGTTTACTGAGAATGATGATTTCCAATTTCATCCATGTCCCCACAAAGGACATGAACTCATCATTTTTTAGGGCTGCAGTATTCCATGGTGTATATGTGCCACATTTTCTTAATCCAGTCTATCATTGTTGGACATTTGGGTTGCTTCCAAGTCTTTGCTATTGTGAATAATGCCACAATAAATGTAAGTGTGCACGTGTCTTTATAGCAGCATGATTTATAGTCCTTTGGGTATATACCCAGTAATGGGACGGCTGGGTTAGATGGTATTTCTAGTTCTAGATCCCTGAGGAATCGCCACACTGACTTCCACAATGGTTGAACTAGCTTACAGTACCACCAACAGTGAAAAAGTGTTCCTATTTCTCCGCATCCTCTCCAACACCTGTTGTTTCCTGACTGTTTAATGATTGCCATTCTAAGTGGTGTGAGATGGTATCTCATTGTGGTTTTGATTTGCATTTCTCTGATGGCCAGTGATGGTGAGCATTTTTTCATGTGTCTGTTGGCTGCATAAGTGTCTTCCTTTGAGGAGCGTCTGTTCATGTCCTTTGCCCACTTTTTGATGGGGTTGTTTGTTTTTTTCTTGTAAATTTGTTTGAGTTCATTGTAGATTCTGGATATTAGCCCTTTGTCAGATGAGTAAATTGCAAAAATTTTCTCCCATTTTGTAGGATGCCTGTTCACTCTGATGGTAGTTTCTTTTGCTGTGCAGAAGCTCTTTAGTTTAATTAGATCCCATTTGTCAATTTTGACTTTTGTTGCCATTGCTTTTGGTGTTGTAGACATGAAGTCCTTGCCCATGCCTATGTCCTGAATGGTAATGCCTAGGTTTTCTTCTAGGGTTTTTATGGTTTTAGGTCTAACGTTTAAGTCTTTAATCCATCTTGAATTGATTTTGGTATAAGGTGTAAGGAAGGGATCCAGTTTCAGCTTTCTACATATGGCTAGCCAGTTTTCCCAGCACCATTTATTAAATAGGGAATCCTTTCCCCATTGCTTGTTTTTGTCAGGTTTGTCAAAGATCAGATAGTTGTAGATATGCAGCGTCATTTCTGAGGGCTCTGTTCTGTTTCATTGATCTATATCTCTGTTTTGGTACCAGTACCATGCTGTTTTGGTTACTATAGCCTTGTAGTATAGTTTGAAGTCAGGTAGCATGATGCCTCCAGCTTTGTTCTTTTGGCTTAGGATTGACTTGGCAATGTGGGCTCTTTTTTGGTTCCATATGAACTTGAAAGTAGTTTTCTCCAATTCTGTGAAGAAAGTCATTGGTAGCTTGATGGGGATGGCATTGAATCTGTAAATTACCTTGGGCAGTATGGCCATTTTCACGTTATTGATTCTTCCTACCCACGAGCATGGAATGTTCTTCCATTTGTTTGTATTCTCTTTTATTTCCTTGTGCAGTGGTTTGTAGTTCTCCTTGAAGAGGTCCTTCACATCCCTTGTAAGTTGGATTCCTAGGTATTTTATTCTCTTTGAAGCAACTGTGAATGGGAGTTCACTCATGATTTGGCTCTCTGTTTGTCTTTTGTTGGTGTATAAGAATGCTTGTGATTTTTGTACATCGATTTTGTATCCTGAGACTTTGCTGAAGTTGCTTATCAGCTTAAGGAGATTTTGGGCTGAGACAATGGGGTTTTCTAGATATACAATCATGTCATCTGCAAACAGGGACAATTTGACTTCCTCTTAAATTTTTTTCTTACTTTTTTCTTTGACTTGTTGACCTTCAGGAACATGTTGTTTGATTTCTATATGTTTGTGTAGTTTCCAAAGTTTATTTATTTCTAATTTGATTCCATTGTGGTCAGAAAATATATATAATATAATTTCTACTTTTTCATATTTGTTCAACATGTTTGTGTCCTAACATAAGGTCTACTCTGGAGGATGCTCCATGTGCTGATAGGAATATGTATTCTGTAGCATTTAGTTGAAATATTCTGTAAATCTCAGCAAGGTTTTTTTTTTTTTTTTGTCTAGAATATAGTTTAACTGTGATTTTTTAAAATTTTCTGTCTAGATTATCTGTCCATTATTGAGAATGAGCTGTTGAAGACATCTACCATTGCTGTACTACAATCTATCTCTTCCTTTAGATATATTAACGTTTGCTCTACATACTTGGGTACTCTGGTGTTGAGTGCAAGGCCAATTAATATTACTGTATCTGCTTGCTAAATTTCCCTTTTTATTATTATATAATGGCCTTTTATCACTTTTCACAGCCTTTGACTTTTAGTATATTTTATCTTATGCAAGTAAAGCTCCTCCTGCTCTTTTTTGGTTTCCATTTGCATGAAATATCTTTCTTGATTCCTTTATTTTCAGTCTATGTATGTCTTTATAGGCAAGTTGGGATTCTTTAGGCAGCATACAGTTGAGTCTTTAGTATATCCTTTCAGCCACTTTATGCATTTTATTTATTTATTTATCCGACTTTTAATCTTAAGTTCAAGGGTATATGTGCAGGATGTGAAGGTTTGTTGCATAGTAAACATATGCCATGGTGGTTTGCTGCACAGATCATCCCATCACCCAAGTATTAAATCCAGCATCCATCAGCTATTTTTCTTGATACTCCCCTCCCTCCACTCTCCAGCCTCCGATGGGTCCCAGTGTGTATTTTTTCCCCCTTGTGTTCATGTGTTCTCAACATTCAGCTCTCACTTATAAGTGAGAACATGCAATATTTGGTTTTCTGTTTCTGCTTAGTTTCCTAAGGATAATGGCCTCAAGCTCTGTTCGTGTTACTGCAAAGCACATAAGCTCATTTTTTTCTATGGCTGCATAATATTCCATGGTAACAATCAGTGATGTTGAGCTTTGTTTTATATGTTTGTTGGCCACGTGAATTTTTTTGAGACGTATCTGTTTATGTTCTTTGTGCACTTTTTAATGGGGTTGTTTTATTTATTGTAAATTTAAGTTTCTTATAGATGCTAGATATTAGACATTTGTCAGATGCATAGATTGCAGAAATTTTCTCCTATTCTGTAGGTCTGCTTACTCTCTTGATAGTTTCTTTTGCTGTGCAGAAGCTCTTTAGTTTAATCATATCCCATTTGTCAATGTTTGCTTTTGATGAAATTGCTTTAGATACCTTTGCCATGAAATCTTTGCCCATGCCTATGTCCTGAATGGTATTGCCTCGGTTTTCTTCTAGGGTTTTTATAGTTCTGGGTTTTATATTTAAATCTTTAATCCATCTTGAGGCAGTTCTTGTTTTTTTTTTGTTTGTTTATTTTTATGTTTTTGTTTTTGAGACAGAGTCTCACTCTGTCGCCCAGGCTGGAGTGCAGTGGCATGATCTTGGCTCGCTGCAAGCTCCACCTTCCAGGTTCACACCATTCTCCTGCCTCAGCCTCCCAAATAGCTGGGACTACAGGCGCCCGCCACCACACCTGGCTATTTTTTTGTATTTTTAGTCGAGATGGGGTTTCACCATGATAGCCAGGATGGTCTCGATCTCCTGACCTCGTGATCCACCCCCCCTTGGCCTCCCAAAGTGTTGGGATTACAGGTGTGAGCCACCGTGCCAAGCCAGTTCTTGTATAAGTTTTAAGTAACGGGTCCTGTTTCAATTTTCTGCATATCGCTATACAGTTTTCCCAGCACCATTTATTAAATAGGGTATCCTTTCCTCATTGCTTGTTTTTATCAGATTTGTTGAAGATCAGATGTTTATAGGTATGCAGACTTAAATCTCAGTTCTCTATTCTGTTCCAGTGGTCTATTTATTTGTTCTTGTACCAGTGCCATGCTGTTTTGGTTATTGTAGCTGTTTAATATAGTTTGAAATCAGGTATCAACAAAGTGATGCCTCCAGCTTTGTTGTTTTTGTTTAGAATGGCAACTTAGGCTCTTTTTTTTCCCATATAAAATTTAAAATAGGTTTCGCTAATTCTGTGAAGAATGTCAATGGAAGTTTAAAGGGAATAGCACTGATTCTGTAAATGGGTAGTATGGCCATTGTAACAATATTGCATACTTTTATCCATGAATATGAAATGCTGTTCTATTTGTTTTTGTCATCCCTGATTCCATTCAGCAGTGGTTTGTAGTTCTCCTTGAAAAGGTCCTTCACTTCCCTTGTTAGCAGTATTTCTAGGTATTTTATTCTTATTGTGGCAATTGTGAATGGGACTTTATCTTCATTTGGCTCTTAGTTTGCCTGTTGTTGATGTATAGAAATGCTAGTGATTTTTGCATATTGATTTTGAATCCTGAGACTCTGCTGATGTTGCTTATCAGCTTAAGAAGCTTTTGGGCTGAGACAGTGGGGTTTCTAAATATAGGATTATGTCATCTGCAAACAAAGATTGTTTGACTTCCTCTCTTCCTACTTGGACACCCTTTATTTCTTTCTCTTGCCTCATTTCCCTGGCCAGAAATTTTACTACTATGTTGAATAGAAGTGGTTAGAGAGGGCAACTTTTTCGTGTGCCAGTTTTCAAGGAGAATGCTTCCAGCTTTTGTCCATTCAGTATGATATTGGCTGCGGGTTTGTTTTCTATAGATATTATTATTTAGAATTATGTTCCTTCAATACCTAGTTTATTAAAAGTTTTTAACCTAAAGGGCTGTTGAATTTTATCAAAGGTCTTTTCTGCATCTATTGAGATAATCATGTGGTTTTTGCCTTTTTTCTGTTTATGTGATGAATCATATGTATTGATTTGTGGATATTGAACCAACCTTGCATCCCAGGGGTGAAGCCTACTTGATCATGGTAGATAAATTTTTTGATGTGCTTCTGAATTAGGTTTGCCTGTATTTTTTTTGATAATTTTTGCATTGATGTTAATAAAGGATATTGGCCTGAAATTTTTTTTTGTTGTATCTCTGCTAGGTTTTAGTATCAGGATAACGCTGGCCTCATAGAATGAGTTAGGGAGGAGTAACTCCTTTTCAATTTTTTGAAATAGTTTCAGTAGAAATGGTACTAGCTCTTCTTTGCATCTCTGGTGGAATTCAGCTTTGAATCTGTCTAGTCCTTGGCTTTATTTGGTTTGCAGGGTATTTATTACTGACAATTTCAGAACCATTTTTGGTCTACTCAGGGATTCATTTTCTTCCTGGTTCAGTCTTGGGAGAGTGTATGTATCCAGGAATTTATTCATTTATTTTAGATTTTCTGGTTTATGTGCATAAAGTTGTTTATAGTATTCTCTGATGGTTGTTTGTATTTTTGTTGTGTCAGTTGTAATATATCCCTTATTATTTCTGATTTTGTTTACTTGAATCTTCTCTCCTTTTCTGTATTATCTTAAAAATCACTGAGTTTTCTTAAAATGGCTATTTTTGAATTCTTAGAGCTCACAAATTGTCATCTCATTAGGGTCAGTCACTGGTTTCTTGCTTTATCCATTTGGGGAAGTCATGATTCTCTGTTTGCTGTTGTTTGTTTGAATATACATCTATGCCTTTGCATTGGAAAATTATTTATTCCAATCTTCTGCTTGTCTTGTTTTGTTTTTTGGTATGTTTGCTTAAAAGTTCTTTGTAATAAACCTGTTGAATGTATTTTTCTTCCACTTGGTCGGTGCCACCTCTTTTGCCCAAGACGGCACCTTAAATCTCAGGTTTGCTTCAGCTCTAGCAAACTTTGAAGTGTTGCCTGTCTCAGGTGGGGCATCTCCCAAAATAGCCAAGATACAGGGCAGAGTTTCCTGGTCTGGGAATATTAGTCCTTCTCCAACATCACCCCCTGCTTTGTCTCTGGCTGTCATCAGAATTTTATCTTCCTTCATGCCCTCATGCTGCTTCCCATGGTTTGAATAGGAGCAGGTCTTTTTTTTTCTTTTTAGGAAATCCAAAATGTTGGGAAAGTTGGTGTTCACTTTGATCTCACTTTTTTCAGTGTATTGACCATGAGTTTGGGGAAAATTTTATTCATGCTTGGTGCCTAGGAGATTGAAGAAAGGCTGTCATGGATATAAAAGTCCAATTCTCTTAAGATTTGCATAGAGTATTCTCACTTCTTTGTGTCCCCAGGAACTGTCTCATCTTTATTTGAGTTCTGGGATGTTGCTGGTGATAATCTTGGCACTGTATACTTGGTTTTGGTTTTCTGTAGGGAATGGAGTGAAGCTAAAGAAAAAGAGTGAATTCCATATGATTCCATTTATATAAAATTCTAGAATATGCAAACCAAGGTATTATGATAAAACACAGATTGATCATTGTTTTCAGTGACACCTCAGAAGCCCAGTGTAGTAGACCCAGTGAAAATTTAAATTTATTCTTCTGGAATTACCAACCAGTTCATGAAATCTGCATTCTTTTTTAGAAATATCAGGTCATAAGGGGAATTTATCTTCTTAATGAAAATTCAGAACAGTGGTGCATTTCACAGGAATATGTTCCTTACCTCATTTTGAAGATCTATTCAATCCCATCAGAAAGTCCAGTTTTTAATAGGACCTTGTCCCTTTCAAATGCACCACCAGAGAGTGAACATTTTTTTCTACTTGATGCAGATAATGCTTTTTTTTTTTAATTTGCAGGTTCAAGTGAAATACGTCATAATTTCTATTTACTCCTATCCAAATAACTCCATGAAGTGATTGGTACATTCATCAATGTCATCATCAAGACCAAAAAATTACCTCATAAAATAATGCCATGTGTTTGCATTTATAATTGGGGGCTAAACTATGGATAAACATGGACACAAAGATAGAAAGAATAGACACTGGAGATTCCAAAAAAGGAGAGGGTGAGAGGAGGGTGAAGATTGATAAATTATCTATTGAGTATAGTGTTTACTATTTGGGTGCTGCATACACTAGAAGCCTAAAACTCATCACTATGCAATACAGCCATGTAACAAACCTGCACATGTACCCCTGAATCTAAAAATAAAGGAAAATAAATACCTGAATCAAAAATAAAAATTAAAATGTATCATTACCTTCAAATTGACTATTTCATTAAAGAAGATTTTACCTTTATATATGCCTGTTTAAAGTTTTTACACAGATAATTATCCTGGAGATATTTCCTAGACTTTAGAGACATGCTATACCTACACAAGTATATCTCAAAATGGAGATGTCATAAAATTCAAAATATTTTAAAAAATATTTACAGACATTCAAAATTAATGAAAACATTGTATGATGCCTTCCAGCAGCCAATGCTCTAACAGGTCATTTTAATTAAGAATATGCACATTTATCTTAAAGGGCATGTTATGCTTTAATACATCGTAATTTGTATGAACTATCATTCATTATAAATGACATCTAAAAGAAATCTCTTGTAACTTATAGTCAGAGCAAGAACCCCATATATTTGCAGCTTTGTGTTTAAATGTTTTCCACATGACAGGTTCTCTGTATAAAATGGAATTCTGACACCTTAACAGGAGCTTACTTGTGTGTGGTATGACTTCAGTCTCATTTTTCTTTTTTTTTAATCTTTTTATTGTACTTTAAGTTTTAGGGTACATATGCACAACATGCAGGTTGGTTACATATGTATACATGTGGCATGTTGGTGTGCTGCACCCATTAACTTGTCATTTAACATTAGGTATATCTACTAATGCTATCCCTCCCCCCTCCCCCATCTCACAACAGACCCCAGTGTGTGATGTTCCCCTTCCTGTGTCCATGTGTTCTGATTGTTCAGTTCCCACCTATGAGTGAGAACATAGGGTGTTTGGTTTTTTGTCCTTGTGATAGTTTGCTGAGAATGATGGTTTCCAGCTTCATCCATGTCCCTACAAAGGACATGAACTCAACATTTTTTAGGGCTGCATAGTATTCCATGGTGTATAGGTGCCACATTTTCTTAATCCAGTCTATCATTTTTGGACATTTGGCTTGGTTCCAAGTCTTTGCTATTGTGAATAGTGCCACAATAAACATACGTGTGCATGTGTTTTTATAGCAGCATGATTTCTAATCCTTTGGGTATATACCCAGTAATGGGATTGCTGGGTCAAATGGTATTTCCAGTTCTAGATCCCTGAGGAATTGCCTCAATGACATCCACAAAGGTTGAAGTAGTTTACAGTCCCACCAACAGTGTAAAAGTGTTCCTATTTCTCCACATCCTCTCCAGCACCTGTTGTTTCCTGACTTTTTAACGATTGCCATTCTAACGGGTGGGAGATGGTATCTCATTGTGGTTTTGATTTGCATTTCTCTGATGGCCAGTGATGATGAGCATTTTTTCATGTGTCTGTTGGCTGCATAAATGTCTTCTTTTGAGGAGCGTCTGTTCATATCCTTTGCCCACTTGTTGATGGGGTTATTTGCTTTTTTTTGTAAACTTGTTTGAGCTCTTTGTAGATTCTGGATATTAGCCCTTTGTCAGATGAGTAAATTGCAAAAATTTTCTCCCATTCTGTAGGTTGCCTGTTCACTCTGATGGTAGTTTCTTTTGCTGTGCAGAAGCTCTTTAGTTTAATTAGATCCCATTTGTCAATTTTGACTTTTGTTGCCATTGCTTTTGGTGTTTTAGACAGGAATTCCTTGCCCATGCCTATGTTCAGAATGGTATTGCCTAGGTTTTCTTCAAGGGTATTTATGGTTTTAGGTCTAACATTTAAGTCTTTAATCCATCTTGAATTAATTTTTGTATAAGGTTTAAGAAAGAGACCCAGTTTCAGCTTTCTACATATGGCTAGCCAGTTTTCCCAGCACCATTTATTAAATAGGGAGACCTTTCCCCATTTCTTGTTTTTGTCAGTTTTGTCAAAGATCAGATAGTTGTAGATATGTGGCATTATTTCTGAGGGCTCTGTTCTGTTCCATTGATCTATATCTCTGTTTTGATACCAGTACCATGCTGTTTTGATTACTGTAGCCTTGCTGTATAGTTTGAAGTCAGGTAGCGTGATACCTCCAGCTTTGTTCTTTTGACTTAGGATTGACTTGGCAATGTGGGCTCTTTTTTGGTTCCATATGAATTTGAAAGTAGTTTTTTCCAATTCTGTGAAGAAAGTCATTGGTAGCTTGATGGAGATGGCACTGAATCGACGAATTACCTTGGGCAGTATGGCCATTTTCATGATATTGATTCTTCCTACCCATGAGCATGGAATGTTCTTCCCTTTGTTTGTATCCTCTTTTATTTCATTGAGCAGTGGTTTGTAGTTCTCCTTGAAGAGGTCCTTCGCATCCCTTGTAAGTTGGATTCCTAGGTATTTTGTTCTCTTTGAAGCAACTGTGAACGGGAGTTCACTCATGATTTGGCTCTCTGTTTGTCTGTTATTGGTGTATAAGAATGCTTGTGATTTTTGCACATTGATTTTGTATCCTGAGGCTTTGCTGAAGTTGCTTATCAGCTTAAGGAGATTTTGGGCTGAGACAATGGGGTTTTCTAGATATACAATCATGTCATCTGCAAACAGGGACAATTTGACTTCCTCTTTTCCTAATAGAATACCCTTTATTTCCTTCTCCTGCCTTATTGCCCTGGCCACAACTTCCAACACTATGTTGAATAGGAATGGTGAGAGAGGGCATCCCTGTCTTGTGCCGGTTTTCAAAGCGAATGCTTCCAGTTTTTGCCCATTCAGTATGATATTGACTGTGGGTTTGTCATAGATAGCTCTTATCATTTTGAGATACGTCCCATCAATAAATAATTTATTGAGATTTTTTAGCATGAAGGGTTGTTGAATTTTGTCAAAGGCCTTTTCTGCTTCTATTGAGATAATCATGTGGTTTTTGTCATTGGTTCTGTTTATATGCTGGATTATGTTTATTGATTTTCATATGTTGAACCAGCCTTGCATCCCAGGGCTGAAGCCCACTTGATCATGGTGGATAAACTTTTTGATGTGCTGCTGGATTCAGTTTGCAAGAATTTAGTGAGGATTTTTGCATTGATGTTAATCAGAGATCTTGGTCTAAAATTCTATTTTTTTTGTTGTTTTGTCTCTGCCAAGCTTTGGTATGAGGATGATGCCGGCCTCATAAAATGAGTTAGTGAGGATTCCCTCTTTTCCTATTGATTGGAATAGTTTCAGAAGGAATGGTACCAGCTCCTCTTTGTATCTCTTGTAGAATTCCGCTGTGAATCTGTCTGGTCCTGGACTTTTTTTGGGAATTTATCCATTTCTTCTAGATTTTCTAGTTTATTTGTGTAGAGGTGTTTATAGTATTCTCTGATGGTAGTTTGTATTTCTGTGGGATTGGTGGTGATATCCCCTTTATCATTTTTTATTGTGTCTATTTGATTCTTCTCTCTTTTCTTCTTTATTAGTCTTGCTAGCTGTCTATCAATTTTGTTGAGCTTTTCAAAAAACCAGTTCCTGGATTCATTGATTTTTTGAAGGATTTTTTGTGTCTCTATCTCCTTCCGTTCTGCTCTGATCTTAGTTATTTCTTGCCTTCTGCTAGCTTCTGAATGTGTTTACTCCTGCTTCTCTAGTTCTTAAAATTGTGATGTTAGGGTGTCAATTTTAGATCTTTCCTGCTTTCTTTTGTGGGCATTTAGTGCTATAAATTTCCCTCTACACACTGCTTTGAATGTGTCCCAGAGATTCTGGTATGTTGTGTCTTTGTTCTCATTGGATTCAAAAGAACATCTTTATTTCTGCTTTCATTTCGTTATGTACCCAGTAGTCATTCAGAAACAGGTTGTTCAGTTTCCATGTAGTTGAGCGGTTTTGAGTGAGTTTCCTAATGTTGAGTTCTAGTTTGATTGCACTGTGGTCTGAGAGACAGTTTGTTAAAATTTCTGTTCTTTTACATTTGCTGAGGAGTGCTTTACTTCCAATTATGTGGTCAATTTTGGAATAGGTGTGGTGTGGTGCTGAGTATAATGTATATTCTGTTGATTTGGGGTGGAGAGTTCTGTAGATGTCTATTAGGTCTGCTTGGTACAGAGCTGAGTTCAATTCCTGGATATCCTTGTTAACTTTCTGTCTCATTGATCTGTCTAATGTTGACAGTGGGGTGTTAAAGTCTCCCATTATTATTGTGTGGGAGTCTAAGTCTCTTTCTAGGTCCCTAAGGACTTGCTTTATGAATCTGGGTGCTTCTGTGTTGGGTGCATATCTATTTAGGTTAATTAGCTCTTCTTGTTGAATTGATCCCTTTACCAGTATGGAATGGCCTTCTTTGTCTCTTTTGATCTTTGTTGGTTTAAAGTCTGTTTTATCAGACTAAGATTGCAACCCCTGCCTTTTTTTGTTTTCCATTTGCTTGTTAGATCTTCCTCCTTCCCTTTATTTTGAGCCTATTTGTGTCTCTGCACATGAGATGGGTTTCCTGAATACAGCACACTGATGGGTCTGGACTTTTTATACAATTTGCCAATCTGTGTCTTTTAATTTGAGCATTTAGCCCATTTACATTTAAGTTTAATATTGTTATGTGTGAATCTGATCCTGTCATTATGATGTTAGCTGGTTATTTTGCTCGTTAGTTGATTCAGTTTCTTCCTAGCCTCAATGGTCTTTATAATTTGGTGTGTTTTTGCAGTGGCTGGTATCGGTTGTTCCTTTCCATGTTTAGTGCTTCCTTCAGGAGCTCTTGTAGGGCAGGCCTGGTGGTGACAAAATCTCTCATCATTTGCTTGTCTGTAAAGGATTTTATTTCTCCTTCACTTATGAATCTTAGTTGGTTGGATATGAAATTCTGGGTTGAAAATTCTTTTCTTTAAGAATGTTGAATATTGGCCCCCACTCTCTTCTGGCTTGTAGAGTTTCTGCCGAGAGATCCGCTGTTAGTCTGATGGGCTTCCCTTTGTGGGTAACCTGACCTTTCTCTCTGGCTGCCCTTAACAGTTTTTCCTTCATTTCAACTTTGGTGAATCTGACAGTTACGTGTCTTGGAGTTGCTCTTCTCGAGGAGTATCTTTGTGGTTTTCTCTGTATTTCCTGAATTTGAATGTTGGCCTGCCTTGCTAGGTTGGGGAATTTCTCCTGGATAATATCCTGCAGAGTGTTTTCCAGATTGATTCCTTTCTCCCCGTCACTTTCAGGTATACCAATCAGATGTAGATTTCATCTTTTCACATAGTCCCATATTTCTTGGAGGCTTTGTTCATTTCTTTTTATTCTTTTTTCTCTAAACTTCTCTTCTTGCTTCATTTCATTCATTTGGTCTTCCATCAGATACCCTTTCTTCCAGTTGATCAAATCGGCACTGAGACTTGTGCATTCATCACGTATTTCTCGTGCCATGGTTTTCAGCTCCATCAAGTCCTTTAAGGACTTCTCTGCATTGGTTATTCTAGTTAGCCATTCATCTAATCTTTTTTCAAGGTTTTTAACTTCTTTGCCATGGGTTCGAACTTCCTCCTTTAGCTCGGAGAAGTTTGATCATCTGAAGCCTTCTTCTCTCAACTCGTCAAAGTCATTCTCTGTCTAGCTTTGTTCCCTTGCTGGTGAGGAGCTGCATTCCTTTGGAGGAAGAGAGGTGCTCTGATTTTTAGAATTTTAGTTTTTCTACTCTGTTGTTTTCCCATCTTTGCAATTTTATCTACCTTTGGTCTTTGATGATTGTGACGTACAAATGGGGTTTTGCTGTGGATATCCTGTTTGTTAGTGTTCCCTCTAACAGTCAGGACCCTCAGCTGCAGGTCTGTTGGAGTTTGCCAGAGGTGCACTGCAGTTCCTGTTTGCCTGGGTATCAGCTGCGGAGGCTGCAGAACAGCGAATATTGCTGAACAGCAAATGTTGCTGCTTGATCGTTCCTCTGGAAATTTTGTCTCAGAAGAGTACCCGGCCATGTGAGGTGTCAGTCTGCCCCTACTGGCGGCTTCCTCCCAGTTAGGCTACTCCGGGTTCAAGGACCCTCTTGAGGAGGCAGTCTGTCCGTTCTCAGATCTCAAGCTGCATGCTGGGAGAACCGCCACTTTCTTCAAAGCTGTCAGACAGGGATATTTAAGTCTGCAGAGGTTTCTGCTGCCTTTTGTTTGTCTGTGCCCTGCCCCCACAGGTAGAGTCTACAGAGGCAGGCAGGCCTCCTTGAGCTGCAGTGGACTCCACCCAGTGCGAGCTTCCTGGCCACTTTGTCTACCTTCTCAAGCCTCAGCAATTGTGGGCACCCCTTCTCCAGGCTTGCTGTGGCCTTGCAGTTTGATCTCAGACTGCAGTGCTAACAATGAGCAAGGCTCCGTGGGCTTAGGACCCTGCGAGCCAGGTGCAGGATCTAATCTCCTGGTGTGCCGTTTGCTAAGACTGTCGGAAAAGCACAGTATTAGGGTGGGACTGACCCAATTTTCCAGGTGCCTTCTGTCACTCCTTTCTTTGGCTAGGAAAGGGAATTCCCTGACCCCTTGGACTTCCTGGGTGAGGTGATGCCTGCCCCTGCTTTGGCTCATGATCAGTGCACTGCACCCACTGTCCTGTACCCACTTTCTTACAATCCCCCGTGAGATGAACCCAGTACCTCAGTTGGAAATGCAGAAATCATTCGTCTTCTGCATTGCTCATGCTGTGAGCTGTAGACCTCTCGTTTTTCATAGACTTGGAAGATTTGGATTTTTTTTGACTACAATGAGTTACTTTCTCTCATCAGAAACACTAAAGCTCTAACTAATCTTTTTTATATTTACTGATCCATCTCTACCATAGTGATGTCCATTTTAATTTATAGCACATATATTATTTGAAAACATTTTATATCCAATCACAGACAATAAAATCCATTTGGGAAACATTGCATCATTACATTTCTATAACATTTTCAATTGCACCAGTCTTGGTGAGGATAATACACCATGACATAATTCAGATGTGCTCTGTTGCAGTGTTACAAACACTGCTATCAGGCCTTTGGCTCTCCTGACATTAAACAAACTTGACCTCCTAATACATATCTCCTCTTTCAAAATGTTTTACACAGGGCTCCCAGGATATTAAGATTTTATGCTTTTCTCTCTTACCTCAGTGATAGCTCCTTGTCAGTCTCCTTTGTTGTTCTTCCTCATCAACACAAACTTTAATGATAGTTGGATTCAGGGCTCTGTTCTTGATCTTTTACCTTAGTGTTGTACACATGCTTAGTAACCTCATTTACTTTCATGGCTTTAAATCACAGCTAATGATTTCCACAATTATATCTAAACCCAGATTTATCTCTTGAGACCAAATCTTGCATATTTAACTTCCTACTTAATGTCTATATCTGGATGTCAATTAGGTATCTTAAGCTTAACATTTCCTAAGCATAATACCTAATCTCCTTTTCCCTCAAAATTCTATCCACCTCTGTGTTTCCTTTTACAACTGATGGCAACTCCAGGTTTTCAGATGTGCAGATCTAAAATCTTGGAAGAATTTTTTACTTCTCTCTGATCTTAATCTTTAATATCTAACCAGGTTTTTTTACCTTGTAATTATCACCAGCATCTGACCACCTTTACCATCTCCGCTGACAAAAGCATCCTGCTCTGAGATATTTTCTTTCTTATCCAGACTATGGGAGGTAGCTTTGAATTGGCTTACTGTTTCTACTTTTGTTCCCAAAAGTATATTCTAAAGGCAACTTATTAGTAATTTTTAAAAATTGCTGAGGGAATAAGAACAAATATTTCAAAAATGCTTTCTGAGTGAAAAAAATTGGATGAATATGTCAAGAAATACATGAGGTTTAACTTAAGATTTTTATCTTCCACGAGCAATCCATTACATAATTATTCAAAAGCTGTGTTTACTATTATGCCCTTCTTTCTATTAAAATAAAATTACTGGTATCATGTTACGTTTTCAACTCTTTAAAATTATTGAGCATATATTAACTCATTAGGCTAAATCTTATCTCTGTCAGTGCTAATGCACATTTCTTGTCAATTACCTAAAGCCTACAGTGTTTGTTTCCTGTTTCAAGAATTGAAGTTGCAAACTTGTCCCATAGGCATCTCAAACTCAAGTCCAAAAATGAAAATGCCATTTTCTAACATGTGTCTACCCATTTTTCTTATTCAATTCTTCCTGTCTCAGTGAATGATAATAGCATATATACCAAGTTGACCAAGCCAGGAAGCTGAGCATTACCCTTGTTTCCTTCATCTTCTTCTCTCCCACAAACACTTTTATCTATTCCTTTCTATCCCACCTGCTTCTTTCCAAGTTCTATCCACCGTGGAATTGCATCTTATAATCTATATCATCAGATATTTAGATCAGTGATTTCAAAGTTGGCTGTGCATTGGAATTACCCAGAGTTGTTAAATTACATATTTTTTGGCCCTTACCTGCTCATTGTGATTCCGATGTTCAGGACTGAAGTCTAAGAATCTAAATTTTTTGGAAATTCTTTCAAGATTAGCATGGCCTCATACCATAATTTGAAAACCACTAGTAAGTCCACAAGAGCCCTAGTGCGAGCAACATAAATTAGCAGAAAATGGGGGGATGTAAAATAGAATTTTAAGTCTTGAGGTTGGCAAGAATTTACTTGGTTACCGAATGAATATGGAGTTAAAGGAGAAACCTTTGTCAAAAATGGGCCCAAGGTCTCAAAACTATGTCCCAGTTTTAAGAGAAGAGAACTAATAAAGAGAAAGGAGCCTTTATAAGAGCAAGGTAAATTCAGTTTGTGGCATATTACATTTGAAATAACACTGGGACAGCCAAAGGGATATACCAAGTAATTCATTATGCTATACAGAAGATTGAAGTGACTGTTAATGATTACATAGTTAAATGCACAGTTAACCAGATAGAAGTGGAAGATGAAACTTTTGAAAAGATGAGCATGTTGAAAAAATATCAGGATCAACCTGTCAGGAGCTACTCTTACTCTCTTGTCCGTTTGCGTCACATCTCAATCTAGTTTCAGCCCTCAATCCCAGTTCCAGTCAAAACTGAGTGGTCTTTAGTCCCTGACACACAAGAGTTATACAACTGACAGAAACTGCAGTGATTACGTCTCCTTGACAATGACATGTTCCTCTGCTGAATACTGCTTTATTCCCTCTTTTCATTTACTGGTTCTTTTTTTTTTTTTTTTTTTTTTTTTTTTTTAAGACAGAATCTCACTCTGTCACCCAGGCTGGAGTACAGTGGCGTGATCTCGGCTCACTGCAATCTCTGCCTCCCGGGTTCACGCCATTCTCCTGCCTCAGCCTCCTGAGTAACTGGGACTACAGGTGCCTACCACCACGCCCGGCTAATTTTTTGTATGTTTAGTAGAGACAGGGTTTCACCGTGTGAGCCAGGATGGTCTCGATCTCCTGACCTTGTGATCTGCAAGCCTCGGCCTCCCAAAGTGCTGGGATTACAGGCGTGAGCCACCGCACCCCATTTACTGGTTCTTGATGCTAAGATTGGTGCTTGCCTTGTCTTTTGCCTATTTCTGATTCCCAACCTCCCCAAATCAAAACAGACCTTGACTTCTGTATTGTTTCACAATTGCTTGATTACCTGACTCTGTATCACATTATCCCAAACAGTGCAATCACCAGGGTTGTTTAGCTATCATTTTAATATGAATCATTTCATTCTTTAATATGAACTTTTGTCTTGTTACAAGAGGGACAGATTTTTATTGAACCTTTGTAATAATTATATTGCCACAAAATGTACACTCAATAAGAGTTCCTGAATTCTTGAGGGATCAGGTAGAAATAAAAAAAGAAATGTTTTATTTCTGTTTATGAAAACAAAAGCTACTAAACTGTTATGAGTTATAGACGGCTAAAGAGAAAAGAGAAAATATTTCCTTATATTCAGAACATTGAACCTTAAAGCATCAGCAATATTCCAAACACAATGTATATCTTTTTATCAGTTTATTTAGTCTCATGTAATTAATTATTGTTCTGCTTGATCTTGGGTTGGCAGTTTAATGAACTCATCAGCTTGGCACTAAAGTTCTAGCAATTGTGACTCAGTTCAGTAGTATGCTCGCTAAGCAATACTATCAGAAGCATATACCCCAGAATACTTCAGTCTCTTTTTGGCTGTAACTGTTTGCAAGTGCTTTTAGGGAAGTGTCAGAGTGAAACAAAAATTAGCTCTGGGTGATGAAAGGCTTAAAATGGCCATAGTTAAAGATCTGATGGAAATTTATTTGATAAAAAATTGGTTGTTTTTATGGCATACATTTAAAAAATAGCTGGAATTATGACTAATAAATTTATAGCATTATGATATTGTCTCATTTTAGGCAAGGCAGCAATAGAAATATTATGAGCAGCAGGGCATTGGCAAATTTCTAAGAACTCTATAAAATTTCTTATTTTTAAAATTTTATTTTAATTGAAACTTAATAATTGCATATATTTGTGGACTATAATGCAATGTTTTAAATTGGAAGATATTTTACGTACTTGTGGTATAAAACATGATGTTTTGATATATGTGTACACTGTAGAAAGACTAAATCAAGCTAATTAATATGTACATTACTTCTTATCTTTTTTTGTGGTGAGAACACTTAAAATTTACTCTCTAAACAATTTTCAAGTATACAATATATTGTGATTAATTGTAGTCACAATAATATACAATAAATCTCTCAAACTTATTCGTTTTGTCTAACTGAATTTTTATGTTTTTTGTCTAATATCTCCTCATTCCCCTGGCAATCCTCAGCCTATGGGAACTACCATTCTACTCTCTATTTGTATGAATTCCATTTTTTTAAATTTCACATTTAAGTGAGATTACGTGCTTCTTATCTTTCTGTATCTGGCTTATGTTACTTAAGGCAATCTCCTACATGTTCATCTATATTGTTTTAAATAATAGAATTTCCCTTTTAAAAAATATTTTAAGAAGAGGGCAGAGCAAGATGATGGAATAGAAGCTTACCACCATTCATACTCCCTACTGGAAACTCAAATTTTAACAACTACCTGCCCACAGAAAAACACCATCAAAAGAAACAAAAATCAGGCGAGCAACCACAGTACTTGGTTTTAACTTCATATCACTGAAAGAGGGATTGAGGATGGCAGGAGATACAGTCTTGAATCGCTGATGCAACCTCTGCCCCATCCCCTGGCAGTGACCATGTAACACCAAGAGAGAGTCTGTGCATTTTGGGGTGGGAGAGTTTAGTGACTGGGGGATATTACAGTAAACTCAGTGCTGCCCTGTCACAGCAGAGAATAAAGGTGTGCTGGGCTCAGCCAGTGCACATCCATGGAAGGAGTATTTAGACCAGACTAACCAGAAGGGAATCACCCATTCCAGCAGTCAGAACTTGAGTTTCTTGGCAAGCCTTGCCACCACAGGCTGAAGTGCTCTAGAGTCCTAGGTAAACTTGAAAGGCAGTCTAGGACACAAGAACTACAATTCTTAGGCAACTCCAAGTGCTAGGCTGAACTTAGTATCAGTGAAGTAATGTGGCATATGACCTAGGTAGACACCAGCTGGCAAGGCTGAGGGAGCCCTTGGGCCATCCCTTCCTCAATTCCAGGCAGTGCAGCTCCCATCAATGAAAGTGACTCCTTCCTGCTATGTGAGGAGAGGAGAGCAAAGATTAAAGAAGATTTAGTTTTGCATCTTGAATATCAGATCAACTACAGTAGGATAGGGTACCAAGCAGAGTAATGAGGCTCTAGCTTTCACGTGACATTTCTAGACACACTCTAGGCCAAAAGGGAATCTGCTACATTAAAGGGAAGGACCCAGTCCTGGCAGGATTCATCACCTGCTGACAAAAGACCCCTTGTGCCCTGAAAAACCAACAGCAATACACAAGTGGTACACCACGGGCCTTGGGCTCTGAGACAACCTGGCTTCAGGGGAGACCCAGCACATTCCCAGCTTTGGTGGCTATGGTGAAAGACTCCTTCTCTTTGAGAAAAGAAGAGGAAATACTAAAAGTGACTTTGTATTGCACCTTAGTTACCAGCTTGGCCAAAGTTGGGTAGATCAACCAACAAGCAGATACTTGGAGTTCCCAAATTCAGACATAGCCTCTTGGACAGAATTTCTGGACCTACCCTGGGCCAGAAGGGAGACCACTGCTCTGAATGGTGTGTCCCAGGCCTGACAGCATTCACCACAAGCTGATGGAAGAGCCCTTGGGTTTTAAGTGGATGTCAGTGGTGACCAGGCAGAACCCCCCTCCAATAGACTGGTGGTGTTGGTGGCCACAGGGAGAGGCTTCTCTCCCTGTAGAAAGAGAAGGCTGGGTGCAGTGGCCCACATCTGTAATCCCAGCACTTTGGGAGGCCGAGGCAGGTGGATCACGAGGTCAGGAGCTCAAGACCAGCCTGACCAGTATGGTGAAACCCCGTGTCTACTAAAAATACAAAAATTAGCTGGACATGTTGGCACACACCTGTAGTCCCAGCTACTTGGGAGGCTGAAGCAGGAGAATTGCTTGATTCCAGGAGGTGGAGGTTGTCGTGAGCAAAGATCATGCCACTTCACTTCAGCCTGGGTGACAGAGCCAGGCTCTGTCTCAAAAAAAAAAAAAAAAAAAAAAGAAAGAAAGAAAAAGAAAAGAAAGAAAAAGAAAAGAAAAAAACAAAAAAGAAAAGAAGGAGGAGAAGAGAGCAGGAAAGATATATTTTGTATTGTGGTTTTAGGGCCAGATTACTCACAGCAGAATAAAATACTAAGCAAACTGCTAATGTTTTTGACTCAAATGGCTGGCTCCCAGACAGTATTTCTGGACATGCTTGGGGCCTGAGGGAACTTGTTATCATGAAGGAAAGGATCTTGGTCAAGACACTGTGCAGTGCTGGCTTCAGGTCTGTCCTGTGCTGTCCTAGTGGTTGTGGCCACAAAGCTTCTTGCAGCACCATTTCTCAAGTTCCAGGTGGTTCAGCACAGAGAGGGAGATTCCATTTTTTTGTAAGAAAGTAAGTAAAAAGTACAAGAATCTTTGCCTGGTAATCCAGAAAATTCTTCCAAATTTTATCCAAAACCACCAAGGCAGTACCTCTATGAGTCTGCAAAAACTAAAGCATTACTAAGCTTGGTGCCTAAGTCCCTTCAAATATTTTGAAAACCTTCCCAGAAAGGACAGGCATGAACAAACCCAGATTGTGTAGACTACAATAAATACCTACAATAAATACCCAATAAAAATTCTTCAGTGTTCAGACACCAGGGAATATCTACAAACATCAACATCATCCAGGAAAACATGACCTCACCAAATGAAATAAGGCACCAGAGATCAGCCCTGGAGGAACAGAGATATGTGACCTTTCAGACAGAGAATTCAAAATAGCTGTGTTGAGGAAACTCAAAGAAATCAAGATAAACACAGAAAAGAAATACAGAATTTTATCAGATAAATTTTAAAAAGAGATTGAAGTAATTTAAAAAATCAAGCATAAATTCTAGAGTAGAAAAATGCAATTGACATGCCAAAGAATAAATCAGAGTCTCTTAGTAGCAGAATTGATAAAACAGAAGAAAGAATTAGTGAGCTTGAAGACAGGTTATTTGAAAACACACAGTCAGAGGAGACAAAAGAAAAAATGCATGGCTACAAGATATGCAATAGAAAACAAGCCTCAAAAGTTTAAATCTAATAGTTGCTGACTGTGAAGAGGAGATAAAGTAAGAGATAGGGGTAGAAAGTTTATTCAAAGGGATAGTATTAGAGAACTTCCCAAATCCAGAGAAAGGTATCAACATTTAAGTAGAAGAATGTTATAGAACACCAAGCAGACCAGGATGACCATGTGATCCCTTTAATTGGAACCAAAGTTTCAATAGTAATGGACACATCTGATTTTTAAAATGGGCAAATAACTCAAATGGATATTTCTCAAAAGAAGATATACAATTGGCCAACAGGTATATTTAAAACTTCACTAATAATCATCATCACTAATAAAGAAGAACAAATTAAAGCCACTATGAGATATTACCTCATATTATTAAAATGACTACCATAAAACTGGGTTATTTGTTTCCTTGCTATTGAGTTGTTTGAGTTTTTTAATATATTTCAGATATTACCTTCTTTTCAGATATGTGATTTGCAAATATTTTCTCCCAAACCATGGGTTATGTCTTCACTTTGTTAATTGTTTCCTTTACTGTGCAGAGCTTTTTAGCTCAAGGGAATCCCAGTCTTCTATTTTTTGTTTGTGCCTTTGGGATCATATAAAAAAAAAATCTTTGTCCAGACAAATGTTATGGAACATTTCCCCTCTGTTTTCTTCTAGTAGTTTTAAAGTTTCAGGTCTTATGTTTAAATATTTTATCCACTTTGAGTTGATTTTTGTATATTGTGTGAGATAATGGTCCTATTTCATTCTTCTCTATTCTTCCTTGTGAAAAATCAGCTCACTATAAATGCATGAGTTTATTTCTGGATTTCTATTCTGCTCAATTTGTTGATGAGTCTATTTTTATACCAGTACTATATTGTTCTGATTATTATAGCTTTGTTTAATATTTTGAAATCAGGAAATGCAGGGCCTCCAGCTTTGTAATTTTTGCTCTGGCTATTCAGACTCCTTTATGGTTTCATACAAATTTTATAATTTGTTTTCTATTTCTGTGAAAACTATTAGAATATTGATAGAGATTATGTATGAGCATTTAAATCATATTAAATCTTCTAATCCATATACAGGAGATATATTTCAATTTCTTTGAATATTCCTCAATTTGTTTTAACAGTTTTCTTTTTTAAATTCAGAACTGAGCAGGTTATTAATATTTTGTAGTTTTTGACATATAGATTATTCAAATCCTTGGTTAAATTTATGCCTGAGTATTTTACTCTTTTTGACACTGTTGTAAATGGAATATTGCTAGGGTATAGAAATGCTAACTTACAAAGTTAATTTTGTATCCTGAAGTTTTAATGAATTCATTTATTAGGTGCAACAGTTTTTTGATGTAGTTTGTAGGGTTTTCTATATCATGTCATCTTCAAACATAAACAATTTTAACTTTTTATTTTTTATTTGGATATCTTTTATTTATTATTATTGTTATTATTTGTCTATCCACCTTGTGTAGGAATTCCAGTACTATGATAAATGAAGGTGGAGAGAATAGGTATCCTTGTCTTCTTCCTGATCTTAGAGAATAAGCTTTCATGTTTTCATTGTTGAGTATAATGTTAGTTGTGGACACGCCATAAATAGTGTTTATTGGGCTGAGGTGCACTTCTTTTGTACTTTATGTAACTTTTTGGCTTTGGTATTAGTGCTATGCTGGCCTTATAAAATATTTTTTTAAATGTTGCTTTTTTCTTCAACTTTTGAAAGTGTTGGAAGTTGATTTGTATTACTTCCTGGAATGTTTAATCAAATTAAGCCAGAAAGCCACCTGATTCTGCATTTAAGTTTATGGGAGACTTTCTTATTTTCTTATTAATTGGTCTGATTATATTTCTCTTTTTTTTTCTGATTCACTCTTGATAGGTGTTATGCTTATAGGAATTCTTGCATTTCTTCTTATAAGCCCACTAGGGCTGGTCTGAAGGCAGGGTGTTCAGGTATTGTCTTGGAGGCTAAATCTAAAAGACTGGTCTAAATCTTGCAGCCTTGTGATCAGTCTTGGAGTCTGGGATCATGGGGATTACCCAGTACAATATATACTGTGACTAGCTTAGATCCTGTGTCTGTTGAAGCATAGGGGTGCAGGAGCCAGCCTGGAGGTTAGGGCCACAGGGATTGGCTTCACACTGGTCAGGACTAAAGCCTGTTTCTACAGGTGATAGTCTAGTGTCTGAGGCCAGGTGTGCTGACCTGGCATTGGGGTGGGTCTGAGGCCTAGGACTATGTGTGCCAATCTAGTTCTGTGCTGGTCTGGAACCTTGGACATGCCTAGAGCCTGGTGCTACAGGGGCTGGCCTGGAGCTGGGCAAGCATTGAACATGTATGCACAGGGCCTTGCCTGTAGACTGAGCCCATAAGTGCCAGCCTGATGACGAGTGTTGTGTAGGCTATTTTGCTGAGAATGCTTTGGAGCCTGAGGCTTCTAGGGCCAGCCTGGTTCTGGTATGTCCCTAGATACAATAGTCTGTGGGGTTTGGCTGGATTCAGCCTGCTTCTTGGTGTGTCTGAAGTCTGGGGTTGCTGGGGCTAGTCTGATAGTGGAGAAGACTCATAGCCCAGTGCTGCTGTGGTTGGACTCATGTTAGAGTGAGCCTGAAGCCTGGGGGTTCGGACTGCCCTGAAACAGAGGTGACTCTGAAGTCTGGGATTGCTAGGGTGTCTCTAAAGCTTAGGGCTTTGGGAGATGGCCTAATGGTGGGGAGGACTTGAAGTTCAGTGTTGCTGGGGCTAGGCTGGCACTGTGGTGGTCCTGAACCTTGGTGTTGCTTGGATGATCCTGAAGCTGGGGCAGCTAGGGCTGTCATGATGGAGAAGAAAGCCTGAAGCTCATTGGTGCCAGGGTCCAACTTGCACTGGGGTAGGCTCAAAGCTGGAGCTGCCAAGGCCAGCCTTGTCCTAGGATGTGCCTGACGTCTGGAGCCATTGAGGCTGCCTTGGCACTGGAATTAGTCTTGAGCTGGGGATGCTGAGGTTGGAATGGTTCTGGAGCTAGCACGAAGACTGAGTTTCCTGGGGTTGCAGGATCCATCCTGTGGCCAGTGTGGGCTTGGAGGCTCAGACAACAGGTACAAGTCTGGAGTGTGAGGCCATGGCATCCTGCCCAATCCTGGGTTTTACTGAGGCAGGTCAATTTTTTGAATCTTAGCAAAGACCAGGGATCACTTAACTCTTTTTTCCCAAAACGGAGGGTATCTCTCTCCATGCTGTGCTGCTTGGGGATGGCAGAAACGTAAAATAGATAATGTAAAACTGTATTTCTTACTATCCTCACTAGATTTTTTCTTATTTCCTTGCTACACCCAGATGCAGTCATGTCTCACCTGGTTTTCTTAGCCCTTGTGAAGGTATTTTTATATATGAGGAGTGGTTTGAATTGATGTATCTGAGAGGGGACAAGTGTAGGAATCTCCTTTTCTGCAATCTGGCTCCATTGCTCCTTTTTTTTTTTTTTTTTTTTGAGCACTTTTGCATATAACTGTTGGTCATTTTTTCTGTCTTGTTTGGGAAAAATTCCATCAATTTCTTTGTTTATTGTAATTAGATTTTGTGTGTGTGTGTGTGTGTGTGTATGTGTGTGTGTCTGTGCCAATGTGTTTGCTATTGCTTTGTATAAGTTCTTTTTACACATTTTGGATATTACATATTTTGGATATTAAACTTTACATATTTTGGATATTAAACCCTTATTAGATAGATGGCTTATGCTTGCTTTCTCCCAATCTGTAGGTTGCCTTTTTATTTTGTTAGTAGTTTATGTCACTATGCAAAGGTTTCTTAGTTTGATGGAGTCCTACTTTGTTTATTTTTGCTTTGATGGCCTGTGCTTCTGGTGTCATATAAAAAAATCACTGCCAAAATCAATGCTGAGGGGCTTTTTCCATATGCTGTCTTCTAAAAGTTTATGGTTGTAGGCCTTACATTTAAGTTTTTAATGTATTTCAAGTTAATATTTGTATATGATATAAAATAAGGGTCCAATAAATTTTTTTATACATAGTTTCCCCAACGGCACTTACTGAAGAGATTCTTCGTTTCCTATTGTATATTTTTGGTGCCCTTGTCAAAGGTTACTTGAGAAAATTATAATTATACACCACAAAATTGGTTAACTAAGAAAAAATGGGTAAATTCCTAGAACCATATAGCCTATCAAGATTGAATCATTAAGAAATAGAAAATTTTAAAAGACCAATAATTAGTGAAAAGATTGAATTAGTAATTAAAGAAAAAACTCCCAACAAAGGGAACCCCAGAACCATATGGCTTCACATCTGCATTCTTTGAAACATTCAGAGAAACATTCGTGACAATACTTTTCATTGTCTTTAACAAAATTGAAGAGGGAGAAACACTTCCAAACACGTTTTCTGGGGCCAGCATTACACTCATACCAAAGCCACGTAAGGATGCTATGAGAAAATGAATTTTTAGACTAATATCACTGATGATTGTAGGTGTAAAAATTTTCAACAAATATTCGCAAACCAAATTCAACAGTACATTAAAGGGATCATACATCTTGATCAAGTGGGATTTATCACTGGGATATAGAGAAGGTTCAACATACACAAATCAATAAATGTGATATAACACATTAATAGAATAAAGAATAAATTATATGAACATCTCAATGCACAAAAAGCATTATGTAAAACTCAATATATATTCATGATAAAAACTCTTAATTAGTTGGGTATAGAAGGAATATAACCAACATTAATACATGTTATATATGACAAGTAATATGGTTTGGCTCTGTTTCCCCACCCAAATCTCATATCAAAATTGTAATTCCCAATGTTCAGGGAGGGTCCTGGTGGGAGGTGATCAGATCATGGGAGCAGAATTTTCTCTTGCTGTTCTCATGATAGTGAGTGAGTTCTCATGAGATCTGGTTGTAAAAAAGTGTGTAACACTTCCCCTTTGCATTCTCTTTCCTGCTCTGCTATGTTAAGGTGTGCTTGTTTCCACTTTGCCTTCTGACATGATTGCAGCTTCCTGAGGCCTCCCAGCTATGCCTTCTATACAGCCTGTGGAGCTGTGAGTTAATTAAACCTCTTTTCTTCATAAATTATGCCATCTCAGGTAGGTTTTTATAGCAGGGAGCAAAAGAACTAATACAACTCATCATATTCAATGTGAAAAATGGAAAGCTTTTCTTCTAAAATCCAGAAAAAGACAAGGATGCCCACTCTCCCCACTTCTGTTCAACAAAATACTGTAAGTCCAAGCTAGGGCAATGTGGCAAATGAAACAAAAGTATCCAAATTAGGAAAAAAAAAAGAAAACGAAAATTGTCTGTTTGCAAAAAATATGCTCTTCTATATAGAAAAACCCTAAAGGCTATACCAAAAAAATGTTGCAACTAACAAACAACTGTAGTAGAGTTGTGGGATACCAAAATTAACATACAAAAATCAGTATCCTATTTAAAAAATATGTTGAGAACATAACTCCATTAGAAAGTGGGGAAAGAACATGAATAGACTTTTTTTTAAAAGAAGACATAAAAATGATTAAAAGTGGGTATTTCTGGCAAGATGACTGAATAGGAACAGCTCTGGTCTGCAGCTCCCAGCGAGATTGACACAGGAGATGGGTGATTTCTGCATTTCTAATGCAGGTATATGGTTCATCTCATTGGGACTGGTAGAACAGTGGGTGCAGCCCATGGAGGGTGAGCCAAAGCAGGGCAGGGCGTCTTCTCACCCAGGAAGTGCAAGGGGTCAGGGGATTTCCCTTTCCTAGCCAAGGGAAGCCATGAGAGACTGTACTTGGAGGAACGGTACACTCCTGACCAGTTACTGCACTTTTCCCATGGTCTTCACAAATGGCAGACCAAGAGATTCCCTCCGGTGCCTGGCTCGGTGGGTCCCACACCCACAGAGCCCAGCAAGATAAAACACATTGGCTTGAAATTATTGCTGCTAGTGCAGCAGTCTGAGATTGTCCTGTGATGCTGGAGCTTGGCAACAGGAGGGGCATCTGCCATTGCTTAGGCTTGAGTAGGCAGTTTTATGCTCACAGTGAAAACAAAGCCCCAGGAAAGTGTAAACTGGGCAGAGCCCACCACAGTTCAGCAAGGCTGACTGCCTTTCTAGATTCCACCTCTGTGGGCAGGGCATCTCTGAACAAAGGCAGCAGCCCCAGTCAGGGACTTATAGATAAAACCCAAATATGCCTGGGACAGAGCACTTGGAGGAAGGGGCAGCTGTGGGCACAGCTTCAGCAGACTTAAACATCCCTGCCTGACAGCTCTGAAGAGAGCAGTGGTTCTCCCAGCACAGCATTTGAGCTCTGATATCTGACAGACTGCTTCCTCAAGTGGGTCTCTGACCCCCTTTTAGCCTGACTGGGAGAAAGTGCCCAGTAGGTGCCAACAGACACTTCATACAGGAGAGCTCTGGCTGGCATCTGGTGGGTTCCCCTCTGGGACAAAGCTTCCAGAGGAAGGGTCAGGTAGGAAGCTTTGCTGTTCTGCAGCCTCTGCTGGTGATACCCAGGAAAAGAGGGTCTGGAATGGAGCTCCAACAAACTCCAACAGACCTGGAGCTCAGGGACCTGAATGTTAGAAGGGAAACTAACAAACAGAAAGCAATAGCATCAACATCAACAAAAAGGACGTCCACACCAAAACCCCATCTGTAAGTCACCAACATCAAAGACCAAAAGTAGATAAAAACCACAAAGATGGGGAGAAACCAGTGCAGAAAGCCTGAAAATTCCAAAAAACAGAACACCTCTTTTCCTCCAAATGATCACAACTCCTCACCAGCAAGAGAACAAAACTGAACAGAGAATGAGTTGGATGAATTGACAGAAGTAGGTTTCAGAAGGTGGGTAATAACAAACTCCTCTGAGCTAAAGGAGCATGCTCAAACCCAATGCAAGGAAGCTAAGGACGTTGAAAAAAGGTAAGATGAATTGCTAACTAGAATAACCAGTGTAGAGAAGAACATAAATGATCTGATGGAGCTGAAAAATGCAGCATGAGAACTTCGTGAAGCATGCACAAGCCTCAATAGCCAAATCAATCAAGCAGAAAAAAGGATATCAGTGATTGAAAATCAACTTAATGAAATAAAGCAAGAAGACAAGTTTAGAGAAAAAAGAGTGAAAAGAAAAATGAACAAAGCCTCCAAGAAATATGAGACTATGTGTAAAGAACAAATCTACGTTTAATTGGTGTACATGAAAGTAATGGGAGAATGGAACCAAGTTGGAAAACACTCTTCAGAATATTATCCAGGAGAACTTCCCCAGCCTAGAAGGCAGGCCAACTTTCAGATTCAGGAAATACAGAGAACACCACAAAGATATTCCTCGAGAAGAGCAACACCAAGACATATAAATCACCAGATTCACCAAGGTTGAAATGAAAGAAAAAATATTAAGGGCAGCCAGAGAGAAAGGTAGGGTTACCAACAAAGGGAAGCCTATCAGACTAACAGCGGATCTCTTGACAAAAACTCTACAAGCCAGAAGAGAGTGGGGGCCAATATTCAACATTCTTAAAGAAAAGAATTTTCAACCCAGAATTTCATATCCAGCCAAACTAAGCTTCATAAGTGAAGGAGAAATAAAATCCTTTACAGACAACCAAATGCTGAGAGATTTTGTCACCATCAGGCTTGCCTTACAAGAGCTCTTGAAGGAAGCTCCTAACATTGAAAGGAACAACCAGTAGTCGCCACTGCAAAAACATGCCAAATTATAAAGACCATTGATGCTATGAAGAAGCTATATCAACTAACGGGCAAAATAACCAGCTAGCATCATAATGACAACATCAAATTCACAATAATAATATTAACCTTAAATATAAATGGGCTAAATGCCCCAGTTAAAAGACACAGACTGGCAAATTGGATAAAGAGTCAAGACCCATTGGTGTGTTGTATTCAGGAGACCCATCTCACTTGGAAAGATAAACATAGGCTCAAAATAAAGAGATGGAGAAAAATCTACCAGGAAAATGGAAAGCAAAAAAAAAGGAGGGGTTGCAATCCTAGTCTCTAAGAAAACAGACTTCAAACCAACAAAGATCAAAAGAAACAAAAAAGGGCATTACATAATGGTAAAGGAATTAATGCAACAAGAAGAGCTAATTATCCTAAATATATATGCACCCAATACAGGAACACCCAGATTCATAAAGCAAGCTCTTGGGGACCTACAAAGAGACATAGACTCCCACACAATAATAGTGGGAGACTTTAACACCCCACCATCAATATTAGACAGATCAATGAGAGAGAAAATTACCAAGGATATCCAGGACTTGAACTCAGCTCTGGACCTAGTGGACTTAATAGACATAAACAGAACTGCCCACCCCAAATCAACAGAATATACATTCTTCTCAGCACCACATTGCACTTATTCTAAAATTGACCACATAATTGGAAGTAAAACATTCCTCAGCAAATGTAAAAAAACAGAAATCACAACAAACTGTCTCTCAGACCACAGTACAAACAAATTAGAATTCAGGATTAAGAAACTCACTCAAAACTGCACAACTACATGGAAACTGAAAAACCTGCTCCTGAATGACTACTGGGTAAATAACAAAATGAAGGCAGAAATAAAGATGTTCTTTGAAATCAATGAGAACATAGACACAACGTACCAGAATCTCTGGGACACATTTAAAGCAGTGTGCAGAGGGAAATTTATAGCACTAAATGCTCACAAGAGAAAGCAGAAAAGATGTAAAATCGACACCCTAACATCACAATTACAAGAACTAGAGAAGCAAGAGCAAACAAATTCAAAAGAGGAGAAGACAAGAAATAACTAAGATCAGAGCAGAACTGAAGGAGATAGAGACACAAAAATCCCTTCAAAAAATCAATGAATCCAGGAGCTGGTTTTTTGAAAAGATTAACAAAATAGATAGACTGCTCCAAGACTAATAAAGAAGAAAAGAGAAGAATCAAATAGAAGCAATAAACAATGATAGAGGGCATATCACCACTGATCCCACAGAAATACAAACTACCATCAGAGAATACTATAAACACCTCTACACAAACCAGAAAATCTAGAAGAAATGGATCAATTCCTGGACACATACACCCTCCCAAGACTAACCCAGGAAGAAGTTGAATCTCTGAATTGACCAGTAACAGGTTCTGGAATTGAGGTGATAATTAATAGCCTACAAACCAAAAATAGTCCAGGTCCAGACGGATTCACAGCTGAATTCTACAAGAGGTACAACGAGGAGCTGAGACCATTCCTTCTGAAACTATTTTGATCAACAGAAAAAGAGGGATTCCTCCCTAATTCATTTTATAAGGCCTGCATCATCCTGACACAAAAACCTGGCAGAGACATAACAACAACAAAAAAGAGACTTTTAGGCCAATATCCCAGATGAACATTGATGCGAAAATCCTCAATAAAATAGTGGCAAACCGAATCCAACAGCACATCAAAAAGCTTATCGACCATGATCAATTTTGCTTCATCCCTGGGATGGAAGGCTGGTTCAACATATGCAAATCAATAAATATAATCCATCACATAAACAGAACCCATGACAAAAACCATATGATTACCTCAATAGATGCAGAAAAGGCCTTCAACAAAATTTAACAGCCCTTCGTGCTAAAAACTCAATAAACTAGGTATTGATGGAATGCATGTCAAAATAATGAGTTATTTATGACAAACCCACAGCCAATATCATACGGAATGGGCAAAAACTGGAAGCATCCCCTTTGAAATCTGGTACGAGACAAGGATGCCCTCACTCACCACTCTGTATTCAACATAGTACTGGAAGTTCTGGCCAGGGCAATCAGGCAAGAGAAATAAATAAAGGGTATTCAATTATGAAAAGAGGAAGTCAAATTGTCTCTGTATGCAGATGACATGATAGTATATATAGAAAACCCCATTGTCTCAGCCCAAAATCTTTTTAAGCTGATAAAGAACTTCAGCGAAGTCTCAGGATACAAAATCAGCTGCAAAAATCACAAGCATTCCTATACACTAATAACAGAGAGCCTAATCATGAGTGAACTCCGATTCACAATTGCTACAAAGGGAATAAAATACTTAGGAATGCAACTTATAAGGGATGTGAAGGACCTCTTCAAGGAGAACTACAAACCACTGCTGAAATCAATAAAAGAGTTCACAAACAAATGGAAGAATGCTCATGGATAGGAAGAATCAATATCATGAAAATGGCCATACTGCCCAAAGTAATTTGTAGAATCAATACTATCCCCATCAAGCTACCACTGACTTTCTTGTCAGAACTGGAAATAACTACTTTAAATTTCATATGGAACCAAAAAAGAGCCTGCATAGTCAAGACAATCCTAAGCAAGAAGAACAAAGCTGGAGGCATCACACTACCTGACTTCAAACTACACTACAAGGCTGCAGTAATCAAAATATCATGGTAGTGGTACAAAAACAGATACAAAGACCAATGGAACAGAACAGAGGTCTCAGAAATAACACCACACATTTACAACTATCTGATCTTAGACAAACCTGACAAAAACAAGCAATGGGGAAAGGATTCCCTATTTAATAAATTGTTCTGGAAAAACTGGCTAGCCATATGCAGAAAGCTGAAACTGGGTTCCTTCCTTACACCTTATACAAAAATGAACTAAAGATGGATTAAAGACTTAAATGTAAGACCTAAAATCATAGAAACTCTGGAAGAAAACCTAGGCAATACTATTCAGGACATAGGCATGGGCAAAGTCTTCATGACTAAAACAACAAAAGCAATTGCAACAAAAGCCAAAATAGACAAATGGGATCTAATTAAACTAAAGAGCTTCTGCACAGCAAATGAAACTATCAGCAGAAGGAACAGGCAACCTATAGATTGGGAGAAAATTTTTGCAATCTATCCATCTGACAAAGGGCTAATATCCAGAATCTACAATGAAATTAAACACATTCACAAGAAAAAAAAAAAATCAAAAAATGGGTGAAGGTTATGAACAGACACTTCTCAAAAGAAGACATTTATGCAGCCAATAAACTTATGAAAAAATGCTCATCTTCACTGGTCATTAGAGAAATGCAAATCGAAACCACAATGAGATACCATCTTATGCCAGTTAGAATGGTGATCATTGAAAAGTCAGGAAACAACAGATGCTGGAGAGCATGTGGTGAAATAGGAACACTTTCACACTGTTGGTGGGAATGTAAATTAATTCAACCAGTGTGGAAGACATGTGGTGATTCCTCAAGGATCCAGAACTAGAAATATCATTTCACCCAGCAATCCCATTACTGGGTATATAACCAAGGGATTATAAATTATTCTACTATAAAGATACATAGACACATGCACACCTATGTTTATTGTAGCACTGTTCACAATAGCAAACTCTTGGACCCAACCCAAATGTCCATCAATGATAGACTTAAGAAAATGTGGCACATATACACCATGGAATACTACACAGCCATAAAAAAGGATGAGTTCATGTCCTTTGTAGGGACATGGGTGAAACTGGAAACCATCATTCTCAGCAACGTAACACAAGAAGAGAAAACCAAACACCGCATGTTCTCACTCATAAGTCGGAATTGAACAATGAGAGCACAGGGACACAGGGAGGGGAACATCACACACCAGGGCCTGTTGGGGGATGGGGGCCTGAGGGAGGGATAGGATTAGGAGAATTACCTAATGTAAACGACAAGTTGATGGGTGCAGCAAACCAACATGACACATGTATACCTATGTAACAAAACTGAACATTGTTTATATGTACCCAAGAACTTAAAGTATAATAATACAAAAATTAAAAGTGTATAAAAATGCTTAACTTCACTAATTATTAGATAAATTCAAATTAAAACAACAATGAGATATCATCTCACCTTAGTCAGAGTAGCTATTAACATTCAATAAATAACAGATGTTGGCAAGGGTGCAGAGAACAAGGAATGAGTATTTAATGTTGTTGCAAATGTAAATTAGTACAGCCTTTATGTAAAACAGCACAGAGATTTCTCAAAGATCTAAACCTAGAATTACTATTTGAGTCAACAGTTCTACTACTGGGTATCCACACCCCTCAAAAACAAAACAAAACAAAAAACCTATTATATAAAAAGACACCTGCACTGGTATGTTTATTACAGCACATTCACAATAGCAAAGATACTGAATCAACCTAAGTGTGTCAATGAATGAATGGATAAAGAAAATATTACATATACATATAATGAAATATTATTCAGCCATAAAAATTTAAATCATTTCTTTTGCAGCAGCATGGATTGAAGTGGAGGCCATTATCTTAGGTGAAAGAATTCAGACAAAGAAAGTCAAATTCCACGTTTTCACTTATAAATGACAGCTAAATAATGTATACACATGGAAACAAAGTGTGTAATAATAGATATTGTAGGAGTAGAAGGGTGAGAGAGAGTAAGAGATAAATAACTTAATGGATACAATGTATATTATTCAAGTGATTGTTACACTAAAATACTTCACCACTATACAATATATCCATGCAACAAACTGCACTTGTATACCTTAAATTTATACTAATAAAAAATAATCAAAAGACAAATGATAGCATGTTTCCTTAAAATGATCTAATTTAGAACAGCATAACAGAACCTAAATGCTTAACCTAAAGTTAACCAAGGAGGTGAAAGATCCACACACTGCAAGTTATAAAACATTGGTTGAAAAAATTGTAGTAGATACAAATAAATAGAAATTTACCTGTGTTCATGTATTAGAAGAATTAATATTGTGTTAAATGTCCAAACTAGCCAAAGCCATCTCCAGATTTAATGCAACACCTTTCAAAATTTCAATGCCATTTGTCACAGTAGAAAAAAAATCTTAGAATGCATATGAAACCACAAATAACTAAGAAAGCCTGCTGCAGAGTGGTGCAAGATGGTATAATAGAAGACTCCACTAACTTTCCCCTCTCAAGGACACCAATTAAACCACTAGCTACACAAAAAGTACTTTTATAAGAACCAAAACTCAGGTGAGCACTCACAGTACCTGGTTTTCACTTCACATCACTGAAAGAAACGCTAACGAGGTAGAAAAAAATGGTGTTGAATGGCCAACGCCACATTTCTCCCATCCCCCAGCATCAGTGGGGGGTGCATAGAGCATTTCTGTGTGCAGAGAAGAGATCACAGCATTTGTGAGACATTGAACTCATTTCTGCCCTACTATAACAGAAAACAAAACTGGACCAAAATTAGCTCATGCCTGCCCATGGAGGGAGCATTTAAACTGTCCCTAACCAGAGAGGAATTGATGATACCAGAAATTTGAACTTAAGTTTCTGCAAGTCTTACCACCACAGGCTAAAATGCACTGGGGCCACAAATAAACTTGAAAGTAAGCCAAGGCCACAAGGACTGAAAATCCTAGGTGAGCCCTAGTGTTGAACTGGGACCTGAGACAGTGGACTGGAGTGGACACATGGCAGCTAAGGGAGTGCTGGCATCACTCCTCACCTAACTTCAGCGTGCACAGCTTAAGGCTACAAAAAGACCCCATCTCGCCATGTAAGAGAGGAGAGGGAAGAGTGGGGATGACTTCGTCTTTCATCTTGGATACCAACTCAGTAACAGTTGAATATCAACTCAGTAACAGTTGAATATCAACTCAGTAACAGTAGGATATGGCACTGGTCAGAGACATGAGGAAGTTTTCCAAGCCCTAGATCCTGGTTTAACATTTCTAGTCACACTTTTGACCAGAAGGGAACGTGTTGCCTTGAAGAGAAAGATCCAGTCCTGGCAGGATTTATTAACTTCTAACTGAAGAACTCTTGGTCCCTGAATAGTTAGTAGCAATGCCCAGGTACCTCATTGATGACCTTGAGTGAGACCCATAAACTTGCAGGCTTTAGGTGAAACTCAACACACTTTAAACAATAGTGGCTATGGAGCAAAACTCCACTCACCTGAGAGAAGTAGAGGAAAAAGCAAGGGGACTTTGTCTTGTACCTTAGGTACCAACTTGTCTACAGGGGAATAGAGCACCAAGTGGTCTCTTTGGTTCTTCAATTCTAGAACTTGGCTCTTGGATAGTATTTCTGGACCTGTCCTGGGCCACAGGGGAGCCCATTGTCCTGAAGGGTGGGTCCAAGGCAGGGCAGCATTCACTACAAGCTGACTGAAGAGACTTTGAGTCTTCAGGGAATGTCAGTGGTAGACTCATGGGCCTGTGGTGGAAGTGGTCATGGGGTGAGGTTCCTCTGCATTTGGAAAGGGGAGGGAAGACTGGAAAGAACTGCATCTTGTGGTTTGAGTGCCAGTTCAGCCACAGTGCAATAGAACATCAGGTAACAACATCAGGTAACCTTCTAAGTTTGTTGACTCTAATCCCTGAAATCTGAATGGCACCTCAGGACATGCCCAGGGTAAGAGAAAACCTGTCATACTAAACAGAAAGACACAGGCCTGGTTGATTTTGCCACCTGCTGATTGGAGAGCCTCAGGGCTTTGAGCTAACATAAGCAGTAGCCAGAAAGTGTTTCAGCAGGCCACGGGTGAGACCCTGTGATGTGTAGGTTTCAGGTCAGACCCAGCTGTCATACTGATGGTGACCACAAGGGTGCCTGTGTCTGTCAAACCACTCCCAGCTCCAGGTGGCTCAGAAGAAAGAGAGAGACTCTATCCATTTGGGAGAAAGTAAGAGAAGAGGGCAAGAGTCTCTGCCTGGTAATATAGATAATTCATCTGGACTTGTCCAAGACCATCAGAGTGGTACCGCTATGAGTCTGCAAGAACCACAACATTACTGGGGTTGAAGTGCCCCCTAAAGCAGACACAGCTTAGATTACAACACTTAAGTCCTTTAAAATATCTGGAAAGTCTTCTCAGGAAGGATAGGCACAAACAAACCCAGACTGCAAAAACTGCAATAAATGGATAACAACTATTTAATGACCAGGAACTAGAAAATATCTACAAGTATCAACATCATCCAGGAAATCAGAAACTCACCAAATGAACTAAATTAGTCACCAGAGACAAATCCTGAAAAAACAGAAATATGTGACCTTTCAGAGAATTCAAAAGAGTTATGTTGAGGAAACTCAATGAATTTCGAGATAACACAGAGAAGAATTCAGAATTTTATCAGATAAATTTAACAAAGAGATTGAAATAATTAAAAAGAATCAAGCAGAAATTCCGGAGCTGAAAAAATCCAATTTGCATACTGAATAATACATTAGAGTCTTTTAATAGCAGAATCAAGCAGAAGAAAGAATTAATGAACTTGAAGACAGCTTATTTGAAAATACACAGTAAGAGAAGACAAAAGAAAAAAGAATAAAAAACAATGAATCGTGCCTACTGGATTAAGAAAATAACTCAAAAGGGCAAAACTAAGAGTTATTGGCCTTAAAGAGGAGGTAGAGAAAGATATTAAGGTAGATAGTTTATTCAAATGAATAGTAACAGGTGACATTCTAAACCTAGAGAAAGATATCAATATCCAAGTACAAGAAGAACATACAATACCCAGCAGATTTAACCCAAAGAAGACTAATTGAAGGCATTTAATAATCAAACTCCCAAAGGTCAAAGAAAAGGAAGGCTCCTGAAAGCAACAAGAGAAAAGAGACAACATAAAATGGATCACCAATATGTCTGGCAACACACTTTTCAGATGAAACCTTACAGGTCAGGAGAGAATGACATGACATATTTAAACTTCTGAAAGAAAAAATCCTTTTACCCTATAGTAGTATATCTGACAAAAATATCTTTCACACATGAAGGAAAGATAAAGACTTTCTCAGAAAAACAAAAGCTGTGGTATTTCATCAACACCAGTCATCGCCTGTAAGAAATGCTAAAGGAGTTACATCAATAAGAAAGAAAAGATGTTAATGAACAATAAGCAATAATCTGAAGTTCCAAAACTCACTGGAAATAGTAAGTGCACAGAAATACACAGAATATTATAGCACTCTAACTGTTGTGTAAACTACTTTTATTCTAAGTAGAAAGACTAAATGATGAACTGCTTAAAAAAAATAACTACAACAAGCATTTAAAACAAAGATGGGAATATAAGATATAAGTAGTAATAATAATAAGTTAAAAATAGGAAACAAATTTAAGGCACAGAGTCTTTATTCATTTTTTAGCTTGTTTGTTTATGCAAACAATGTTAAATTGTTATCAGCTTAAAATAATGGATTATAAGATAGTATTTGCAATTCTCATGGTAACCTCAAATCAAAAAACATAAAATGGATACAAAATAATAAAAAGCAAGAAACAAAGCCATATAACCAGAGAAAATAACTTCCCCTAAAAAGGAAAACAGGAAGTAAGAAAAGAAGAAAGAGAAGATGACAAAACAACCAGAAAATAAATAACAAAATAGTAGGAGTAAATCCTTACTTATCAAAAATAACATTAAATGTAAAAGCACTAAACTCTCCAATCAAATGACATAAAGTGACTCAATGGATAAACAAAAATCAAGATGCATTGATCTGTTGCCTACAAGAAACACACTTCACCTATAAAGACACACATGAACTGAAAATAAAGGACAGGGAAAAGATATTACATTCCAATGAAAACCAAAATAAAAGAGAAGAAGTAGCTTTACTTATATCAGAAAAAAATAGATTTCAAGACAAAGACCATAAAAACACACAAAGAAGGTCACTATATAATGATAAAGGGGTTGATTAAGCAAGAGAATATAACAAATTTAAATATATATGCACCCAACACTGGAACACCCAGATGTGTAAAGGAACTGTTATTTGAGCTAAGGAGACACATAGGCCCTAACACAATAATAGCTGAGACTTCAACACTCCACTTTCAGCATTAGATAGATCTTTCAGGCAGAAAATTAACAAAAAATAATCATATTCAATCTGGACTAGAGGACAAATGGATCTAACAGATATTTACAGAACATTGTATTCAATGGCTGCAGAATACACATACTGTTCCTCAACACATGGATTATTTTTGAGGATAGATCGTATGCTAGGTCATAAAACAAATCCTTAAACATTCAAAAAAGAAGTGTTATGAATATCTTATCTGATCACAATATAGTAAAACTAGAAATCAATAACAAGAGGAGAGGAAATTTGGAAACTATGCAAATGCATGGAAATTAAACAATATAGTCTCAAATGACCAGTGAATCAATAAAAACAATTAAGAAGTAAATTGTAAAATTGTGGGAAACAAATGATAATGGAAACACAACATACCAAAACCTAGGGAATACTACAAAAGCAGTACTAAGAGGGAAGTCTACAGCCCAAAGTGCCTATGTTGGAAAAGAAAAAGAATTCTTCAAATAAACAACCTGATGATACATCTTAAAGAACTAGAAAAGCAATAGCAAATGAAACACAAAATTAGTAGAAGAAAAGATATAATAGAAGTCAAAGCAGCGATAAATGAAATTGAAATGAATAAAACACTATAAAAAATCAATAAAACAAAAAATTGTTTTTAGAAAAGTTAAAAAAAAAAAAGAATAAAACAGGGGCCAGGGAGCTTGGGTGCCATCTTGGAATTCTGTCTACTGCACATTCATAGTTAACTAAGAATTTTTTATTGCAAATAAATATTAATGTCATAAATAGATTTTTTATATCTATTGAGATATTAAAAAAATTGACACACCTTTAAGCAGACTAAGAAAAAAGAAGATCCAAATAAATAAAATTGGAGATTAAAAAGGAGACATTACAACTGGTAGTGCAGAAATTCAAAGGATTATTAGTAGCGACTAAGAGAAACAATATGTAAATAAATTGGAAAATCTAGAAGAAATGAACACATTCCTAATACATACAAACTACCAAAATTGAACCAGGAAGAAACCCAAAACCTGAACAGACCAATAACAAATAATGAGATCAAAACCATTATAAAAAGTCTCTCTAAAGAAAAGCCTGCAACCCAATGGCTTCACTGTTGATTTCAACCAAACATTTAAAAAAGAACTAATATTGATCCTACCCAAAGTATCTCCAAAAATAGAGGAGAAGAAAATACTTCAAAACTCATTCTACAAGGCTGGTATTTCCCTGACACCAAAACCAGAAAAAGAAATATCCCAAAAAAGAAAACTAAAGGCCAATATTTCTGATGAATATTAATGCAAAAATCCTCAACAAAATATTAGTTAACTAAATTCAACAATACATTAAAAAGATCACTTATCATGACCAAGTGGGATTTATTCCTGGAATGCAAGGAAGGTTCAATATACACAAATAAATCAATGTGGTATATCACATCAACAAAGTGAAGGATGAAAACCATATAATCATTTCAACTAATGCTGAAAAAGCATTTGATAAAATCCAACATCTCTTCCTGATAAAAACCCTCAAAAATCTGGGTACAGAAGGAACATATTTCAACATGATAAAAGCCATATATGATAGACTCACACTGGTATCATACTGAATGGGGAAAAACTGAAAGCCTCTCCTCTAAGATCTGGAACACAACGAGGATGCTCACTTGACCAGTGTTGTTCAACATAGTACTGGCAGTCTTCGATAGAGCAATCAGACAAGAAAAATAAAGGGCATCAAAATTGAAATGGAAGAAGTCAAATTGTCCTTTTTTTGTAGATGATATGTGATTGTATTTGGAAAAATCTAAGGACTCCACAAAAAAAAAAAGTATTAGAGCTATTAACCAAATTCCAAAAAGTTGCAGGATACAAAGTCAATACACAAAAATTAGTAACATTTTTATATGCCAACAGTGAACAACGTGAAAAAAGTAAAAAGGCAATCCCATTTGCAGTAGCCACAACTAATGTTAGATACTTAGGAATTCACTCAACCAAATAAGTGGAAGATATGCACAATAAAAATTATAAAACACTGAGAAAAGAAATTGAAGTGAAAAAATGGAAAAATATTTTGTTTATGGATTGGAAGTATCGATATTGTTAAAATGCTTATAATGCCCAAAGCAACATACAGATTGAATGCAATAACTATCAAAATATCAATGACAGTCTTCACAAAAATATTTTAAATATTCCAAAATTTATATGGAGCCATACAAGACGCAGAATAGCCAAAACTATCCTAATCAAAAGAAAGAAAACTAGAGGAATCACATGACCTGACTTCAAAGTACACTTCAGAGGAATAGAAATCAAAATAGCATGGTACTGGCGTAAAAACAGACACGCAGACCAGTGGAAGAGAATAGAGAACCCAGAAACAAATCCACACACCTACAGTGCACTAATATTCAGCTAAGTTGCCAATAACATACACTAGAGAAAAGACAGTCTTTTCAATAAATGGTGCTAGGAAAACGATATATCCAGAATAATAAAGCTGGAATCTTATCTCTTGCCATATACAGAAATCACACCAAAATGGATTAAAGACATACATCTAAAACATTTTAGACTATGAAATTCTTTCAATAAAACATTGGGGAAAATCTACAGGACATTGGTTTGGGCAAAAGTTTTTCGAGCAATACCCCACAAGCACAGGAAATCAAAACAAAAATAGACAAATGTGATCATATCAAGTTAAAAAGCTACCGTGCAGCAAAAGAAAACAATCAATAAAGTGAAGAGACCACCCACAGAATGAAATAATATATTTGAAAATTGCCCATCTGTCAAGGGATTAATAATCAGAATCTATGAGGAGATCAAACACTGTATTTAAAAAATTAATAATGAGATTAAAAATGAAAAAAATATTTGAAGAGACATTTCTCAAAAAAGACATACGAATGGCAAATAGGCATGTGAAAAATGCTCAACATCATTTATAATCAGATAAATGCAAATCAAACATTTCAAATGGCTTTTATCCAAAAGTCATGCAATAATAAATGTTGGTGAGGATGTGGAGATAAACCCTCATACACTGTTAGTGGGAATGTATATTAGTACAACCACTATAAAGAACAGTTTGGAGGTTTCCTCAAAACACTAAAAATTGAGGTACCCTGTGATCTAGCAATCCCACCTCTGGGTATATATCCAAAACAATGAAAATCGGTATATTGAAGAGATATCTCCACTCCTATGTTTTTGGCAACACTGTTTACAGTAGCAAAGATTTGGAACAACCTAAGTGTCCATCAACAGATAAATGGCCAAAGAAAATGTGGTACATATACACAATGAAGTACTATTTAGCCATAAAAAATGAGATTCTGTAATTTGCAACAACATGGAGGGAACTGGGTCATTATGCTAAGTGAAATAAGCCAGGCACAGAAGGATTAACATTACATGCTTTCGTTTATGTCTGGGATCTAACAATCAAAGCAACTAAACTCATTGAGATCGAGTATAGAAGAATAGTTACCAGATGCTGGGAAGGGTAATATGAGGGTAGGGTGAGTTGGGGATGCTTAATGGGTAGAAAAAAAATAGAAAGAATGTACAAGACCTAATATTTGATAGCAACTCAATAGGGTGACTACAGTTAATAATAATTGTATTGCACATTTAAAAATTACTAAAAGAGTATAATTGGATTGTTTTTAACACAAAGGATAAATGCTTGGAAGGATAGGTGCCTCATTTTACATGATGTGATAATTGTGTATTGCATGCTTGTATAAAATCATCCCATGTACCCATAAATATATATGCTATGTAATACCCAAATTATAATAAAAGATTTTTAAATATAGGTAAACCAATTATGCTCAAAAAGAATGAATCTGGATGCATCACACTTTTCAATTTCAAACTATATTACAAAGCTATAGAAATCACGACAGTATAGTACTGGTATAAAAACAGGCACATAGGCCAATAGATCAGAATACAGTGTGGAAACATGTGATAAGCTATTCTTTGACAAGACCACCGATAATATATAATGGGTAAATGATATTTTCTTTAATAAATGGTGGTGAGAAACATGACACCACGTGCAAATGAATGAAATTGAACAGTTTTTATACACTATATACAAAAATCAATTTAAATGTGTTAACTTAAAAAAAAGACTTGAAACAATAAAACTTGTTAAAAATAACTTACAAGAAAACCTCTTTGTCATTGGTCTCAGCAATGATTTTTACAAATTTAACACTGAAAGCAGAGGCAAAAAGAACCAAATAAGAAAATGGGGCCACTTCAAACTAGTACGTGTCTGCACAGCAAAAGAAACTGTCAACATAATGAAAAGACAATTTAAAGACTAGAGAAAAATACTTGTAAAGCACATATCTGATAATGGGTAATATGTAATATATATATGTAGCTCATACTGGCAAAAAAGAACAAAATTAAAATAACTTGATTTTAAAATGTGCAAAGGACATAAATAAGCTTTTCCAAAGGCATACAAATGGCTGACAGGTATATGAAAAGGTGCTCAACATTACTAATCATCAGGCATACGAAAATCAAAAACCACAATGGGATATCACCTCACACCTGTTAGAATAGCTATTCTCAAAAAGGGAAGAGTGTTGTCAAAATGGTAAAAGAAGGAGAACTCTTGTACAGTGTTTGGGGGAATGTAAATTGGTCCAACCATTATGGGAAACAGCATGGTGATTACTCAAAACATTAAAAATATTAAAAATAGACCTACCATAAGATCTAGCAACATACTTCTGGGTATCTATTCAAAGTAAATAAAATCAATACCTTAGGAGATATTTGTACTCTCTTGTTTGTTACAACATTATGCACAATGATCACAATATAAAAACAATGTAAGTGTCCATGATGCATATACATATATAGTTATATATATAATAAAGTATTATTCAGACATTAAAGAAGAAAATCCTGCCATTTGCAACAACATGCATGAATCTTGGGGACATTAGGATAACTGAAAGAAGCCAGACACAGAAAGACAAATATTTTATGATCTCATTTATATGAGAAATCTAAAGAATCTAGCTCAGATTGACATATTTGTCTAATTTTTACCTGGTGGCTGGCAGCTGGGAAAAAAATAGACTGGGAGCGGTGGCTCAATCTTGTAATCCCAGCACCTTGGGAGGCTGAGGCAGGTGGATCACCTGAGGTCAGGAGTTCAAGACCAGACTGATCAATGTGGTGAAACCCCGTCTTTAGTAAAAATACAAAAATTAGCCAGGTGTGGTGGTGCACGCCTGTAGTACCAGCTACACTGGAGGCTCAGGCAGGAGAATCGCTTGAACCCAGGAGGTGGAGGTTGCAGTGAGCTGAGATTATACCACTGCACTCCAGCCTAGGTGACAGAGTGAGACTCCATCTCAAAAAAAAAAAATTAAAAATAAATAAATATAAAAGATAGTGGTTCTTCTGTTATGAGATGAATAAGCCCTGGAGACCTAATATACAGCATAGTGACTATAGTTAACAATACTGTATTTTATACCCAAAATTTCCTAAGAGAGTAGATTTCAGGTGTTTTTACCACACACACACACACACACACACACACACAGACTCACACAGACATACACACTTACATGTGAGGTGATGGATTATGTTAATTAGCATTATTAGGATTATGTTAATTAGCATGACTGTGGTAATCATTTCAGAACACAATGTATACAACTATCAAAACATCATATTGTACTCCCTAAATATGTACAATATATTGTACTCCCTAAATTGTACATTGTTCTCCCTAAATATGTGCAATGTGTACATCTATCAAAACATCATATTGTACTCCCTAAATGTGTACAACTTTATGTCAATCATACATTAATAAAGCTGAAAAAAAGACACATATAAAATACCAATTATATGTTATTTTATGATTATATGTAAAAAAGACATCCAGATTTTTCTGAGCCATGTTCCCATCTTGTCCACAATCACACAACTATGGTTATTTCAAGCAAAGTCTAGGTGCCACTGTTTTGGCATGTAAAATAAAAAATTGTTTAATTATTATAGTGGCATCCTACATGTACTAAAATACAGGACTGCTCATTTTTACAGTTAATGTTGGACTTTTATGTGGTTAATGTGTTGGACTTAAGTTGGAACATTTTCTCTTTCTTCCTAGAACTCCTATATATTAATTGGTGGCCTGAAAAAAAATATTTACTTTTTAGCAATAGTCAAAGTTTTAAAAAACATATAAAATTATGTTTTAAAATAGATAATGAATTGTATGTCTACAGATATATTGCACTCCTTGTTTGCTCTAATTATTTCATCTAGTGAATATCATTATGTGTGTGTCTTTGTGCATGTTCTCTCTGAGTGTGTCTGTGGGGGTGAGATAGAGAGAGAGACTAAAAGAATCGCTGAATAGATATCAGTATTAGTCCATTCTCACACTGCTAATAAAGACATACCCAAGACTGGGTAATATATAAAGGAAAGAGGTTTGATTGACTCCCAGTTCAGCATGGCTTGGGAGGCCTCAGGAAACTTACAATCATGGCAGAAGGGGAAGCAAACACATTCTTCTTCACATGGCAGCAGGAGAGAGAAGTGCTGAGCAAAGTTGGGGAGTAGGATGGAAATCCCCTTAAAAAAACATCAGGACCTGTGAGAACTAACTCACTGTCACAAGAACAGCATGAGGGTAACTGCCCCCATGATTTAGTTACCTCCAACCAGGTCCCTCCACGACATGTGGGGATTATGGTAACTACAATTCAAGATAAATTTGTGTGTGGACACAGCCAAACAATACCATTCCACCCATGGTCCCTCCCAAATCTCATGTCGTCACATTTCAAAACACAATCTGTTTGTTGGTCTAACTCAGATGGGGATAAAATATTATCAGTTTTATATAATGTAAGGCTTTAATGAGCAAGTAATTTAGACACCACAACAACATGGAGCTTAGCAATTCTTGCTCCCTGAAAATAATAGAGCCTGTCCTGATGTTTGCAGCCGATAGGACTTACCCATGTAGTTTCTACTCAAAAGTATGGAACAAAAATAGCAGAGACTGGAAGTAGTTTTTTTTTGTTTGTTTGTTTTTTGTTTTTCTGTCTCTGCCTGGAGATAGGCAGGCCCAAGAGGCTAAAGGACAGACATTTCAGAGCCTGTTAGGTGTTTGATACATAAAACAGTGATCAGAATTCATCAGATTAGCTACTTTTTCACCCATGAAAACACCAGTATTAGGCTAGTACAGGACTAGTATAAGGTTGCATAGTGCTAGTATGAAAGTGTGATGGGTAGTTTTCCGAGATCAGACAAGGTCAGACACGTTCAGGGTAGTGTGGCCATAGACAATGATAGGTAATTTTATGTGTTAAATTGGCTTGAATATGGAGCCCATTTTTCTAGGACAAACAGTATTCTAGATGTTGCTGTGGAGGTATTTTGTAGATGTAATTAACATTAAAAATCAATTGGCTTTCAATAAAGCGGATTACCCTCCATAATATGAGTGGGTTTCATTCAGTAAGTTGAACGTCTTAAGAGCAAAAACTAAGGTTTCTCAGACAATAAGGATATCTAAATTAAAACTGCAACACAGAAATCCTGCAGGCACATGAAGTACAAGAACTGTGGATGAATCTAGGCAACCTCCATCTAGATTTCAAAGAATGCATCAGAGATCCTCAGGGTTCAGGCAGAGAACTTCCACAAGGTCCGGACTTCCACAGATATTCCCTACTAGGGCAATTACTAGTGGAACTATGGGAGTGATACCATCACAGAGGGTCTCTTCTAGGGCAATGTCCAGCAGAGCCAGAGAATCAGGACCACTGCAGAAAATCCCTAATGGGGCAATGCTTAGTGGAGTTATGGGGGCAGGGTTGCTTCTGAAACTCCAGAGCTGTAGAGCCACCGATGTGCATGGGAGTCACCACAGCATGGGAGAGTGGTAGGCACCCAACTCTAACCCCCAGGAGCTGTTGGTTTGGCTGCTCCCAGCAAAGCCATTATGGTGGGGCTTCCTAGAGGCTTGGAAGCCCAACCAATACCCACCCAAATACGTCCAGAAGGCAGGACATGGAGTCTAAGATTTTTCTTCAACCTAAGATTTAATGTTTTTTGCACTGTTGGGTTTTGGACTTACTTGGGACCTGTTATCCCTTTCTACGTTCCTATTTCTTCCTTTTGGAATGAGAATGTTTATCCTCTCTGTCCCATCATTGTATTCTGGGAAGCCCACAACTTGTTTTATTTCACAGGCTCACAACTGAAGGACAATTTGTCTCAGGATAAAATACACCTTTGAGTTTCATAACTGATTTAGATAGTATTTATATGAGGCTGTGGACTTTAGACTTTTGAGTTAGTGCTAGAGAAAGTGACAATTTTGGAAGACTATTGGGATGTAGTGACTGTATTTTGAATATAAAAAAGACACACATTTAGGGGTACAGGGTAGAATGCTATGATTTAAATGGATATTTCCCTACAAAATTCATATATTGGAACCTAATATTAAGAGGTGGGGCTTTAGGAGAAGTGATTAAGTAATAAGGTATCCATCCTTATGAGTGAGAATAGTGCTTTTATAAAAGAGGTTGAAGGGAGTGGCCTATTCCTTGATTGCCCTTCCACCATGAGAGGACACATTATTTATCCCCTCTGGAAGATGCAGCATGAAGGCACAATATTAGTTGCAGAGGAAGCCCTTAAGAGACATTAAATCTGCCAGTCTCTTGATCTTAGACTTTCCAGATCCAGAAATGTGAGAAATAAATTTCTATTATTTATAAATTACCCAGTTTGTGGTATTTTTTATAGCAGAAGGAATGAACTGAGACATTCAGTGTCATTTTAATAATTGTGAACATGCCAATGAAAAGAACAACAGGGAACTGGGGACCATTATTAGAGATGAAAGGAAGCCCAAGATGTGTGAAAAAAGAAATTCTAGGACAACAGTAGACCTACTGAAACCCTTACAAATTGGAGTAGGAAGACAGAAGTTTCTTCAAGGGATATTTATTGTGGGGAAGAAATGAACATGAAGAGACAGGAGATGTATTTGATTGTTTTGAGATGATGTTTATATGATGTGTGGCAGACAATTGGCATTACTGAGGAAAGTGCTCAGAGAACACTGAGCAAATGAACTAAAAATGCATTTTATTAGGAAAAACCAAATATTGGCAAAAAATAAATGTTGTCCAAAGTTTTTTCTTTCTTTTCTTTGTCTTTTTCTTTCTTTCTTTCTTGAGACAGAATCTAGCTCTGTCACCCAGGCTAGAGTGCAGTGACACAATCTCGGCTCACTGCAACCTCCGCCTCCCAGGTTCAAGTAATTTTCATGCCTCAGTCTTCCAAGTAGCTGGGATTACAGACATGTGCCATCATGCCTGGCTAACTTTTGTATTTTTCTGTAGAAACAGCATTTTGTCATTTTGTCCAGGCTGGTCTTGAACTCCTGACCTCAAGTGATCCACCTGCCTCAGCATCCCAAACTGCTAGGATTACAGGCATGTGCCGCCACACCCAGCTCCAATTTTCTCCATGTCTCATCATAGCAAAAATATTGTAAACAATTGGTACAAATTTAAATACAAACAAATATATATTTATATTGGAAATATGAGAGAATAAGTATGTTTGCGTATGTGTCAATGAGTACTATGGTTTGAATGCACCTGTCCCTCCAAAATTCGAATGTTGGAATTTAAACTCCAAAGTGATGGTATTACAGTGTGGAGTCTTTTGGAAAATGATTAAGTCACATGGGCTCTGCCCTTGTTAATGGGATTAATGCACTTAAAAAAGAGGCTTCAAAGATTTGCTTAGCACTTTTGCTCTTGACCACATGAAGACATAGTTTGAATGCTCTCTGGATGATGCAGCAACAAGGCATTATCTTGGAAGCAGAGAGCTGCCTCACCAGACACCAAAACTGCTGGCACTTTAATCTTGGACTTTCTGGCATCAAGAATGATAAGAAATACATTTATATTCTTTATAAATTATCCAGTATTAGGTATTTTCTTACTGTAGCACAAATGGACTAAGACAGTGGGAAAAGAGGTACCATAAGAATTCAAACATTTTGTTAATTAACTGTAAATAATTGACAAAACTTGACATTTATTAAACACTTATATTGTGACATTGTGTTTTTCTAGGTGTTATAGAAGTGTCAAATCACTGAATCCTCAAATAAACCTGTGCTGTATTCTTGTCTCCATGTTACAGAAAAGGAAACAGAGACACAAAGGGAATAAACAAGTAAGAATTTATCCACTACCTGTTACTATCTCCTCTTGCCCTAAAAGTGAATAATGAAGAGGGGTATAAAGATATGGCTTAGGCACATAACAAAATATGCTTAAATAGTGGACAATAGAAACATCTAGGTAGTGACATTTCAGGGTAGGCAGTAGTGAGGCATGGGGCTGCTCTTTCTCATTATAATTCTGTAGGGCTGTTTGATTTTCTAAATAACGTACATTATGTTAAAATAATAATAATTTAATAGAACAAAATAAAAATATGCCTGGTCTATATAATGTAGGCACTTCTCTGTGGTGTTTGAGCATCTTCAGAATTTCCATTCAATTGTGACTACTTGATGCTTTGTATAATATGTCCATGAAAAGGCAACCTAATTCTGAAATGCTTTTCAGCAAATTTAAATCTCTTACTTTATTGTTCTTTTTAGTTTAGTCATATGTTGAAGATACCTTTTTTAGACTTGGCAGGTAGGGAATGAGAATGTTGTCAGAAAATGTGTTATAAACATCATTGAAAAAAGTCACATTGTATTACATTTTTCTGTACATTGACAAAGTCTATTTAATAGAATCATCAGGCAGTGATGCCATAAAAATAGGAGTCGGTTCCATGGTAGAAGTGACCTGACTGCCTCCCACAGAGGGAGTCAGGTCCCCTCTATCAATGAGGCTCATTTTGCAGGTGCTGAATTTGTCCCCAATGTTCCCAATTATGTCTGAACCAATCAGAGTCCTTGTGAAAGAAGCAACTGGTCGAATTGCATATTCAGTGCTGTACAGTATTGGAAATGGATGTGTCTCTGGTAAAAACCAGCCTACAATTCTTTTGCTGATGCATATCACCCCTATGATGAGTGTCCTGGATGGTGTCCTAATGAAACTGCAAGACTGTGCCCTTTCCCTTTGGAAATATGTCATTGCAGCAGACAAAGAAGAGCTGGTCTTCAAAGACTTGGATGTGGCCATTCTTGTGGGCTCCATGCCAAGAAGGGAAGGCATGGAGAAGAAAGATTTACTTAAAGCACATGTGAAAATCTTCAAATGCCAAGATGCAACCTTGAAGAAATATACCAAGAAGTTAAATTTATCATAATGGAAAATCCAGTTAATACCATCTGCCTGATTTTCTTCATGTCAGCTCCATCTATCCCCAAGAACTTCAGTTGCTTAATTCATTTGAATCACAACTGAGATGAAGCACAAATCACTCTTAAACTTGGTGTGACTGCTGAAAATGCAAAGAATGTCATTATCTAGGGAGACCATTCCTCAATTCAGTATCCAGATGTCAACCATGCCAAGGAGAAATTGCAAGAAAAGGAAATTAGTGTTTATGAAGCTCTGAAAGATGACAGTTGGCTCAGGGAGAATTCATCATGACTGCAGCAGCATGATGCTGCTTTCATCAAAGCTTGAATACTATCCAGTGCAATATCTGCCATAAAAGCTATCTCTGACTGTCAGAGATATCTGGTTTGAAACACCAGAGGGTGAGTTTGTGTCCATGGGTGTTACTGCTGATGGCAGCTCTTATGGTATGCCTGATGATCTGCTGCTCTGCTGTGATAATCAAGAATGAGACCTGGAAGTTTAAGTTCTCCCTATTAATGATTTCTCATGTAAGGAGATGGATCTTACTGCAAAGGAGCTACTTATGAAGTATTGGACAATAAACTAGTTTTGAAGTTCTTTTCCTTGCCTGACTAGAAAATCATTTTGATGTTACTAAATGTGCCAAAGCTCAAGAACCTAAATAGCATCTTTGACTCTAGTACCAAATAATAATAATGTTATACTTAAATTACATGTACAGAAAACATATTAAAGAGTATGTGCTTCTTGGTACATATTTTTAAATGACAATTTATTATGCTGTTACTGCTGCTTTTAAAATAAATATATACTCAAATGAAAAATAATAAAATATACTAAAAGTATTGGAAAGAGTTTATAAAATGTATTAAGCAGAAACATTTGCAATTGTCTGCAGTGTACTATATGTCTAAGCAAAAGCAACATCTTTTGGGAATGTCTCTAACCTTAAGGGAGGCTGCCTAGAATTGAGAAAAGAGAAAGAAAAAGAAAGGCATTTTTAGACTGAGGAGGTGGGAAAGTCCTAGGCATCAGCTGTGCTTCAGTTCAAGCCTGGATAAAAATTAGTTCAGATTGGAGCAGCGAATTAAGGCCTCAAAGGGATTTTTCAAAAGAAAGTAGATCATAGCTCATCTCATATACTTGAAAGTATTGCAATTCATTTTGGTACACTCAAAGGCTTGGGAGTAAACTTACTGTAGGTACATAGAAAATATAGCAATTAAAGATTAAGACAATTATTAACTTCAGGGAAAAAAGCAAGATCACATATTAAGGTAAAATGTGAATATTTATTTAGCAGGAATCGATCAGGACTTTTCATGGTTGAATGTCATCCTGGGTGCCCAAGGAAGTGAGCACCCAGACTTTCTTGCTGTTTTGCCCAGATGTGTGGGACAGGAGAAACAGGGACACTTGAGACCTGAAAGATGTCATCATCAAACATCAAAAATAAAGTCAGACTCTTTAATACAATTTACTCATAATGTTTGACTGACGATCAAAATATGCCGTGTTTTATCTAAGTGAATGTGACCTTGTTTAAGTTAGACATTGTGGTACTCTACGAGGCCTGAAGCCTGAGATCAGTGAATGAGACCTTGTTTAAGTTAGACGTTGTGGTACTCTATGAGGCCTGCAGCCTGAGATCAGTAAAGAAAGTGAATGTTTTATTGAACACCTATTTCAAGAGCTCAACAGTGTGTAAAGGGAAAGACATCTTTCCCTTTACACAATGAACAATGCCATCCTTGTTCATTATCCATGATGTCTGGAAAATTTTTAATTATTTTTAATTATTTAAAAAATTTAATTATTTCAATAGCTCTTGGGGTACAGGTGGTTTATGTTTACGTGGATAAATTATATAATGGTGAATTCTGAGATTTTACTGTACCCATCACCGGAGTAGTGTACATTGTACCTAATGTGTAGTTTTATATCCTGGCTCTCCTCCTACATTCTCCCTTTTGACATTCTAGAGTCCATTGTATCACTCTGTATGTTTTTGCATATTCATAGATTAGCTCCCTCTTATAAGTGATGTTAAAGCAAACTAAAAAATATTTGAGTCCTTGTGGACAAATCATAACCTAACTTAATAGGTAGTTGAGATTAAAAACCTAACTTAGGAGTATCTGTCTGTAACAAAAGCTGTGTCCTGGCCAATCCCAGAAGCCACAGTTCTACCATTCATACAACACTGAGTGCTTAAACTGTGTCCAAATAAGGCGAACACCAACCTGTAACCAATCCAGCTGTTTCTGTACCTCACTTCTGATTTCTGTACGTCACTTTCCTTTTTGTTTTTTGTCTATAAATTTCTTGTGACCATGAGGTATCCCTGGAATCTCTCTGAATCTGCTGCGATTCTGGAAGGTGCCCAATTTATGAATCTTTCTTTTTTTCTAGCTCAATTAAACTCTGTTAAAATTAATTTGTCAGAAGTTTTTTTTTTTTTTTTTTTTTTAGCAGATCTGGTATCAGAAGTGGGATTTGAAGTAAAACTCTGTGAACCCCAGGAACACCAGGTGAGCATGTGAGGTGCCTGTGGAACCAGTTGTGCTCACTGCTCTCCTGATTGTAACTGAAGGTCGTGGGTGAGTTTTCACTCAGATTTGGAGCTTCACTAACATGTGTTCTGAGCTCTCTGAGTTTATTTGTGCAATACTTAGACTGGACTGCATCCAGGATCAAATTGGACTTGATAATTAACTGGATTGGATTCAGATAGAGGTGTCAGATCTTGTGCAGGTACCTTATTTTATTTTTTTCCTTTTTTTATTATTATACTTTAAGTTCTAGGGTACATGTGCACAATGTGCAGGTTTGTTACATATGTATACGTGTGCCATGTTGGTGTGCTGCACCCATCAACTCGTCATGTACATTAGGTATATATCCTAATGCTATCCCTCCCCCTTACCCCCATCCCATGATAGGCCCCAGTGTGTGATGTTCCCCAACGTGTGTCCAAGTGGTCTCATTGTTCAATTCCCACCTATGAGTGAGAACATGCGGTGTTTGGTTTTCTATCCTTGTGATAGTTTGCTCAGAATTATGGTTTCCAGCTTCATCCATGTCCCTACAAAAGACATGAACATATCCTTTTTTATGGCTGCATAGTATTCCATGGTGTATATGTGCCACATTTTCTTAATCCAGTCTATCACTGATGGACATTTGGGTTGGTTCCAAGTCTTTGCTATGGTGAATAGTGCCGCAATAAACATATATGTGCATGTGTCTTTATAGGAGCATGATTTATAATCCTTTGGGTAGATACCCAGTAATGGGATAGCTGGGTCAAATGGTATTTCTTAGTTCTAGATCCTTGAGGAATTGCCACACTGTCTTCCACAATTGTTGAACTAGTATACACTCCCACCAACAGTGTAAGAGTGTTCCTATTTCTCCACATCCTCTCCAGCACCTGTTGTTTCCTGACTTTTTAATGTTTGCCATTCTAACTGGTGTGAGATGGTATCTCATTGTGGTTTTGATTTGCATTTCTTTGATGACCACTGATGATGAGAATTTTTTCATGTGTCTGTTGGCTGTATAAATGTCTTCTTTTGAGAAGTGTCTGATGAGATCCTTTGCCCACTTTTTGATGGGGTTGTTTGATATTTTCTTGTAAATTTGTTTAAGTTCTTTGTAGATTCTGGATATTAGCCCTTTGTGAGATGGGTAGATTATAAAACTTTTCTCCCATTCTGTAGGTTGCCTGTTTACTCTGATGACAGTTTCTTTTACTGTGCAGAAGCTCTTTAGTTTAATTAGATTCCATTTCTCAATTTTGGCTTTTGTTGCCATTGCTTTTGGTGTTTTAGTCATGAAGTACTTGCCCATGCCTATGTCCTGAATGGTATTGCCTAGGTTTCTTCTAGGGGTTTTATGGTTTTAGGCCTAACATGTAAGTCTTTAATCCATCTTGAATTAATTTTTGTATAAGGTGTAAGGAAGGGATCCAGTTTCAGCTTTCTAAATATGGCTAGCCAGTTTTCCCAACACCATTTATTACATAGGGAAGACTTTCCCCATTTCTTGTTTTTATCAAGTTTGTCAAAGATCAGATGGTTGTAGATGTGTGGTATTATTTCTGAGGGCTCTGTTCTGTCCCATTGGTCTATATCACTGTTTTGGTACCAGTACAATGCTGTTTTGGTTACTGTAGCCTTATAGTATAGTTTGAAGTCAGGTAGCCTGATGCCTCCAGCTTTGTTATTTTGGCTTAGGATTGTCTTGGCAATGCAGGCTCTTTTTTGGTTCCATATTAACTTTAAAGCAGTTTTTTCCAATTCTGTGAAGAAAGTCATTGGTAGCTTGATGGGGATGGCATTGAATCTATAAATTACCTTGGGCAGTATGGCCATTTTCACAATATTGATTCTTCCTATCCATGGGCATGGAATGTTCTTCCATTTGTTTGTGTCCTCTTTTATTTCATTGAGCAGTGTTTGTAGTTCTCCTTGAAGAGGTCCTTCACACCCCTTGTAAGTTGGATTCCTAGGTATTTTATTCTCTTTGAAGCAGTTTTGAATGGGAGTTCACTCATGATTTAGCTCTCTGTCTGTTATTGGTGTATAAGAATACTTGTGATTTTTGCACATTGATTTTTTATCCTGAGAATTTGCTGAGGTTGCTTATCAGCTTAAGGAGATTTGGGGCTGAGACGATGGGGTTTTCTAAATATACAGTCATGTCATCTGCAAACAGGGACAATTTGACTTCCTCTTTTCCTAATTGAACACGCTTTATTTTTTTTTCCTGCCTGATTGCCCTGATCAGGTACCTTATTTTTAATAATGGGATCATTTCAACTCAAAGAGTCTGGGAATCCACATTCTGGGACTTCAGCTAATTTTATGTGTACAAATTATAGGCCCAGGTGTGTGCATTTTTAAAAAAATGGGTTAAACTCATTAAAGAAAACTTAGAATTCAGATGGCTGCAATGGAGAAGTTTTAATTTGGATAAAATTTTTTATCTTCAAGACATATTAAATAGGGGGATCAAAACCCTCAAAAAACAGTGGCACATATTCTTTTATTGGTATGCAGAAGCTTCTAAAAGACTAAATTAATCAAAAATTGACTTTTTAAAAGGTTGTTTGCAAACCACAAATGAAAATCTTAAGCAACAGACTAAGGACATGACAAAAGATGACTGTACTCTGACTCAACTAACCCCAACTCTTCCTTTTGTTTATCCATCTCCACCTAGATACTGAGTCCACTAACCTTTTTGCTAAATTACCCTTTCACTCTGAAGATAATGGCAAAAAAAAAAAAATGAAATTAGACATATCCCTTACAAAGTGAGATGTTCTAGTCAGTTAGTCCTGCCTGCTGTAACCATGTTCACTCTGTGGTCTAAAACCAAGCTTATAGCCATTGTGATGGACTTCCCTGGTCCAAGGAAAAATTCTCAAAAATTTACCAAGGAATTTAGAATCTTCTTAGGAGTTTATGATCCAGGAGTTTCTGACCTTTGACAATTTGTTCACATGATATTGGGGTCTGATGAATCTCAGAAATAAATGGGAGCAGCAGAATGGGACAAACCTGAGAGAATATTAAAAACCCCTCCAAAAGCTCCTCATGAGAAGAACCAAACGTAGCTAGAAAATTTGCTGAAAACCTTTTAAATTCAATTCCTAATTTTTTTCTACAAAAAAAATTGATTGGTTTATCATACAATATTGTAAAGAAAGAAAGGATGAACCAATTTTAGATTATAGAACTCACTTAGAAACTGTGAAACATTCTGGGCTCAAAGTACAGTAAGGAGAATTTCCTGCAGGGACTGAAATGGCATTAGCTTTTCTGTTTATAAATGGACTCCATCGTGAACTTAGCAGTTTAATTAAAAAACATAAGCTGAGATGGGAAGTGACTGAATTGGTGGCCTTTGCTGAACATTTTGAGGGAACTCTGGAACAAGAAAACACTCAAAAGGCTAAGAAGCTTAGGACCCTTCAATTACAACAGTTACAGGGGCCAAGACCAGAGGCACCTTCTTGTTCCCATTTTAAATCACAACCAAGAGGTTCTGAAAGAGGAAATTCTTCCCAAGATGTCCGCCGTTATGCAAACACCGAGGACACTGGAAAAGGGATTGTCTGCTTTTATATTGGTCCACCAATAAGCTTCCCTTTAGGCCGAACTGTTTCACCACTAGAGAGAGCCCAAGAGACCTTAGGCCTCCTGATAATAATAAACATCAAGGAGGATCTGAAGGATACTCCTGTAAATTGCTCCCTGTAATATCTTTAAATGAACATGGAGAAACAGAGTTAAAATAAATAGGAAGTCATGTACAGTCCTGGTGGATACCAGAACTACTCTATCTGTCATAAACCCCACTTTAATAAGCCAACAAATCCCTCAGGGTAAAAAGATCATTTCTGTGGTGGGGGTTTCAAATCAAGTTCAAGAGGTTCCCACCTCTGAACATATTCAATTAACTTCGGGGGTCTTTTCAGAAAAATACACCTTTTTTTTTTTTTTTTGTACGATTTGATACTGCTCCAGTAAACTTGTTAGGGCAAGATTTACTTTCAAAGCTAAAAGGGCACATAAAATTTTCCTGATACAGATATGTAATCTTAGAGTTTCCTAAGTCTCTTGAGCCAGAATTGTTATGTTGTCTACAGGCAGAAAATGATAAAATCAAAACTCAGGCCTGTAATACCCCTGATCTTTCAAAAATACCTAAATGTTTATGGGTCTGTTTCTCAACTGACGTAGGAAAAATTAAAAGTATGGAACCTATAAAAGCCCAAATAGATCATTCTAAACTGTTACCTAAATTACACCAATATCCACTAAAACCTGAAGCAATTCAAAGGCTCTCGCCAATTGTAGATGATTTAATTAAACAAGGATTCATAATTCCATGCACCATCCCTTGTAACACTCCAATCTTACCAATTAAAAAACCAAATAGATGAGGCTGGAGATTTGTTTGAGATTTATCGGAAATTAAAAAATATATAATACCAAGATTTTCTGTAGTCTGAAATCCTAATGCTTTGTTACCTAATGTACCCACTGATTTCAAGTGGTTCACAGTAATAGATCTCTGCTCAGCCTTCTTTGGCATTCCATTTCATAAAGAGAGTCCATACTTGTTTACCCTTACTTGGAAAAATCAGCAGTACACCAGAACCGTAATGACACAAGAGTTTACCGAAGCCCCTTCATATTTTTCCCAAACATTGCATCAGGAATTGGCACTACAATTTCGTCAAAATTCTACTCTCATTCAGTACATAGACTCATTGTTATGCTCTCCCACTAAGAAGTGCTCTGAAATTGACTCAGTTTACCTTTTACAGCAACTTTCATATAAAAGTCACAAGGCTTTAATGAAAAACCTTCAGTTTTCAAGAGGAAAATCCACTATTTGGTACATAAATTGACTGCTGAAGGGATTTCACCTGAGAGGATAAAAAGTGTTCTAAATTTTTCTCAACCTGCAACCAAAAGACACTTAAAAGAATTTCTGAGACTTGCCAGATATTGCAGATTATAGGTTCCAAATTTTTCCTTAACAGCTTCACCACTGTATAAGCTCACTGAAAATGCTGTACCGGAGCCTTTGCCTTAAGATGATAGTCATGAGCAGGGTTTTAGCCAAATGAAATTGGCCTTACAACAGCCCCCAGCTTTCAGATTTTCAAATTGCACTAAACCTTTCACCTTGGTTGATCATGAGCGTAAAAATCAGGCATTAGGATTCCTTACTCAAAAGCATAGTGGTAAACATAGACACATTAGATACTATAGACTTCAAGTAGGCCCAGTTGCTAAGGAACATTGTAATTGTTTAAAAACCAGTAACAGCAGTGGCCAACCTGGTAGAAGTTTCATCAGATATGATTTTCGGAACTGAACTTAATCTGCAAGTCCCACAGGCTGTGAAAAATCTATTAAATTCCAACCAAATCCAGCATTTTTCAGTAAGTAGACTACCATCTCATGAATTACTACTACCATCTCATGAATTACTTCTCCTATCTCTTTCTAATCTTCATCAAAAATGCTGTAATCTACTTAACCTTACTACTCTATTACCTCTGTCTGATGATGGTGAAGACCACAATTGTTTAAGTGTAGTGTCAGAAATAGTGGTTCCTTGTGTTGATTTACAAGATACTCTACTGAATAATTCTCAATTAATACTCTTTGTTGATGCGTCCTATGCCAATAACTCAGAAGAAAAATATCAGGCAGAATATGCTGTTACCACCCAAAGTGAGTTAATAGAAAAGAAAACTCTTCCTCAATTTAAGCTAGCCCAATGTGTGGAGCTTTTTGCCCTCACCGAGCTTGTCATACAGCTAAAGACAAGTCAGTAAATATTTATACAAATAGCAGATATGTTTTTGGAGTAGTACATGATTTTTGCATGAGATGGAAATTTTGAGGGTTTCTCATCTCTAGTGGGAGCCCCATCAAAAACGGACTCCAAGTAGATGATCTCCTTTCTACTATCCTGTTGCCATTACAGATTGCTGTTATTAAGATTAAAGCTCACACTTGTAGAACTGAACCTGAATATCAGGCAAACGCTTTAGCAGATTTTTATGCTAAAACAGCTAGTGCTGAAACTGTTAAAATATGCAATCTGAATGAATTTCCTAAGATTAATCCAAGCCAACTTTCCTATGATAACCTATTTAATGAACAGTGCAATGCACATGATTTGGAAAAACAAAATTAGTGTGTAAAATAATGTAAATTTAGTGTGAAGCACAGACTCACAGAGGGCCTGGATGCTGTCTGGTCCTTCCTGAGTCTTTTAAACTTTCATTGTTAAAAGCTCTGCACTCCACAACTCATCATGAAATGGACAAAATGATCCAAACTGTGAAAAAATACTGATGGGATGACTGTTCCAAAATTGCTATAATGGTTTATAATTAAACTTTGACTTGTCAAACTCATAATCCTGGAAAAACAATAAAAACTTCAGGTGGTATATTTCCACCACATGATGCACCATTTGGTGCATCTAACATTTTTAGATGGACTTCATTCAGTTGCTACCCAATAGGGTATCATTATGTTCTTTTAATAATTTGCATGTTTTCTAGTTGAATAGAGGCCTTCCCATGTAGGAAAGCTGCTGCTCTGACAGTGGCCTAGAATTTACTAGAAAATGTTTTTCTTTTATGAGAGATGCCTGGAAAAACTTCCAGTGATAGCAGAACTCATTTTACTGGGCAAGTTATAAAGCAGTTAAATAAGTGTTATGGATAGTGTCACTACCATTGTCCTTATCACCCCCAGTCTTCTGGAAATGTTGAAAGAACAAATGGCATATTAAAACGGAAATTGTCAAAGTTAACTGAATCAATTGTATTGCCTTGGCCAAAGGTACTACCTTTGGCTTTCATGGCAATTAGATCCACTCCCATTGGAAAATGTAAGGTGATCCCTTATGAAATAGTCATCGGGAGACCTATGTCCCTAATAGTAGCACCTCATGCTTCTCCTGTTCTCTTAAACTCTTGTGTGGCTAAATACTGCAAGGCTTTAATGCATTATGCCACAGTGTACTTTCACCAGGTAAAGGAAGCTTTTTGAGATTCACCAGCTGAGGACAATCAGACCCTCCATGATCTGAAACCTGAAGACTGGGTCTTCTGGAAACAATATCAGAAGACTGCTCTTGAACCTTCTTGAAAAAAAAATCATATGAAGTTCTTCTCACCACCCACCATTGCAGTTAAGCTTCAGGGCCTTGAACTTCTTGGGTCCACAACTCACAATTCAAAAGGGACCTTTCAGACTCCTGAACCTGTACTCCTTGAAATCTTTCCTCAGAAGCAAATGGCATCCTCGTTGTGAACAGCTTTCCCAAGATCATGGATCAAGACTTCTCTACCGTCATGAAAGCCTTATGTGTTTTTCTTTTTCCTCATTTTTTGTTGTCCTAATCCTTTTCTTTCCCATACAGAAAAATCCATAGGACAATAATCAGTGGGTGGCTTTAGCCTGAGCTTATGGTCTAGCACAAAACCAGAGTAATTGTTGGGTTTGTGGGCTAATGCAAAAAAAAATTAGGAAAAAATTCTGCTGATGCCAATGCCTCCCCATGTTCCCAATTAGAGTAACCCTGAAACTCCAAGGAAAGAATGGGAAGCTATTATTGATATTCTAAACATCACTGCTGCTTGTTTTTTTTACAGTCAATAAAAACAATACTCTAACTTTTTAAATTGATAACTCCATCATTACCAAATATAAAATAAAAAAAATATCCAAACGATGCCTGTAAAAGTATATTATGCTTCCAGGAATCACACTCTCTAGATTGGGGAATTACCTATGTTGGTACAAGTAATTGCATGCAATATATAACTGAATTAAATCCAGTAGGGTCTCTTTTTACTACGTGTAGTTATATCCCCTTACAACATGCTATAAAGAGAGCAGAAAAAAAGTAAATTTCCTACTGGATGTTGTTCAGGAGCTATGCAGATTTGTGGATGAAGAAAACTGACTGACTCCTGCACAAATGCAACTAGGTGGCCCTTTTTTCCGACTCCAAAGGGTCTATATTGGATCTGTGGAGAATCTGGATATTTTGTTCTGCCTCTTTGTTTGTTCAGATCTTGCTATTTGACCTGGCTCACTACTGCCTTTTGAATAGCTTCCCCTGAAAAGTCTCATGATAGCCTTATAATCAGAGGCATAAATAATCAATAACTGAAATTAGCACTAGCCTTGAAATAGATGAGTTTAAGCTAGTTTTTACTGAGGAAACATTACAGTGGGGTCCTTGGGGGCTCACTATTGGTGGTAGTGGGGTGCCAGTTGTAAGGAACTTAAAGCTAATTCATAAATTGGGAAAAATCTTGGATTTTGCATACAATCAGACTGCCCAGTGTTTCAGATGGGTAGAAGCTACTCTCTGAAAGGTAGATGACAACATACATATTCAACAAAAACATTTAATGGAATATCATACAGCTTTATATCTTCTTTTTGCTCAAACTGGAGACCTATGCTTGGTGTTAAACAAAACTGAATGTTATCTTTCTCCTGACTTTGTTACTACAAAAAGCTTAATTAAAAAGGTAGCTGACACTGCTATTTTCTTTTTTTTTTTCTTTTTTTTAAATTATGCTTTAAGTTTTAGGGTACATGTGAACAACTTGTAGGTTTGTTACATATGTATGCATGTGCCATGTTGGTTTGCTGCACCCGTCAACTCGTCATTTATATTAGGTACATCTCCTAATGCTATCCATCCCCAAGCCCCCCAGCCCATGACAGGCTCCAGTGTGTGATGTTCCGTGCCCTGTGTCCAAGGGTTCTCATTGTTCAATTCCCACCTATGAGTGAGAATATGCAGTGTTTGGCTTTCTGTCCTTGTGATAGTTTGCTCAGAATGATGGTTTCCATTTTCATCCATGTCCCTACAGAGAACATGAACTCATCCTTTTTTCTGGCTGCATAGTATTCCATGGTGAATATGTGCCACATTTTCTTACTCCGGTCTGTCATTGATGGACATTGGGGCAGGTTTCAAGTCTCTGCTATTGTGAATAGTGCCACAATAAACATACGTGTGCATGTGTCTTCATAGTAGCATGATTTATAATCCTTTGAGTATATACCCAGTAATGGGATTGCTGGATCAAATGGTATTTCTAGTTCTGGATCCTTGAGGAATTGCCACACTGTCTTCCACAATGGTTGAACTAATATACAGTCCCACCAACAGGGTAAAAGCATTCCTATTTCTCCACATCCTCTCCAGCACCTGTTGTTTCCTGACTTTTTAATGACCGCCATTCTAAGTGGTGTGAGATGGTATCTCATTGTGGTTTCGATTTGCATTTCTCTGATGACCAGTGATGATGAGCATTTTTTCATGTGTCTGTTGGCTGCATAAATGTCTTCTTTTGAAAAGTGTCTGTTCATGTCCTTTGCCCACTTTTTGATGGGGTTGTTTGATTTTTTTCTTGTAAATTTGTTTGAGTTCTTTGTAGATTCTGGATATTAGCCCTTTGTAAGACGGGTGGATTTTCTCCCATTCTGTAGGTTGCCTGTTCACTCTGATGGTAGTTTCTTTTGCTGTGCAGAAGCTCTTTAGTTTAATTAGACCCCATTTGTCTATTTTAGCTTTTGTTGCCATTGCCTTTGGTGTTTTAGTCATGAAGTCCTTGCCCATGCCTATGTCCTGAATGGTATTGCCTAGGTTTTCTTCTAGGGGTTTTATGGTTTTAGGTCTGACATTTAAGTCTTTAATCCATCTTGAATTAATTTTGGTATAAGGTGTAAGGAAGGGATCCAGTTTCAGCTTTCTAAATATGGCTAGCCAGTCTTCCCAACACCATTTATTAAATGGGGAATCCTTTCCCCATTTCTTGTTTTTGTCAGATTTGTCAAAGATCAGATGGTTGTAGATGTGTGGTGTTATTTCTGAGGCCTCTGTTCTGTTCCATTGGTCTATATCTCTGTTTTGGTACCAGTACCATGCTGTTTTGGTTACCGTAGCCTTGTAGTATAGTTTGAAGTCAGGTAGCATGATGCCTCCAGCTTTGTTCTGTTGGCTTAGGATTGTCTTGGCAATGTGGGCTCTTTTTGGTTCCATATGAACTTTAAAGTAGTTTTTTCCAATTGTGTGAAGAAAGTCATTGGTAGCTTGATGGGGATGGCATTGAATCTACAAATTACCTTGGGCAGACACTGCTATTTTCTTAGACTTTGCCACCAAATACATTAAATTAGTCTCTGAAGAGAAAGGAATCATAATTTGTTTACAGGAGCAACTAATGGTTTGCAGGCATTCTAAGTGGTGGATGACAAACTTGGGTTTTCCAAGGTTTCTAATCTTTATATTTCTTCTAGTAGGCTTCCAAGTTATTATGACTTGTGTTACCAGGGTAACAATGAAAATGAGTACCTCTTTAAATCAGGATACTTTACAGCTGTCAAAGAGTCAACCCCTATAAAATATTTAAAGAGATTTATTCTAAGCCAGTTATGAATGACCATGGTCCATGACTCAGCCCTCAAAATGTCCTGAGAACATGTGCCCAAGGTGGTTGGGGTGCAGCTTGGTTTTATACATTTTAGGAAGGCATGAAAGTTTAATCAGATACATTTAAGAAATACATTGGTTTGGTTGAGAAAGGTGGGACTACTCTAAGTGGGGCGGGGATGTGGGGGGTCTAGTTTATATGTAAATTTAAATATTCTTTGGTTGACAATTGCTTGAATTTATCTAAAGACCTGAGTTCAATAGAAATGAGTGTTTGGGTTAAGATAAAGCATTGTGGAAACCCAAGTTCTTATTTGCAGGGGAAATCTCCAGGTAGTAGGCTTCAGAGAGAATAGGTTTTAAAATGATTTTTTATCAGATTTAAAGTCTTTGTTGATGTTTATGCCAAGTGGTATAATGAGGCATGTCTGACCCCCACTTTCTGTCATGGCCTGAAATAGTTTCTCAGGTTAAATTTTAAAAGAGCCCTGGCTGAAGAGAAAGTTCATTCAGATGGTTGGGGTGCCTTAGAATTTTATTTTGGGTTTACATTCTCCCTCTTCTGGCCAAGATTTGCCAGAGGCAACATCAAAGGTCAGCCAATCTTTATTTTGTCAGCTAGCATTGCTAGAGTGTCATGGCTGCCTGTCCCATGTCCATCCTGTCCCTCAGTGGGACTCCCTATGGCCAAGGGCCTTAAGAATAAAAATACTGATAGCCAATTAATTGTCCTAGGCCATATAGAAATGGATGTAGACAGGCATTTCTTACATCTTAAAATTATTATTTTAGGTAAAAAGCCAACAAATAAAAAGCAAAATGCAAAGTTACAAAACTGGTTTATTTTTAACTTCTATATGTTGTGCTACATGTAAGCTTTGTTTTTGTTACAGACTTACAGCAAGTAGCTATACAAAACATAAGCATTTTTCTAAACATTTTTTGAATATAGATATAGATATATCTATCTTTGCAAACTCATAACTGATAGTATCATACCCAGTAGGCTTTGTTAACAGGTATCATTATTCTCTCAGTAAATATTTTATTTTAATTCTATGGGAAGCAGAAAATTTTTTTATAGTTAGGATAAATGTAAAAATGACAAATAATGGCTTAGAAGACTTGTTTTACCAGCTGTTTAGGAATCTTTGCATCCCTCCTTGATTTGGAGAGTCTGACCTTGACCGGATTCTATCCCTCAAAACCAGCCCTTAGAACCTCACATGCCCACTTCTTCTGGGACAGTCCCTTAACCAAAGGAAGGTTGCTTGTATAGTTTTAGCAGCAGGACATTTGCAGGAAAAACAGATTGGGCCTAGTGGGATGACAAATGAGGGATATTCACATCTCTGGTCTTGAGAGTACCATTATTTTTGTGTCCTTGGATGTAAAACAGGGAGAGACAAATAATATTAATATTTTGACAATGAACATAGTATTTATGTGTTAGAACAGAAAAAGGAGCCAACTCCATTAAGGAACCAACAAGTAAAATGTGAAGAAAAATTATAATCTGCTACTCTCTAGGATTATCATAGCCAAGAAATAATTCATGATTCTATCTGCACTTAAAAAAAAAACAAAAAACAAAAAAAAATAAAAGTTAGGGTTGAAATCTAGCACCAAGTGTTTTGCTTTTCCATTGAAACAATTTCTCTAGACCTGTTTTTCTATTAAAGAGAAATTATAGTAAGACCAATTTGTTTGCAAAATATGTTTTAGTCTTAATATACTTGGCCTGATTATTTGCATAAAATGCAGCAAGAATTGAGTGGCTATATAGGCTCCTTTTAAATTGGATTTGCAGGAACTTTGCCTAAAAATATACTATTTTAGTTTAAGTCTTGGTAAAACAACCAGTGTCTCTGATTGTTCTGTTTTTAAAGACTCTTTTTGAACTAATACAAATAATTATATTGTCATAAAATCACAATCAAAATGTTGGAGAACTCAGAGAGAAAGGTAAATTTGATTACAAAAAAAAGTACTTCCCCAAATAATTCAAAAGAAAAAGATTTTATTGACCCTTTTTAAACCAGAGCAGTAACTTGATGTTTGTTTACCTTGAAAATGCCATTCACAAGCCAAACAGCTCATGAAAGCTATCTCTCAGGCACTGTAGAATCTAACAGCTCCTCGCATAGTTAGAATTAGTTCTATAAAAAAGGCTCCCTGCTTATGAGAAACTCCTCCTTATATTCCCAGGTAGCAAGATTCTATGTAAACTGATTTTATTTCATCATGAAACTCTTTTGGGCACCATTTTTCCATTAGCATAGGGGTAATTTCAGTTAACATTCCATAGTAAGGCAGTAAATGCCCCTCAGTTGGAAATTCTCTGGTTCAGTCATTGTCATTGGGAAGTACTCACAGTCTTTTGCCATCAGCGCCAGTAAATGCTCTGCAAAGGGCTATGAAGTGGAGGATTTGTCCTGACTATCACTCCAGTTTCTAACCTATACTTTGTGAACTTGGGTGATTTTATTAGTTCCTATTTAACGTGTCTAAGTAACACTTCTTAAAGGAGCAGATTTACATGCCTTCAGTTTTATAGTACTATACAGGGGATACAACCTTCAGTTACATACAATACCTACTTTCATGAGATTTACATAAAAATTAGTCTGGCTGTCCACTCAGAAATAACTTCCTGTGCATTTGGATCACATATTCTCATCAGTGATTGTTCAATAGAGACCTGTGGGTCCTGCCTCAAACCAAAAAAGCTCTTAAATTCTGTAGAATTTAAAATTATTATTTTTTCCTTAAAGTGGTTATTTTTACAATTTATCACATAGACTTTTTAACAAACTGATGATACCAAGATACAAAATAAAAAAATTTCTTTGCATTATACCCTGTGGTTTTAATAGTTACTTGGTTTTGCCCTTCCCCCATATTGACTATCTTTTTGCTAGCCACAGTTCTTAGAGTTAACTTTTCTTGCCCTGGCTTAATTGTTCTTTTGATTCATTTAGTTTTATCTGTGTAATTTTCCTTCATTTAGAGGTAACTATTAAATTGTTTCTTAACTAAAAAATAAACTACATTTTTTTCTTCCTTTTTAATTTTTTCTTTTTAGAAAACTTGACATCCTTGTGTTTTATAAACTCACCAAAAACATATTTTATGCTTTTGGGAACCCAAAATTCTCAGTGAAAAAACTCCAAAGTTATAACATCATATGATTTTAAGATTTTGAACTACTGAAGAGAAATTTGAGATTAAATTTACCAAATTAATCTTACCAAAGATTACTAAGGTTATGTGAATTAAAAGGGATCTGAGCTAGTTTCTTCTAATCTGATAAGCATGTATTTTTTTAAAAGTTACTTGATTAGTGCAGGTGCGGTGGCTCACCTGAGGTCAGCATTTTGGGAGGGTGAGGCTGGTAGATCACCTGAGGTCAGGAGATTAAGACCAGCCTGGCCAACATTGTGAAACCCTGTCTCTACTTAAAATACAAAAAATTAGCTGGCAGTGGTGGTGGACACCTGTAATCCCAGCTACTCAGGAGGCTGAGGCAGGAGAATCGTTTGAACCCAGGAGGTGGAAGTTGCAGTGAGCCAAGATCACGCCATTGCACTCCAGCCTCGGCAAAAACAGTGAAACACCATCAAAAAAAGAAAAAAGTTACTTGATTAGAGCTCTTTCACATAGTTGGGTAGTGAAATATCACTTCCATGTGACACATTTAAAGATAGAGATATAACAGGCATGCAGAATAAGAGGGCAAGTCCAAAAAATATTTTATTTGCCTGTTTCCAAAAAAATTCTCTCTCTTACTTTAGATAATTGATAAAATGTTACAGGAGCTAATAAAAGATGAAGGAAAGAGTAAACATCCACGGCCATTTCAAAAGAGAAAGAGCCGTATTTTTTTGAGATATGAATCTGAAGACTGTAAAAAAGACAGATTATAGAATTTATAATTAAAAACTTAATAATTCATCACATAAACAGAACCAATGACAAAAATCACATGATTATCTCAATAGATTCAGAAAAGGCCTTTGATAAAATTCAACACCGCTTCATGCTAAAACCTCTCAATAAACTAGGAATTGATGGAACATATCTCAAAATAATAAGAGCTATTTATGACAAACCCACAGCCAATATCATACTGAATGGGCAAAAACTGGAAAGATTCCCTTTGAAAACTGGCACAAGACAAGGATGCCCTTTGTCACCACTCCTATTCAACATAGTACTGGAAGTTCTGGCCTGGGCAATCAGGCAAGAGAAAGAAATAAAAGGTATTCAAATAAGTTGAGAGGAAGTCCATGCCTATGTTCTGAATGTTATTGCCTAGGTTTTCTTCTAGGGTTTTATGACATTAGGTCTTAAAACACCAAAAGCAATGGCAACAAAAGCCAAAATAGACATATGGGATCTAATTAAACAAAAGAGCTTCTGCACAGCAAATGAAACTATCATCAGAGTGAACAGGCAACCTACAGAATGGGAGAAAATCTTTGCAATCTACCCATCTGACAAAGGGCTAATATCCAGAATCTACAAAGAACTTAAACAGATTTACAAGAAAAAAACAAACAACACCATCAAAAAGTGGACAAAGGATATGAACGGACACTTCTCAAAAGAAGACATTTATGCCACCAACAGACACATGAAAAAATGCTCATCATTACTGGTCATCAGAGAAATGCAAATCAAAACCACAGTGAGATACCATCTCATGCCAGTTAGAATGGCGATCATTAAAAAGTCAGGAAACAACAAATGCTGGAGAGGATGTGGAGAAATAGGAATGCTTTTACACTGTTGGTGGGAGTGTAAATTGGTTCAACCATTGTGGAAGACAGTGTGGCAATTCCTCAAGGATCTAGAACTAAAAATACCATTTGATCCAGTTATCCCATTACTGGGTATATACCCAAAGGATTATAAATTATGCTACTATAAAGACACATGCACATGTATGTTTATTGTGGCACTATTCACAATAGCAAAGACTTGGAACCAACCCAAATGTCCATCAATGATAGACTGGAGTAAGAAAATGTGGCACATATTCACCATGGAATACTCTACAGCCATAAAAAAGGATGAGTTCATGTCCTTTGCAGGAACATGCATGAAGCTGGAAACCATCATTCTAAGCAAACTGTCATAAGGACCCAAACACAGCATGTTCTCACTCATAGGTGGGAGTTGAACAAAGAGAACACATGGACACAGGGTGAGGAACATCACACACCAGGGACTGTCATTGGGGGGGGGACTTGGGGAGGGATAACAATAGGAGAAATACCTAATGTACATGACGAGTTGATGGGTGCAGCAAACCAACATGGCACATGTATACATATGTAACAAACCTGAACGTTGTGCACAGGTACCCTGGAACTTAAAGTATAATTTTTAAAAAGTGTCATTATAAAAACAGGTGTATTTATTTTTAAAATTTCACTATCTATACCTATGTAACAAACCTGCACATTCTGCACATGTATCCCATTTTTTAGAAGAAAAAAAATGAAGAGAGGAAGTAAAATTGTCTCTGTTTGCAGATGACATGATTGCATATTTAGAAAACCCCATCGTCTCAGCACAAAATCTCCTTAAGCTGATAAGCAACTTCAGCAAAGTCTCAAGATACAAAATCAATGTGCAAAAATCACAAGCATTCCTATACACCAATAATAGACAAACAGAGAGCCAAATCATGAGTGAACTCCCATTCACAATTCCTACAAAGAGAATGAAATACCTAGGAATAAAACTTGCAAGGGATGTGAAGGACCTTGTCAAAGAGAACCACAAACCTCTGCTCTAGGAAATAAGAGAGAACACAAACAAATGGAAAAACATTCCATGCTTATGGACAGGAAGAATCAATATCATGAAAATGGCCATAGTATCTAAAGTAATGTATAGATTCAATGCTATCCCCATCAAGCTACCATGAGCTTTCATCACAAAATTAGAAACAACTACTTTAAATTTCATATGGAACCAAAAAAGGGCCCATATGGCCAAGAGAATCCTAAATGAAAAGAGCAAAGCTGAAGACATTACATTACCTGACTTCAAACTATAGTACAAGGCTACAGTAACCAAAACAGCATGGTACTGGTATGAAAATAGAAATATAGACCAATGGAACAGAACAGAGGCCTCAGAAATAATACCACACATCTACAACCATCTGATCTTTGACAAACCTGAGAAAAACAAGCAATGGGGAAAGGATTCCCTGTTTAATAAATGGTGTTGGGAAAACTGGCTAGCCATATGCAGAAAACTGAAACTGGATCCCTTCCTTACACCTTATACAAAAATTAACTCTAGATGGATTAAAGACTTCAACATAAGACCCAAAACCATACAAACCTTAGAAGAAAACCTAGGCAATACCATTCTGGACATAGACATGTGCAAAGACTTCATGACTAAAACACCAAAAGCAATGGCAACAAAAGCCAAAATTGACAAATGGGATCTAATTAAACTAAAGAGCTCCTGCACAGCACAAGAAGCTATCATCAGCATGAACAGGCAACCTACAGAATGGGAGAAAATTTTGCAATCTACCCATCTGACAAAGGGCAAATATCCAGAATCTACAAATAACTTAAACAAATTTACAAGAAATAAACAAACAACCCCATCAAAAAGTGGGCGAAGGATATGAACAGACATTTTTGAAAAGAAGACATTTATGAGGCCAAAAAGCATATGAAACAAAGCTCATCATCACCAGTCATTAGAGAAATGCAAACCACCTCATGCCAGTTAGAATGGCAATCATTAAGAAGTCAGGAAACAACAGATGCTGACCAGGATGTGGAGAATTAGGAAAACTTTTACAATGTTCGTGGGAGTGTAAATTAGTTCAACCATTGTGGAAGACAGTGTCGCGATTCCTCAAGGATGTAGAACCAGAAATACCATTTAACCCAGCAATCTCACTACTGGGTATATATCCAAAGGATTATAAGCCATTCTACTATAAAGACACATGCACATGTATGTCTGTTGCAGCACTGTTCACAATAGCAAACCCAAATTTTCATCAATGATAGACTGGATAAAGAAAATGTGGCACATATACAGCAAGGAATATTATGCAGTTCTAAAAAGGATGTGTTTATGTCTTTTGAAGTGACATGGATGAAGCTGGAAACCATCATTCTCAGCAAACTAACACAGAAACAGAAAACCAAACACTGCATCTTCTCACTCACAACTGGGAGTTGAACAGTGAGAACACATGGACACAGGGAGGGAATCATCACACACCAGGGCCTGTCGGGGGATGGTGGGCTATGGGAGGGATAGCATTAGGAGAAATGCCTTATGTAGATGACGGGTTGATGGGTGCAGCAAACCACCATTTCACGTGTATACCTATGTAACAAACCTGCACGTTCTGCACATGTATCCCAGAACTTAAAGTATAATAAAAAAAGAATAAGCCAATATTTTAAATAAAAGCTTGTTTTAATCAATTATTTAGTTTTGTATTAGTGTATTTTTGTTAATATCAAAGACCATCTCTAGAAAGACTATTATAATTTCCTTTTCTACTTTTTTTTTTAAAGACAGAATCTTGCTCTGTCACCCAGGCTGGAGTGCAGTGGTGTGATCTCAGCTCACTAAAGCCTCCACCTCCTGGGTTCAAGTGATTCTCATGGCTTAGCCTCCCAAGTAACTGGGACTAAAGGCACATGCCACCAGGCTGGGCTAATTTTTGTATTTATTTTAGTAGAGTCAGGGTTTTACCATGTTGGCCAGGCTGGTCTTAAACTCCTGACTTCAAGTGGGCTGCCTGCCTCAGCCTCCCAAAGTCCTGGGATTACAGGCATGAGCCACTGCAACCGGCCATATGGTCACTTCTATTTATGCTGAGAAAGCATTTGATAAAATTTAACATCCCTCCTAATCAAAACCCTAAAGAAACTGGGTATAGAAGAAACATAACTCAACATAATAAAAAACATATACGACAGACCCACAGTATCATACAAAATGGGGAAAAACTGAAAGCTTTTCCTTTAAGATCTGAATCACAAGGATGCCCACTTTCCACTTTTATTCGACAAAATACTAAAAGTCCTAGCTAGAGCAATCAGACAATAGAAAGAAATAGAGGGCATCCTAATTGGAGTGGGAAAAGTCAAATTATTCTTGTTTGCAAATTATATAATCTTATATTTGGAAAACAAAAAAACTCCACCAAAAAAAAACTTTTAGAACTGATAAGCCAATTCGGTAACACTGCCAGATACAAAATCAACACACAAAAATCAGTAGCATTTCTATATGCCAACAGTAAACAATGTTAAAAAGAAATAAAAATGTAATCCCACATTTAAAATTTAGCCACACATAAAATTCAATACCTAGAAATTAACTTAACCAAACACGTGAAATATCTCTGTAATGAAAACTATAAAATATTGATGAAAAAATTGAAAAGGACACACACAAAAAGGATATTTTATGTTCATGGATTGGAAGAATCAATGTTGTTGAAATGTCCATACTATCCAAAGCAATCTACATACTGAATGCAATTTCTATCAAAATACCAATGACATTCTTCACAGAAAGAGAAAAAAGCAATCCTAAATTTTATATGAAATCACAAAAGACCCTAAATAGCCAAGGTGTCCTAAGCAAAAAGAACAACATTGGAGAATCACATTATCTTACTTCAAATTATACTACCGAGGTATAGTAACCAAAACAGCATGGCACTGGCATAAAAACAGACACATAGACCAATGGAACAAAATACACAACCCAGAAACAAATTCACACACTTCCAGTAAACTGATTTTTGTCAAAAGTGCCAAGAACATACACTCGAAAAAAAATGTCTCTTCAATAAATGGTGCTGGGAAAACGGGACATCTATATGCAGAAGAATAAAACTAGACCTCTGTCTCTCACCATATACAAAAATCAAATTAAAATAAATGAAAGGCTTAAATCTAAGACCTCAGACTATGAAACTACTACAAGCAAACATTGGGGAAATTTCCCAGGACATTGGTCTTGGCAAAAATTTCCTGAGCCATATCCCAGAAGCACAGGCAACCAAAGTAAAAATGAACAAATGGGATCACATCAAATTAAAAAGCTCTTGCACAGCAGAGGATACAATCAACAAAGTGAAGAGACAACTCTTCAGAATGGGAGAAAATATTTGCAAACTACCTTTCTGGCAAAGGATTAATAACTAGAATGTATAAGGAGCTTAAACAACTGTATAGAAAAAGAAACTAGTAATCTGATTTTAAAAAGTTTGAAAGATTTGAATAGATATTTCTCAAAAAAAGACAAATCACAAACAAGCGTATGTAAAGACGATGAACACTATTGATCATTAGAGAAATGCAAATCAAAACTACAATGAGGTATTATCTTGCCCCATTTAAAATGGCTTACATCCAAAGGACAGGCAATAACAAATACTGTCAAGGATGTGGAGAAAAGGGAACGATTTTATACCGTTGGTGAAAATGTAAGTCAGTACCACCCCTATGGAGAACAGTTTGGGGGTTCCTCAGAAAACTAGAAATAAAGTTACCATATGATTCAGTAATCCTACTGCTGGGTATATATGCAAGGGAAAGAAAATCACTATATGGAAGAGATATTTGCACTCTTTTGTTTGTTGCAGCATCTTCACAATAGCCAAGATTTGGAAGCAACGTAAGTGGCCATCAATAGATGTGTGGATAAAGAAATTGTGGTACTTATACACAATGGACTGCTGTTCAGCCATTAAAAAAATGAGATCCTGTCACTTGCAACACCATGGATGAAACTGAAGATTATTATGATATGTGAAATAAGCCAGGCACAGAAATACAAATACCACATGTTCTTACTTATTCTGTGATCTAAAAATCAAAGAAATTGAATTTGTGGACACAGAGAATAGAAGGATGGTTAACAGAGGCTGGGAAGAGTAGTGGGGGTGGGAGGAGAAGGTATGGTTAATGAGTACAAAAGTAATAGAATATATAAGAGCTAATATTTGATAGCACAATAGGGTGACTATAGTGAATAATAAGTGGGTTGCATATTTTTAAATAAGTATAATTAGATTGTTTGTAACACAAAGGATAAATGCTCGAGGGGGTGGGTACCCCATTCTCTATGATGTGATTATTATGCATTGCATGTCTGTATCAAAACATTGTGTTTACCTCATACATATATACACCTACTATGTACTCAAAAAATAAAAAGTTCAAAAACATAAAAAATGGAGTTAGTCTTATTATTTGTGTGTGTGTATTGTGCGTGTGTGACTGCTTATGAGGGAAACCTAAATTATTTTTTTCATAAAAAAGTGAATAGATAAAATGTGTGACTGAGAATTCAAAAAGGAGCATTATACAAATTTTGTTTAGAAATATATAGATAAATAACTTATGGAAAAGCTAAAGGATTTGAAAGGTTTCTCATGAAAAATGTACCTCTGATTTATTTCAACTTTTCCAGTCACCATAATCTTCATTGTTGATGTTCTTTGGAGAAAATTCCTCCACCTCATTCTAATATTTTATCAATTTTTTAATGAAAGTAAAATATCTGGGAGTGGCAAATAGTCTGTGATTGACAAGACAGACACTAATGCAAACAATTTTATAATATTGTGAAAGGAACATAAATCTTTGGACCCCCAAATCACTGAGCTAAAAGGGAAAGTCAAGCTGGCAACTGCTTAAGACAAACCTGTATCCCATTCTATTCAAGATTGTACCTCTGCACATTGAGATAAATGCATATCTGATTGCCTCCTTTGGAAAGTCTAATCAGAAACTCAAACGAATGTTTGTCTCTTATCTGCCTATAACCTGGAGTCCCCTGCCCACTTCGAGTTGTTCTGCCATACCGGCTCAAACCAATGTACATCTTACATATACTGATTGATGCCTCATATCTCTCTAAAATGTATAAAACCAAGCTGTGCCCTGACCACCTTGGGTACATGTCCTCAGGACCTCCTGAGGGTGTGTCACGGGTGCATATCCTTAATGTTGGCATAATATACTTCCTAAATAGACTGAGACCTATCTCATATATTTGGGTTTCACAACATGTTGTTGGACAGATATATGTTATGTGGAAAAATCATAGTAAAGATATTCAGAATTTAATTTGAATGGGTAAGTGTGGTGGTGCTGGACTCTGGGTAATTTACATTTGAGGCAAGACCTGAAATAAAGTGATGAAATGAGTCACATGACATTTAGAGGGAAAGAGCAATCCAGAGAAAAGAAACAGCAATTTTGTAGGGTGGGAGTAAGTTCATTCTTAGGAAGCAGTGGGAGGAAGTATAATGTAAAACTTAAACTCTGGATTCAGACAGATGGACTGCTATCTTATTGCTGTCTCTTATTAAGCTGAGTGATATTAGGCATGTGTCTCAGCCCTTTTTACTTCAAGATTCTCATATGTGAAACAGATATAAAAGTACCCAATTCTCAAAAAGTAAAACTAATGTGAATTTATAGGCATCACTTAACCTCTTAGCATCTTGATTTGTTCAGATCATTCACATATTTACTTGCCAGTCTCCCATCTAGTTTGTCAGCCAGGAACAAAAATCACTGATAACTCCAAAAGGCTGTTCCTCTTCATTATCTTTATTATTATCGTGATTGTATCATCATCACTGTTCTCTCTTCAAGAACTAATTAATAAGCTTGCTAGGCAGCAGAAGCTGAATATCTTGTTGTCAGGAATGATGACCACTCTGAAGTGAAAACAGGCAATGCCTGACTGCTTGGTGTTCATTTGTGTAGTCTTCTTAGGAGAGTTCCCTTCAGGATTTCACAATGAATCCCAGATTACTCTGAAGGCTGTCCTTCTGGAACTGCGAGGTTAGACTCAAATTTTCATTAATGTAACTGAGAGTGCTAGTGTAAACAGACGTTCAGGTTGTAAGGCAGGAGAATAGGGTCTGAAGGCAGGGAATCTAAGGCCAATTTGTACTGACTTCCTAAAGCTGAATCAAGGGAAAACACTAAGGTCTGCGGTCATGAAATAATGGGGCCAAATAATGCTAACTCCCTAAAAGCGAAAACACCAATGTCTGGAGGCAGGGAATCTGAGGCCAATTTGTGCTGACTCTAAAAAAGAAAACACCAAGGCTAGGGGCAGGGTATCTAAGACCAATCTGTGATAATTTACTAAAGTTAAATCAAAGGGAAAACACCTGGGTCTTGGAGCAGGGACCCTAAGGCCAATTAAAGCAAACTTCCTAAAGCTAAACAAAAGAGAAAAACCCCATCTCCCCATGCCAGAGTAGCAAAGGACCAAAGGTTATTTTCCCTACAACCCTCCCCCTTCCATCATGTCTCAGACAGAAAGGGAAAGTGCCCTATATTGGCTGCTGGCCAAGCCTGGGCCATCCCTTCATCTGCATAGGGTGCCAATTTACCTCAGCATTTAATTAGCCACAGACTAAATTCTTCATCCAGATGAGGAGTAACTGATAGGGACCTCAAAAGGAATACTTAAAATCATGAAAACATTGTAACTGGACCCTTGAGCTGCTTGCTCAGGCTCATTCCCACCCTGTAGAGAGCTTTCTCACTTTAATAAATCCCTGCTTTCACTGCTTCATTACTGTTTTGTTCCTTTGTTACTTTGTGTGTTGTGTCCAATTCTTTGTTCAAAACGCCAAGGAGCTGGACATCTCACAATCAAGGCTTGCCTTCTGGTAACAGTTGCACACTACATAGGGAGATCCCAGAAATGGGTTGGAATTTTCTAGACTTCAATATAAAGTTTTGATCTGCCATGCTCCTCAGGCTTTGTATTTTCAGATAATGAATGCTACTTTTATTGTTTATTTTTATCTTATAATAATTTAAACCCTCTCCTCTAGATCAACAGAACAGCCATTGAACTGAGGTTCTTGACCTCTTGTGTGAAGAAGAGGGAAATATGTACATCTGTAGCAGGAATGTTAACTTCAGAGAAGGTTAATATTAACACACACACTTTTCTCTAGGCTAGTAGAATTTCTGTCATGCATCTACCTTTCCTGCTAGCCAGCCAGCCATCCAGCAAATATTTTGAACAACCATAAGGTGGAAAGGTGCTAGGAAGGCTTGGGAATCTCATTTCCAAAATGTATAAACTAAGTCATTATGAGAGCTTGCAGAAGCAAATAGACATTTTAATAGATCATTAAGTGCAATGGTGTGATTGCTATGTAGGAATAATTATAGCAGTACAAAATATTACAACTCTATATTCTGAGGAATCCCTCTTTTTATAGAAGAGTGATTGGGTTTATTTAATCTCTTCCTGGTGAAGATAATAAAGATGTATATGAGGTTGAATGGAGAAACTAGAAATCTCTTTCTTCTCTCTATAGAATATAAGACAAGTAATCTCCACTGAGAAAGTACCATCTGGACAATAAAGGTGTAGGTTTGTTGCCCATATACATAGGCAACTCTTTTTTTTACATTAATTTTGAGAAACAGGGTTTTTTTCGTGTTCAAATCCAGGCCAAGGTGTAACTGTGGGGACTGCTGCTCCAAGAAATTCTAGGAATGGAGCAGAATAAAACCACTTTTATGCCATCTTTGTCTTTGAGAGCTCGTTGTTCACAATCTCCCTGAGTTAGCACACCTGTGGAAATAGCATTGCATTGATGCAGCCATGATTAAAAAACCAGTACCTTTCATGAGGTGGCCCAAAACACACCTAGGTCTGCCTAAATCACACCTGTGTCAGCCAAATAGTGCTGCAATAAAATGTGGGGAGTAAAGCCTTGAACTTTTTTGTCCCTCAAGGCCCTGGTATTCTGTGCCTGTGCTGGAAGAGGCAGTTCCAATGATCTCTGAAATTATTCTGGCGTCATTTTTCTATTATCTTAATAAGTAGCACCATCCTTCTACTCATCTATACTAATCTTCTTATCAAGTGGTTGCTTGGCCACACCCTTTGTGTTTTCTTCTGATTATGGTTTTTCATTTTTGAAACATGACCAGGCTAATAATTTTCCAAATATTAAAGTTTTTCTTCCCTTTGGAATATAAATGTAATATTTACTTTGTTTTCCTCTTCTCACATTTTATTATAAGCAGTCAAGAAAAGCCATGCTGCACCCTCAACACTTCACTGAGATATTCCTTTTGCCAAATATCTTATTTCATCACATATAAGTTCTACATTCCATAAATCTCTAGAATGTGAACACAATTCAGATGAATTCTTTGCCATTTACAACAAGGAGGACATTTCCTCCAGTTTCCAATAACATGTTTCTCATTTCCAAGGCTTCATCAGAATGGCCATTACTGTCCATATTTCTACCAACATTCTGTTCATGAGCGCTTAGGTAGTAATCCCTAAGAAGATTTAGGCTTCTCTAAAGCTCTCCTCTTCTGAGTCCTCAGCAGAATCAGCCTTTATGATCTATTTATGGCAATATTAGCTTTTCTTAGTATGCATTTCAAAATTCTCCTAGTGTCTACCCATTACCCATTTCCAAAGCTGTTTCTGCATCTTTAGGTATTTGTTACAGCAATATCCCACTTCTCAGCACCAGTTTCTACCTCTTCCATTTGAATTGCTACAACAAAATACTTTACTGAAAAGTTTATAAACAACAGAAATTTATTCTACATAGTTCTGAAGGCTGGTAAGTCAAAGATCAAGGTGCCAGCAGATTCAGTGTTTATTGAGGACCAGTTTCTTATATACGGTGTTTTTGTGCTGTCTCCTCACATGGCAAAAAGAGAAAACAAGCTCCCTTAAACCTATTTTATAAGGCACTAATCCCATTTATAAGGGTTGAGTCCTTAAGACCTAATCACCTCCAAAAGACCTCATCTCTTAATATCATTATCTTGGCAGTTAGGTTTGAATGTGTGAATTTTGGGGAAACAAAAAATCAGGCCACAGAAAGTCTTTGTCTTCAAATATAGTCACATTTAAATATAGTCATATTACTTCAACTTCTGTCTTTGGGTAGTGGTATGAACATTCAGTCCATAACACAATGTTAATAAATATTTATATTTTCACTGAGTCCTTTGGTTTCTCTTAAAAATAGCCAGTCCACTGCCAAGCAAATCTGTTAATTTCTTTGTTGTCTAGTGCTCCTGGTAAGGAGGGAGTTTGGCATTATACAGCTTGCTGGAGTTAGTGCTCATCACTTCTATAATGACTTTACAAGCAGGGAAGTTTATTTCTAGTGCTCTGGACCACAGTTTTCAATCAACATTTGAATTGGACTCCTTGCATTGCAGAGTTGGAAAATAGTTATGTTGAGTCATTAGCCCCAGAAAAGCAATCAAAGTATCCATATAATTTAGGAATATAAGTCAGAACAAGGCCTACAGTTTTCTTCCTCATCACTGTAGCATGTGCAACTGATAACAGTAGTAACGGCTGACCTGCCACCAACACATTCAAAGAACCTAAGGACAACTTTACTTCAGGCATTTGGGTACCAAAATCTCTGATCAGTGTTCTGCCATGGAAATATTAATGGGGTACATAGGAACTGGATGTCTGTCTTATGAGTGGCAGATACCACTAGCTCACACTTCTGCCCCACCTTCATCAGTAGATTTGAATTTTCTCCTAAATTTATTCATTAATTTGATATGAAGATTCATGAGAAAAAATCTTCTAAAAATTACTGTATTCCATAACTCTGTAATTTAATTATGCCTCAATCCCACTTCGGGTCAGAGGTACATAGTGATTTAAAGTTTTTCCAAAGCTAGCTGCAGTAGTAGAGAAACATGGTTTGAAAACAGTTCCATGAAGTAACCCTATCTATTTTACTCTCTCATACACATGAACTAAATATTCTTGTCAACTCCTTAGTTCATCCTTAATAACCCAAAACTATCAAGAGCATTTATGCAGTAAAGTTACCTCATTCCTTCCTCAAAATCTTTAAGGTAATCTAGGTAAATATTTAATACTTTTATTTGTTTTCTATTTTTTATTTTGTTAAAATATATGTAACATTAAATTTACCATTTAAAATGTTTTATGTGTACAATTCAGTTGCTTTAATTACATTTATAAGGTTGCACAACCAGCACCACAATCTATTTCCAAACTTTTTTTTATCATTCCAAATAGAAACTCAGCAACCATTAAGCAACAACTCTCCATTCTTCTCTCCCCCAACCCGGGTAACCTCTAATTTAATTTCTATCTAGGTGAATTTGCCTATTCTAAATATTTAATGTAAATAGAATCATAAAATATTTGTCCTTTTGTGTCTAGCTTATGACATAGAGCATAATGTTTGCAGGGTTCATCCATATTGTAGCATGGGTCAGAGTTGTATTCCTTCATATAGCTGAATAATATTTCCTTGTATGTATATACTTTTTTAATCCAGTTATTTGTTGATGGGCTGAAGTGATAGCCAAATTTTAGAAAACTGTTTCCACTTTTGGCTATTACGAATATTGCTGTGATAAAATTTGGAATATATTATATATTTGAATGTCTAACTTTAAAAAAGTGAAACTTTTTCACCTTTTGAGAAACTGCTGCCGTAACTGCACCACTTTTTCTTGCCACCATCAATGTATGAGAATCCCAATTTCTCCCCATCCTTGCCAACACTTCTTATTTTCCCTTTTTTTTTTTTTTTTTTTTGTTGAGATGGAGTCTCACTCTGTCTCCCAGGCTGGAGTGCAGTGGCGCGATCTCAGCTCACTGCAAGCTCCGCCTCCAGGGTTCACTCCATTCTCCCGCCTCAGCCTCCCGAGTAGCTGGGACTACAGGCGTCCGCCACCATGCCTGGCTAATTTTTTTTTACATTTTAGTAGAGACGGGGTTTCACCTTGTTAGCCAGAATGGTCTTGACCTCCTGACCTCGTGATCCACCCGCCTCGGCCTCCCGAAGTGCTGGGATTACAGGTGTGAGCCACTGCGCCTGGCCTGTTTTCCTTTTTAAAAATCACTGGTATAACCATCCTAGTAGGTGTCACGTGGAATTTTATTGTAATATTGGTTTGCATTTCTCTAATAACTTATTATTTTGAGCATCTTTTTTTGAACTTATTGGCAATTTGTATATCTTCTTTGCGGATATGTCTAAACAAGTCCCATGCAATTTTTAAATTGAGTTATTTGTCTATTTGTGGTTTATTTTGGAAGTTCTTTATTTTTACTGCCTATCAAACTCTTATCAGGTATAAGTTGTGCAAATATTTTGTCCAATTTGGTAGGTTGTTTTTAACCTTCTTGATAATGTCCTTTAAGGCACAAAAGTTTTCAATGTCAATGAAGTTCAATTTATCTATTTTTTTTTCTTCCACTCTTTTTGGTTTTGGAGTGCAAACGAGTCCATCGCCAAATCCAAGGTCAGGAAGACTTACCTGTAAGTGTTCTTCTAAATGTATCATGGTTTAAGTTAATTTTTATATGGTGTAATGTGGGGGTCCAAATTTGTTTTGCATATGAATATTAATCTATCCCAGCACTATTTTTTGAAGAGACCATTTTTTTCCCATTGAGGTTACTGGACACCCTTGTCAAACACCAATCAGCCATTAATGGTTGAGTTTATATCTGAACTCTCAATTCTATTCCATGGATTTGCATGTCTATCTTTATAAGAGTCCTGCAATGTTTTGATTACCGTTGCTTGTAGTAAGTTTAAAAATTGGTAAATGTGGATAATCTGCATTTACTTTTTTTCAAAATTGTTTTGATAATTTGGGACTGTTGCAACTTAACATGAATGTAAAAATTGCTACTGTATTTTGGAAAAAATACTTTTGAAATTTTTTTTTTTTTTTGAGATGGAGTCTCGCTCTATCGCCCAGGCTGGAGTGCAGTGGTGCAATCTCAGCTCACTGCAAGCTCTGCCTCCTGGGTTCATGCCATTCTCCTACCTTAGCTTCCCGAGTAGCTGGGACTACAGGCACCCGCCACCACGCCTGGCTAATTTTTTGTATTTTTAGTACAGACGGGGTTTCACCTTGTTAGCCAGGATGGTCTCGATCTCCTGACCTCGTGATCTGCCCGCCTCGGCCTCCCAAAGTGCTAGGATTACAGGCGTGAGCCACCATGCCTGGCCCTTTTGAAATTTTTATAGTGATTGTGTTGAATCTATAGATCACTGTGAATAGTATTAGCATCTTAACATTACTTCATCTTCTTACACAGGAAAATAAAATATCTTTCCATTTATTCAAGTCATCTTTAATTTCTTTAAAAAATGTTTTTTATGGCTAGGTGTGATGGCTCATGTCCATAATCCTAGCACTTTAAAAGGCTGAGTTAGGAGATTCACTTGAGCTTAGAAGTTTGAGACCAGCCTGAGGAACATGGTGTGACCCTGTATCTACAAAAAAAAAAAAAATTAAAATTGGCCAGGTATGGTGGCATGTACCTGTAGTCCCACCTTAATGAGAGACTAAGGGGAGAGGATTGCTTTAGTCCAGGAGGTCAAGGCTGCAGTGAGTTTTGATTGCTCCACCAAACTCCGGCTTCAGTGACAGATTTTGTCTCCAAAAAATTGTTTGTATTTTCAGAGTACAATTTCTTTCAATAATTTTATTATTTCTAGGTATTGGTGTTTGGAGAGACTCAAATATCCAGATACAAGGAGCTCAGAGAACTCCCAGAATATACATTGCGAGAAGAATCTCACCAAGGCATATAGTCATCAGACTATCCAAAGTTAAAATGAAAGAAAAAAATATGAAGAGAGGTAAGAGAGAAGTAGTTAATCACTTATAAAGGAAATCCCATCAGATTATCAGTGGTTTTCTCAGGAGAAAACCTACAAGCCAAATACATTGGGGGCCTATTTTTAGCCTCTTTAAAGAAAAATATGTCAGTCAACAATTCTATATTCTGCCAAACTGAGCTTCATAAAAGAAGAAATAAAGTCTGTCCCAAATAAACAAACACTAAGGAAAGTGTCACGCCACTAGGTCATTTCTGTAAGAAATAGTCAACTGCAGCTTGTGGTGGGTCATGCCTATAATCCCAGCACTTTGGGAGTCTGAGGTGAGGGATCACCTGAAGTCAGGAGTTCCAGACTAACCTGACCAATATGGTGAAACCCAGTCTCTACTAAAAATACAAAAATTAGTCAGATGTGGTGGCGTGCACCTGTAGTCCCAGCTACTCAGAAGGCTGAGACAGAAGAATTGCTCAAACCCGGGAGGTGTAGGTTTCAGTGAGCCAAGATCGTGCCACTGCACTCCAGCCTGAGTGACAGAGCGAGACTCTGTCTTAAAAAAAAAAAAATGCTCAAGGAAGTTCTAAACATGAAAACAAAAACACAATATACAACATCATAAAAGGACAAATAAATACAAAGCTCACAGATACTATGAAGCAATTATACAATTGGAACTCCATGCTACTAACTAACAATACTATGGCAGAAACAAAACACACACATCACACACATTGAATGTAAATGGTCTAAATATTTCACTTATGGATACAGAGTGGAAAATTGGATAAAAAATAAGAACAAATCTTCTGCTGCCTACAAGTGACTCACCTACTGGCTAAAGCAAGCTACAGACTCAAAATAAAGGAATGGAAAAAGTATATTACACCAAATGAAAAACAGAAGCAAGGAAGTGTAGCCATTCTCATATCAGATAAAACAGACTCTAAACTAACAATAGTAAGCAAAAATACAACAAAGTACATTAAATAATGATAAAGTCTTCAATACAAGAAGATTTTACTATCCTAAATATATATGCACCCAATACTGGAGCACCCAAATTAATAAAACAAACACTAGTAGACCTAAGAAAACAGACTGATCACAATACAATAACAGCAGGGGACTTCAACACTCCACTGACATCAGCAGACAGATCATGAAGGAAGAAAATCAACAAACTCTGGTTTTTAACTGAACCCTAGACCGAATGGACCTAATAGACACTAACAGAACACTCTACAAAACAACTTCAGAATATACATTTATTTCCTCTGCACACTGAACATTCTCCAGAATTTACTATATGCTTGGCAATAAAGCAAGTCTCAATACATTCAGACATCAAAATTATATGAAGTGTCTGCTCATACCACAGTAGAATAAAATTAGAAATCAATACCAAGAAGAACTCAAAATTACACAAGTACATAGAAACTAAACAACATGCTCTGGAACAACTTTTGGATAAACTGTAAAATAAAGGCAGAAACCATAAAATGTTTTAAAACAAATGAAACATAGCAACAAGCAGAAACACAGCATACCAAAACTACTGGAATACAGCAGAAACAGCTAAGAGAAAAATTAATATCATTAAATGCCTACATTGAAAACTAGAAAGATTTTAAATTAAGAATCTAATATCAAAACTCAAGGAACTAGAAACACAAGGACAACCTAACCCGAACACTAGCAGAAGAAACCTCAAAGGTGGCAGAATAACAAAGATCAGATCACAATTAAAGGTCAGGAAACAACAGGTGCTGGAGAGGATGTGGAGAAATAGGAACACTTTTACACTGTTGGTGGGACTGTAAACTAGTTCAACCATTGTGGAAGTCAGTGTGGCGATTCCTCAGGGATCTAGAACTAGAAATACCATTTGACCCAGCCATCCCATTACTGGGTATATACCCAAAGGATTATAAATCATGCTGCTATAAAGACACATGCACACGTATGTTTATTGCAGCACTATTCACAATAGCAAAGACTTGGAACCAACCCAAATGTCCAACAATGATAGACTGGATTAAGAAAATGTGGCACATATACACCATGGAATACTATGCAGCCATAAAAAATGATGAGTTCATGTCCTTTGTAGGGACATGGATGAAGCTGGAAACCATCATTCTCAGCAAACTATCACAAGGACAAAAAACCAAACACCGCATGTTCTCACTCATAGGTGGGAATTGAACAATGAGAACACATGGACACAGGAAGAGGAACATCACACTCTGGGGACTGTTGTGGGGTGGGGGGAGGGGGAGGGATAGCATTAGGAGATATACCTAATGTTAAATGACGAGTTAATGGGTGCAGCACACCAACATGGCACAGGTATATGTAAGAAACCTGCACATTGTGCACATGTACCCTAAAACTTAAAGTGTAATAATAATAAAATAAATAAATAAATAAATAAATAATAAATAAATAAATAAAGAATTGCCAGTGATAACAAGAATGAAGTCATCAGTAAACCTACAGAAACATGCAATAATACTTTTATAATCTCTTCTCCTCAGTATAAAAGTAATATAACTTCTAAAGTGGTAAGTTTTTTTTACAATAAGCATGCATTCATATATTACTTTCATAATAAAAAGACTATAAAAATGCAAATAAAAAAGATTGAGACAATGATAAAAAGTATCAATAAAACAAAAGTTGGCCCTTTGAAGAGATAAAATTGACAGACCATTACCTAGACTAACCACGAAAAAAGGGAAAAATTTAAATTAGCACAATAAAAAAAATGAGCGTGGCATTACAACTGGTACAACAGAAATACAAAAGATTGCCAGAGACTATTGTGAACACCTCTATGTACACAAAGTACAAAACCTAGAGGAAATAAATGAATTTCTGGAAACCTCTCAAGAGTAAACTAAGAAGAAATATGAATCCTGAACAGACTAATAATGAGTAATACAGTAGAATCAGCAATAAAATATCCTTCTCCAACAACAACAGAAAACCCAGGACCAGGTGGAGTCACAGGCAAATTTTACCACATGTATAAAAAACATTGTATCAATCTTACTGAAACTATCCAAAAAAATCAAGGAAAAGGAATTCCTCCCTAATTCATTCTATGAAACCAGTATCACTCTGATAATCATGCAAAGATACAACAACAACAACAACAAAAAAAAACTACAGGCCAGTATCCCTGATGAACTTAAATACAAAAATCCTCAGGAAAATACTAGCAAACCACATCCAGCTGCACATAAAGAAGATAATAAATTATGATTAAGTGGATTCTATTCTAGGATGAAAGGATGGTTCCACATACACAAATAAATAAATGAGATTCACCTCAAACAGAATTAAAACCAAAAACCATAAGATCATCTTAATAGATGCAGAAAAAGCTTTTGATAAAATTAAACATCCCTTCATGATAAATAACCTCAACAAGCTAGGCATCAAAGGAACATACCTCAAAATAATGAGAGCCATATATGATAAACAGCTAAAACAGCATAGTATTGGCACAAAAATGGACACATAGATCAATGGAATAAAATAAAAAATATAGAAATTAAGCCACATAGCTATAACCAACTGATTCTCAACTAAGTAACAAAAATAAACAATGGGGAAAGGACATTCTAGTGAATAAATGATGCTGAAAAAAAATGGACAGCCATATGCAGAAAAATGGAACTGAACATTGTGAAAGGAAATTAACTTGGGCCCCCAAAATCACTAAGGAAAACTTAAGCTGGAAACTGCTCCGGGAAAACCTGCCTCCCATTCTATTCAAAGTTATCCCTCTGTTACTGAGATAGATGCATATCTGATTACCACCTTTGGAAATGCTAATCAGAAACTCAAAAAATGCAACCATTTGTTTTTCACCTGTGTGAGCTGGAAGCTCCCTCCCCACTTCGAGTATTCCTGCTTTTGCTTCAAGTTGTCCTGCCTTTCCAGACTGAACCAATGTACTTCTGATATGGTTTGGCTGTGTCCCCATGCAAATCTCAAATTGAATTGTGTCTCCCAGAATCTCCACCTGTTCTGGGAGGGACCCAGGAGGAGATAATTGAATCACAGGGGCCAGTCTTTCCCTTACCATTCTCATGATAGTGAATAAGTCTCACAAGATCTGATGGGTTTATCAGGGATTTCTGCTTTTACTTCTTCCTCATTTTTTCTTGCAGCCACCATGTAAGAAGTGTCTTTCACCTCCCACCATGATTCTGAGACCTCCCCAGCCATGTGAAACTGTAAGTCCAATTCAACCTCTTTTTCTTCCCAGACTTAGATATGTCTTTATCAGCAGTGTGAAAATAGACTAATACAGTAAATTGGTACCAGTAGAGGGGGGAATTGCTGAAAAGATAACCAAAAATGTGGACGTGACTTTGGAACTGGGTAACAGGTAGAGGTTGGAAGTTTGGAGAGCTCAGAAGACAGGAAAATGTGGTAAAGTTTGGAACTTCCTAAAGGCTTGTTGAATGGTTTTACCCAAAATGCTGATAGCAATATGGAAAATAAGATCCAGGCTCAGGTGGTCTCAGGTGGAGATGAGGAACTTGTTGGGAACCAGAGCAAAGGTGAGTCTTGTTATGTTTTAGCAAAGAGATTGGTGGCATTTTGCCCCTGCCTTAGAGATTTGTGGAACTTTGAACTTGAGAAAGATGATTTAGAGTATCTGGTGGAAGAAATTCAGCAGCAAAGCATGCAAGAGGTGAATTGGGATATTAAAGGCATTCAGTTTTAAAAGGGAAACAGCATAAAAGGTCAGAAAATTTGCAGGCTGAATATGATATAGAAAAGAAAAACTCATTTTCTGGGAAGAAATTCATGCCCACTGCAGAAATCTACATAAGTAGCAAGAAGCTTAATGATAATTCCCAAGACAATGGGGAAAATGTCTCCAAGGCATGTCAGAGGTCTTCACAGCAGCCCCTCCCATCACAGACCCCAAGGTCCAGGAGGAAAAAGTGGTTTGTGGGCCAGGCCCAGGGTCCCTGTGCTGCATACAGCCTAGGGAGTTGGTGCCCTGTGTCCCAGCTACTGCAGCCATGGCTGACAGAGGGTAATGTAGAGCTCAGGCTGTGGCTTCAGAGGGTGGAGGCTCCAAGCCTTGGCAGCTTCCACATGGTGTTAAGCCTGCAGATGCACAGAAGTCAGGAATTGAGGTATGGGAATCTCCACCTAGATTTCAGATGTATGGAAACATCTGGATGCCCAGGCAAAAGTTTGCTGCAGGGAAGGGGCTCTCATGGAAAACCTCTGCTAGGGTAGTGTGGAAGGAAAAATTGCACATTCTAAAATATTTGAAGAGATTTATTCTGAGCCAAATATGAGTGTTCAAGGCCTGTGACACAGCCCTCAGTTGGTCCTTAGAACATGTGACCAAGGTAGTTTGGGGTGCAGCTTGGGTTTATACATTTTAGGAAAATTTGAGACTTCAATCATATACATTTATGAAATACATTGGTTCAGTACAGAAAGGTGGGACAACTTGAAGCAGAGGCTTTCAGTGTACAGGTAGACTTAAAAGTTTTTGGAATGAAAATAGGTTGAATTTGTTTAAAGACCTGGTATCAACAGAAAGGAAACGTCTGAGTTGTGATAAGAGGGTGTGTAGAAGAAAATTTTATCATGCAGATGAAGCCTCCAGGTAGCAGCTTTCAAAGAGAACAGATTGTAAATGCTACTTATCAGACTTAAGGTCTGTGTTGATGTTAATATAGGAGAGAGATAATGAAGCATGTCTGAGCCCCAGTTCTCATCTTGAACTAAACCAATCTTTCAGGTTAAATTTTAAGAGTTCACTGGCTGAAAAGGAAGCTTATTCAGAAGGTTGGGGGGTGGGACTCAGAATTTTATTTTTGGTTTAAAATATGATCTTATTTCTTTTTTATGGCTGCATAACATTCTATGGCTTTTATGTACCACATTTTCTTTATCCAGTCTGCATTTATGGGCATTTAGTTTGATTCCATGTCTTTGCTATTCAAAGTGCCTATTTTTAAAAAGTCAAAAAACAACAGATGTTGGCAAGGATGCAGGAAAAACAGCATGCTTATACACTGTTGGTGGGAATTTAAATTATGTCAACCTCTTTGGAAAACTATGGAGATTTCTTAAAACACTTAAAATAGAACTGCAATTTGACCCAACAATCCCACTACATGGCATGATCACACAGAAAAAAGTCATTATATAGAAAAGAAACCTGCACTCATATGTTCACCGCTGTGATACAGACCCAATGACTGGAGAAACAGCAGGGTCCTTTTTCACTTTTTTTCTTTTTTTTAATTATAATACTTTAAGTGTGAACAACGTGCAGGTTTGTTACACGTGCTTTGTTGGTGTGCTGCACCCATTAACTCATCATTTACATTAGGTATTCCTCTTAATGCTGTCACCCCTTGATCCCCCTACACCACGAGAGGCCCCAGTGTGTGATGTTCCCCTTCCTGTGTCCAAGTGTTCCCATTGTTCAGTTCCCACCTATGAGTGAGAACTTGCAGTGTTTGGTTTTCTGTCCTTGAAATACTTTGTTCACAATGATGGTTTCCAGCTTCATCCATGTCCCTAAAAAGGACATGAAATCATCCTTTTTTAAGGTTGCATAGTATTCCATGGTGTATATGTGCCAAATTTTCTTTTTTTATTATTATCATACTTTAAGTTTTAGGATACATGTGCACAACGTACAGGTTTGTTACATATATATACATGTGCCATGCTGCTGTGCTGCACCCATTAACTCGTCATTTAGCATTAGGTATATCTCCTAATGCTATCCCTCCCCCTTCCCCCCACCCCACAACAGTCCCCAGTGTGTGATGTTCCCTTCCTGTGTCCATGTGTTCTCATTGTTCAATTCCCACCTATGAGTGAGAACATGCGGTGTTTGGTTTTTTGTCCTTGCGATAGTTTGCTGAGAATGATGTTTCCCAGCTTCATCCATGTCCCTACAAAGGACATGAACTCATCATTTTTTATGGCTGCATAGTATTCCATGGTGTATATGTGCCACATTTTCTTAATCCAGTCTATCATTGTTGGACATTTGGGTTGGTTCCAAGTCTTTGCTATTGTGAATAGTGCTGCAATAAACATACGTGCGCATGTGTCTTTATAGCAGCATGATTTATAAACCTTTTGGTATATACCCAGTAATGGGATGGCTGGGTCAAATGGTATTTCTAGTTCTAGATCCCTGAGGAATCACCACACTGACTTCCACAATGGTTGAACTAGTTTGCAGTCCCACCAACAGTGTAAAAGTGTTCCTATTTCTCCACATCCTCTCCAGCACCTGTTGTTTCCTGACTTTTTAATGATTGCCATTCTAACGGGTGTGAGATGGTACCTCACTGTGGTTTTGATTTGCATTTCTCTGATGGCCAGTGATGATGAGCATTTTTTCATGTATCTGTTGGCTGCATAAATGCCTTCTTTTGAGAAGTGTCTGTTCATATCCTTCGCCCACATTTTGATGGGGTTGTTTTTTTCTTGTAAATTTGTTGGAGTTCATTGTAGATTCTGGATATTAGCCCTTTGTCAGATGAGTAGGTTGCAAAAATTTTCTCCCATTCTGTAGGTTGCCTGTTCACTCTGATGGTGGTTTCTTTTGCTCTGCAGAAGCTCTTTAGTTTAATTAGATCCCATTTGTCAATTTTGGCTTTTGTTGCCATTGCTTTTGGTGTTTTAGACATGAAGTCTTGCCCATGCCTATGTCCTGAGTGGTATTGCCTAGGATTTCTTCTAGGGTTTTTATGGTTTTAGGTCTAAGATTTAAGTCTTTAATCCATCTTGAATTAATTTTTGTATAAGGTGTAAGGAACGGATCCAGTTTCAGCTTTCTACATATGGCTAGCCAGTTTTCCCAGCACCATTTATTAAATATGGAATCCTTTCCTCATTGCTTGTTTTTGTCAGGTTTGTAAAAGATCAGATAGTTGTAGATATGTGGCATTATTTCTGAGGGCTCTGTTCTGTTCCATTGATCTATATCTCTGTTTTGATACCAGTACCTTGCTGTTTTGGTTACTGTAGCCTTGCAGTATAGTTTGAAGTCAGGTAGCGTGATGCCTCTGGCTTTGTTCTTTTGGCTTAGGATTGACTGGGCAATGTGGGCTCTTTTTAGGTTCCATATGAACTTCAAAGTAGTTTTTTCCAATTCTGTGAAGAAAGTCATTGGTAGCGTGATGGGGATGGCGTTGAATCTATAGATTACCTTGGGCCATATGGCCATTTTCATGATATTGATTCTTCCTACCCATGAGCATGGAATGTTCTTCCATTTGTTTGTATCCTCTTTTATTTCATTGAGCAGTGGTTTGTAGTTCTCCTTGAAGAGGTCTTTCTCATCCCTTGTAAGTTGGATTCCTATGTATTGTATTCTCTTTGAAGCACTTGTGAATGGGAGTTCACTCATGATTTGGCTCTCTGTTTGTCTATTATTGGTGTATAAGAATGTTTGTGATGTTTGCACACTGATTTTGTATCCTGAGAATTTGCTGAAGTTGCTTATCAGGTTGAGGAGATTTTGGGCTGAGATGATGGGGTTTTCTAGATATACAATCATGTCATCTGCAAACAGGGACAATTTGACTTCCTCTTTTCCTAATTGAATGCCCTTTATTTCCTTCTCCTGCCTGATTGCCCTGGCCAGAACTTCCAACACTATGTTGAATAGGAATGGTGAGAGAGGGCATCTCTGTCTTCTACCAGTTTTCAAAGGGAATGCTTCCAGATTCTGCCCATTCAGTATGATATTGGCTGTGTGTTTGTCATCAATAGCTCTCATTATTTTGAGATACATCCCATCAATACCTAATTTATTGAGAGTTTTTAGCATGAAGCATTGTTGAATTTTGCCAAAGGCCTTTTCTGCATCTATTGAGATAATCATGTGTTTTTGTCTTTGGTTCTGTTTACATGCTGGATTATGGTTATTGATTTTCATATGTTGAACCAGCCTTGCATCCCAGGGATGAAGCCCACTTGATCATGGTGGATAAGCTTTTTGATGTGTTGCTGGATTCTGTTTGCCAGTATTTTATTGAGGAATTTTGCATGGATGTTCATCAGGGATATTGGTCTAAAATTCTCTTTTTTTGTTGTGTCTCTTACAGGCTTTGGTATCAGGATGATGCTGGCCTCATAAAATGAGTTAGGGAGGATTCCCTCTTTTTCTATTGATTGGAATAGTTTCAGAAGGAATGGTACCAGCTCCTCCTTGTACCTCTGGTAGAATTCGGCTGTGAATCCATCTGGTCCTGGACTTTTTTTGGTTGGTAAGCTATTGATTATTGCTTCAATTTCAGAGCCTGTTATTGGTCTATTCAGAGATTCAACTGCCTCCTGATTTAGTCTTGGGAGGGTGTAGGTGTCCAGGAATTTATCCATTTCTTCTAGATTTTCTAGTTTATTTGCATAGAGGTGTTTATAGTATTCTCTGATGGTAGTTTGTATTTCTGTGGGATCAGTGGTGATATCCCCTTTGACGTTTTTTATTGCATCTATTTGATTCTTCTCTCTTTTCTTCTTTATTAGTCTGGCTAGTGGCCTATCAATGTTGTTGATCTTTTCAAAAAACCAGCTCCTGGATTCATTGATTTTTTGAAGGGCTTTTTGTGTCTCTTTTTCCTTCATTTCTGCTCTGATCTTAGCTATTTCTTGCCTTCTGCCAGCTTTTGAATGTGTTTGCTCTTGCTTCTCTAGTACTTTTAATTGTGATGTCAGGGTGTCAATTTTCGATCTTTCCTGCTTTCTCTTGTGGGCATTTAGTGCTATAAATTTCCCTCTACACACTGCTTTGAATGTGTCCCAGAGATTCTGGTATGTTGTGTCTTTGTTTTCGTTGTTTTCAAAGAACATCTTTAATTCTGCCTTGATTTCATTATGTACCCAGTAGTCATTCAGGAGCAGGCTGTTCAGTTTCCATGTAGTTGAGCGGTTTTGAGTGAGTTTCTTAATCCTGAGTTCTAATTTGATTGCACTGTGGTCTGAGAGACAGTTTGTTATAATTTCTGTTCTTTTACATTTGCTGAGGAGTGTTTTACTTCCAACTATGTGGTCAATTTTGGAATAGGTGTGGTGTGGTGCTGAAAAGAATGTATATTTTGTTGGTTTGGGTTGGAGAGTTCTGTAGATGTCTATTAGGTCTGCTTGGTGCAGAGCTGAGTTCAATTCCTGGATATCCTTGTTAACTTTCTGTCTTGTTGATCTGTCTAATGTTGACAGTGGGGTGTTAAAGTCTGCCATTATTATTGTATGAGATTCTAAGTCTCTTTGTAGGTCACTAAGGACTTGCATTATGAATATGGGTGCTCCTGTATTGGGTACATATATATTTAGGATAGTTAGCTCTTCTTGTTGAATTGATCCCTTTACCATTATGGAATGGCCTTCTTTGTCTCTTTTGATCTTTGTTGGTTTAAAGTCTGTTTTATCTGAGACTAGGATTGCAACCCCTGCCTTTTTTTGTTTTCCATTTGCTTGGTAGATCTTCCTCCATCCCTTTATTTTGAGCCTATGTGTGTCTCTGGATGTGAGATTGGTCTCCTGAATATAGCACACTGATGGGTCTTGACTCTTTATCCAATTTGTAAATCTGTGTCTTTTAATTGGAGCATTTAGCCCATTTACATTTACAGTTAGTATTGTTATGTGTGACTTTGATCCTGTCATTATGATGTTAGCTGGTTATTTTTCTTGTTAGTTGATGCAGTTTCTTCCTAGCCTTGATGGTGTTTACAATTTGGCATGTTTTTGCAGTGGCTGGTACCGGTTGTTCCTTTCCATGTTTAGTGCTTCCTTCAGGAGCTCTTTTAGGGCAGGCCTGGTGGTGACAAAATCTCTCAGCATTTGCTTGTCTGTAAAATATTTTATTTCTCCTTCACTTATGAAGCTTAGTTTTGCTGGATATGAAATTCTGGTTTGAAAATTCTTTTCTTTAAGCATGTTGAATATTGGCTCCCACTCTCTTCTGGCTTGTAGAGTTTCTGCTGTTAGTCTGATGGGCTTCCCTTTGTGGGTAACCCGACCTTCCTCTCTGGCTGCCCTTAACAGTTTTTCCTTCATTTCAACTTTGGTGAATCTGAGAATTATGTATCTTGGAGTTGCTCTTCTCAAGGATTATTTTTGTGGCATTCTCTGTGTTTCCTGGATCTGAATGTTGGCCTGCCTTGCTAGATTGGGGAAGTTCTCCTGGATAATATCCTTCAGAGTGTTTTCCAACTTGGTTCCATTCTCCCCGTCACTTTCAGGTATACCAATTAGACATAGATTTGTCTTTTCACATAGTCCCATATTTCTTGGAGGCTTTGTTTGTCTCTTTTTAATCTTTTTTCTCTAAACTTCTCTTCACGCTTCATTTCGTTCATTTTGTCTTCCATCGCTGATACCCTTTCTTCCAGTTGATTGCATTGGTTACTGAGGCTTGTGCATTCATCACGTAGTTCTCATGCCATGGTTTTCAGCTCCATCAGGTCATTTAAGGACTTCTCTGCATTGGTTATTCTAGTTATCCATTCGTCTAATTTTTTTTCAAAGTTTTTAACTTCTTTGCCATTGTTTCAAAGTTCCTCCTTTAGCTCACAGAAGTTTGATCTTCTGAATCCTTCCTCTCTCAACTCGTCAAAGTCATTCTCCATCCAGCTTTGTTCCATTGCTGGTGAGGAGCTGTGTTCCTTTGGAGGAGGAGAGGCCCTCTGATTTTTAGAGTTTCTGGTTTTTCTGCTCTTTTTTTCCCCCATCTTTGTGGTTTTATCTACCTTTCGTCTTTGATGATGGTGACGTACAGATGGGTTTTTGGTGTGGATGTCCTTTCTGTTTGTTAGTTTTCCTTCTAACCATCAGGACCCTCAGTTGCAGGTCTGTTGGACTTTATTGGAGGTCCACTTCAGATGCTGTTTGCCTGGGTATCAGCAGCGGTGGCTGCCGAACAGCGGATATTGGTGAACAGCAAATGCTGCTGCCTGATCGTTCCTCTGGAAGTTTTGTCTCAGAGGAGTACCTGGCCGTGTGAGGTGTCAGTCTGCCCCTACTGTGGGGTGCCTCCCAGTTAGGCTACTCAGGGGTCAGGGACCCACTTGAGGAGGCAGTCTTCCCATTCTCAGATCTCAAGCTGCATGCTGGGAGAGCCACTACTCTCTTCAAAGCTCAGTTGGAAATGCAGAAATCACCCATCTTCTCTGTTGCTCACACCGGGAGCTGTAGACTGGAGCTGTTCCTATTTGGCCATCTTGGCTCCACCTCCAGCACATTTTCTTAATCCAGTCTATAATTGATGGACATTTAGGTTGGTTCCAAGTCTTTGCTATTGTGAGTAGTGCCACAATAAGCATACATGTGCATGTGTCTTTATAGTAGCATGATTTATAATCCTTTGGGTATATACCCAGTAAAGGGATCACGGGGTTAAATGGTATTTCTAGTTCTAAATCCTTGAGGAACCACCACACTGTCTTCCATAATAGTTGAACTAGTATACACTACCACCAGCAGTGTAAGTGTGTTCCTATTTCCCCACAACCTCTCTAGCACTGTTGTTTCCTGACTTTTTAATGATCGCCATTCTAACTGGTGTGAGATGGTATCTCATTGTGGTTTTGATTTGCATTTCTCTGATGGCCAGTGATGATGAGCATTTTTTCATGTGTCTGTTGGTGGTGTAAATGTCTTCTTTTGAGAAATGTCTGTTCACATCCTTCACTCACTTTTTGATGGGGTTGTTTGATTTTTTCTTGTAAATTTGTTTAAGTTCTTTGTAGATTCTGGATATTAGCCCTTTATCAGATGGGTAGATTGTAAAAATTTTCTCCCATTCCACAGGTTGCCAGTTCACTCTGATGGCAGTTTTTTTGCTGTGTAGAAACACTTTAGTTTAATTAGATCCCATTTGTCTATTTTGGCTTTTGTTGCCATTGGTTTTGTTGTTTTAGTCATAAAGTCCTTGCCCATGCCTATGTCCTGAATGGTATTGCCTAGGTTTTCTTCTATGGGTTTTATGGTTTTAGGTCTAAGATTTAAGTCTTTAATCCATCTTGAGTTAATTTTTGTATAAGGTGTAAGGAAGGGATCCAGTTTCAGCTTTCTACATATGGCTAGCCAGTTTTCCCAGCACCCATTTATTAAATAGGGAATCCTTTCCTCATTGCTTGTTTTTGTCAAATTTGTCAAAGATCAGATGGTTGTAGATGTGTGGTATTATTTCTGAGGGCTCTGTTCTTTTCCATTGGTCCATATCTCTGTTTTGGTACAAGTACCATGCTGTTTTGGTTACTGTAGCCTTGTAGTATAGTTTGAAGTCAGGTAGCGTGATGCCTCCAGCTTTGTTCTTTTGGCTTAGGATTGTCTTGGCAATGCAGGCTCTTTTTTGGTTCCCTATGAACTTTAAAGTAGTTTTCCCCAATTCTGTGAAGAAACTCATGGTAGCTTGATGGGTATGTCATTAAATCTATAAACTACCTTTGGCAGTATGGTCATTTTCACAATATTGATTCTTCCTATCCCTGAGCATGTAATGTTCTTCCATTTGTTTGTGTCCTATTTTATTTCATTGAGCATTTGTTTCTAGTTCTCCTTGAAGAGGTCCTTCATATCCCCTGTAAGTTGGATTCCTAGGTATTTTATTCTCTTTGAAGCAATTGTGAATGGGAGTTCACTCATGATTTGGCTCTCTATTTGTCTGTCATTGGTGTATAGGAATGCCTGTAATTTTTGCACATTAATTTTGTATCTTGAGATTTTGCTGAAGTTGCTCATCAGCTTAAGGAGATTTTGTGCTGAAACGATGGGGTTTTCTAAATATACAACCATATCATCTGCAAACAGGGACAATTTGGCTTCCTTTTTTCCTAACTGAATACCTTTTATTTCTTTCTCCTGCCTGATTGCTCTGGCCAGAGCTTCCAACACTATGTTGAATAGGAGTGGTGAGAGAGGGCATCCCTGTCTTGTGCCAGTTTTCACAGGGAATGCTTCCAGTTTGTGCCCATTCAGTATGATATTGGCTGTGCATTTGTCATAATAGGTCTTACTATTTTGAGATATGTCCCATCAATACTTAGTTTATTGAAAGTTTTCAGCATGAAGTGCTGTTGAATTTTTATTGAAGACCTTTTCTGCATCTATTGAGATAATCATGTGTTTTTTTTCTTTGGTTCTGTTTGTATGATGGATTACGTTTATTGATTTACAAATGATGAACCAGCCTTGCATCCCAGAGATGAAGCCAACTTGATCATGGTGGATAAGCTTTTTGATCTGCTGCTGGATTCAGTTTGCGAGTATTTTATTGAGGATTTTTGCATCGATGTTCATCAGGTATATTAGTCTAAAATTATCTTTCTTTGTTGTGTTTCTGCGAGGCTTTGGTATCAGGATGATGCTGGCCTCATGAAATGAGTTGGGGGGATTCACTCTTTTTCTATTGATTGGAATAGTTTCAGAAGGAATGGTATCAGCTCCTCTTTGTACCTCTGGTAGAATTTGGCTGTGAATCCATCTGGTCCTGGACTCTTTTTGGTTGGTAGGCTATTAATTATTGCCTCAATTTCAGAGGCTGTTATTGATCTATTCAGGGATTCAACTTCTTCCTGGTTTGGTCTTGGGATGGTGTATATGTCCAGGAATTTGCCCATTTCTTCTAGATTTTGTAGTTTATTTGCATAGAGGTGTTTATAGTATTCTCTGATGGTAGTTTGTATTTCCATGGGATCAGTGGTGATATCCACTTTATCATTTTTTATGCATCTATTTGATCTTCTCTCTTTTCTTCTTTATTAGTTTTGTTAGCAGTCTATCAATTTTGTTAATCTTTTCAAAAAACCAGCTCCTGGATTCATTGATTTTTTGAAGGGTTTTTTGTGTCTCTATCTCCTTCAGTTCTGCTCTGATCTTGGTTATTTCTTGCCTTCTGCTACCTTTTGAAAGTGTTTGCTCTTGCTTCTCTAGTTCTTTTAATTGTGATGTTAGGGTGTCAATTTTAGATCTTTCCTGCTTTCTCTTGTGGGCATTTCGTGCTATAAATTTCCCTCTATACACTGCTTTAAATATGTCCCAGAAATTCTGGTACATTGTGTCTTTGTTCTCATTTGTTTCAAAGAACATCTTTATTTCTGCCTTCATTTTGTTATGTACCAAGTAGTCGTTCAGGGTACAGGTTGTTCAGTTTCCATGTAATTGTGCGGTTTTGAGTGAGTTTCTTAGTTCTGAGTTCTAATTTGATTGCACTGTGGTCTGAGAGACAGTTTGTTATTATTTCTGTTCTTTTACATTTGCTGAGGAGTGCTTTACTTCCACCTATGTGGTCAATTTTGGAATAAGTGTGATGTGGTGCTGAGAAGAATATATATTCTGTTGATTTGGGGTGAAGAGTTCTGTAGATGTCTATTAGGTCTGCTTGGTGCAAAGCTGAGTTCAATTCCTGGATATCCTTGTTAAATTTCTGTCTCATTGAGCTAATGTTGACAGTGGGTTGTTAAAGTCTGCCATTATTATTGTGTGGGATTCTAAGTCTCTTTGTATGTCTCTAAGGACTTGCTTTATGAATCTGGGTGCTCCTGTATTGGATGCATCTATGTTTACGATAGTTAGTTCTTCTTGTGTAATTGCTCCCTTTACCATTATGGAATGGCCTTCTTTGTCTCTTTTGAACTTTGTTGGTTTAAAGTCTGTTTTATCAGAGACTAGGAATGCAACCTCTGCTTTTTTTTTTTTTTTTTTTTTTTTTTTTTTTTTTTTTGCTTTCCATTTGCTTGGTAGATCTTCCTCCATCCCTTTATTTTGAGCCCATGTGTGTCTCTGCCTGTGAGATGCGTCTCCTAAATACAGTACACTGATGGGTTTTGACTCTTTATCCAATTTACCTGTCTGTGTCCTTTATTTGCAGCATTGAGCCCATGTGTGTCTCTGCCTGTGAGATGCGTCTCCTAAATACAGTACACTGATGGGTCTTGACTCTTTATCCAATTTACCTGTCTGTGTCCTTTATTTGCAGCATTTAGCCCACTTACATTTAATGTTAATATTGTTATGTGCGAATTTATTCCTGTCACTGTGATGTTAGCTGGTTATTTTGCCCGTTAGTTGATGCAGTTTCTTCCTAGCTTCAATGGTCTTTACAATTCGGCATGCTTTTGCAGTGGCTCGTACTGGTTGTTCCTGTCCATGGTTAGTGCTTCCTTCAGGAGCTCTTGTAAGGCAGGCCTGGTGGTGACAAAGTCTCTTCACATTTGTTAGTCTGTAAAGCATTTTATTTATCCTTCATTTATGAAGCTTAGTTTGGCTGGATATGAAATTCTGGGTTGCAAATTGTTTTCTTTAAGAATGTTGAGTATTGTCCCCTACTCTTCTGGCTTGTAAAGTTTCTAGTGAGATGTCTGCTGTTAGTCTGATGGGCTTGCCTTTGTGGGTAACCCATCCTTTCTCTCTGGCTGCCCTTAACATTTTTTTTCCTTCATTTCAGCCTTTGTGAATCTGATAATTATGGGTCGTGCATTTGCTCTTCTCGTGGAGTATCTTTGTGGCATTATCTGTATTTCCTGAATTTGAATGTTGACCTGCCTTGCTAGGTTGTGAAGTTCTCCTGGATAATATCCTGAAGAATAATTCAGGATAATATCCTGAATATCCAACCATTCTCCCTGTCACTTTCAGGTACACCAATCAAACGTAGATTTGGTCTTTTCACATAGTCCCATGTTTCTTGAAGGCTTTGTTCGTTTCTTTTTACTCTTTTTTTTCTCTGAACTTCTCTTCTTGCTTCATTTCATTCATTTGATCTTCAATCACTTATACCCTTTCTTCCACTTGATCGAATCGGCTACTGAAGCTTGTGCATGCGTCATGTAGTTCTCATGCTGTGGTTTTCAGATCCATCAGGTCATTTAACATCTTGTCTGTGCTGTTTATTCTAGTTAGCCATTTGTCTAATCATTTTTAAAGGTTTTTAGCTTATGATGGGTTGAAACATCCTCCTTTAGCTCAGAGAAGTTTGTTATTACCCATCTTCTGAAGCCTACTTCTGTCAAGTCATTAAAGTCATTCTCTGTCCAGCTTTGTTCCATTCCTGGCGAGGAGCTGTGATCCTTTGGAGGAGAAGAGGCACTCTGATTTTTAGAATTTTTGGCTTTTTTGCTCTGGTTTCTCCCCATCTTTGTGGTTTCATCTAGCTTTGGTCTTTGATGATGGTGACCTACAGATGAGGATTTGGTGTGGACATCCTGTTTGTTGGTGTTGATGGTATTCCTTTCTGTTTGTTAGTTTTCCCTCTAACAGTCAGGTGTCTCAGCTGCATATCTGTTGGAATTTGCTGAAGGTCCACTTCTGACCCTGTTTGCCTGGGTATCACCAGCAGAGGCTGCAGAACAGCAAATATTGCAGAACAGCACATATTGCTGTCTGATCCTTCCTCTGGAAGCTTCATCTCAGAGGGGCACTTGGCTGTATGAGGTGTCAGTCGGCCCCTACTGGGAGGTGTCTCCTAGTTAGGCTACTCAGGGTACAGGGACCCACTGGAGGAGGCAGTCTGTTTATTCTCAGATCTCAAAACCTATGCTGGGAGAACCACTGCTCTCTTCAAAACTCTCAGACAGGGGTGCTTAAGTCTGCAGAAGTTTCTGCTGCCTTTTGTTCAGCTATTCCCTGCCCCCAAAGGTGGAGTCTATAGATGCAGGAAGTCCTCATTGAGCAGTGGTGGGCTCCACCCAGTTTGAGCTTCCCAGCTGCTTTGTTTACCTAGTCAAGCCTCAGCAATGGTGGACGCCTCTCCCCCAGCCTCACTGCCACCTCACAATTTGACCTTGGACTGCTGTGCTGGCAGTGAGCAAGGTTCTGTGGGCATGGGACCCGCCAAACCAGGCACTGGATATAATCTCCTGGTGTGCCAATTGCTAAGACCATTGTAAAAGCACCGTATTAAGCCAGGAGTGTCCTGAGTTTCCAGGTACTGTCAGTCACGGCTTCTCTTTGCTAGGAATGGGAATTCTCTGACCCCTTGCACTTCCTGGGTGAGGCGATGCCCTGCCCTGTTTTGGCTCACACTCCGTGGGCTACACCCACTGTCCAACAAGTACCAGTGAGGTGAACCTGGTACTTCATTTGGAAATGCAGAAATCACCCATCTTCTATGTCACTCATGCTGGGAGCTGTAGACTGGAGCTGTTCCTATTCAGCTATCCACACCAGGATCCTTTTTCTTGTGCCAATTAGGTAAATGACATGGACACACATGGAGTGGTTTTAAAAAGTGGAAAGTTTAATTAGGCAAGAAAGAAGAAGAAAGGCTCCCTCCATAGAGAGGGAGGGGGGCCCTGAATGGAGAAAAACCCCACATGTGGTGGAAACGTAGTTGGTTATATTCAGAGGCTAAAGGAGGTGGTTTCTAATTTGCATAGGGCCCAGGGGATTGGTGTGACCAGATGTGTCATTCATGTAGCCCATGAAAAACCTGGCCCTCTCACCCTAGTCTTTTAATATGCAAATGCTGGTCGCCATGATGTCTTGCACACGTGGTGTTATCTGGAGGTGGCCATCACACCTGGCACACATGGTGAAAAGGAGAAGAGGGAGGGAACTGCCATGTTGGTTGGACCTGGTTTCTAATCACTGGCATTTACATATCAATGCTTAGTCTGATTTTTCAAGCCACTTTCTGTTAGAAAAAAAATGTTTTAAGGGTTGCTTTTTATTAAAGGATATTTCCACTGAGAACCTTTACCCTTTCTAGTTGCCTAAAAATTATTTCTAAATAACTCCTGTATTAGTCCCCCTCAAGAGAAGTAAACCTACCTGCTGTTAGGGGGCTTTGGACAATAATTCTTTCTAGCTAATTCCTGCTGGAAAAGGGGCGTTCATGTGGGGGGAACAGCAGTTGGGCCTTCTGAGGTTGATCTAAAAGTTCTCGGAAGAATCACATGTCCTTATGTGGCTGTCTGCAGCACCATTTGGAGTTTGATTGCTTCTAGGTAAAAGTATATGCATTTTACAAGGAGGTTTAAAATATAGGGTTAGAATATTAGCATTAAGATGACCACTCTTAATGGGGGTCCTATAGACCATAACTGAGAGTAGAGTTTGATACTGTTAGTTACACCAGTGGATTGTAATGCTGGTTTGTCTCCACTAGATGTTGCTGTAATTACCAGAAACGTTAATATAAAAGTAACATTTTCCTTGAGAAAAGCATACATTTCCCCCTTGACTTATTAGAGAGTAACTTTAGTTTTAGGCTATTTTTATAACTTGCAATATGATTGGGAGAAATACATTATTGGGTGGCTAAAATAACCTTAACGTTAATCTTGATGATTTTTTTCTTTAATTATTAAATTCTTTCATGAATTTCATGGATCTCTTACAACATACTCAAGACTTGTTCTAAACATCCTTTCTTTAAACAACCAGTCATTTCCCCTTAAGACAAAAATTTACCATAGAAAATCCTTTCTTATATATAAAATTCCTTCCTTTATAACCTCTTTCCATAATTTAGAGTGCACCATATTACCAATCTTCAATAAAAAGTCCTATCAAACTTAATGATAGTAAAACTTTCATGCTTAGTTCTTATCTGTAACTATTAGTCCTGCTATAAGCAAAATAACCTTGGCTTAATCTTTCCTGCAATTATTAACCCTGTTATAAGGATGATAATCAGGCAAAATATTATAGCAATTAGAATTTTACAACCAGAATTTCACATTGTGGGTCCCGCAGTGTATAGTTCTATTGGAAGTAGTAGTATGACTATAACAATTCCCACAATAGTGGCATAGAAAATAATTTCCGTTTAAAAGTTTACTTGCTGAGATATAACATTTTCCTGTGGGGATCTACAAATTTATAAATGCGATTCTATGAATAATTAAAATCATCCTGCAAATATGCATTAATAGAAGTTCTAATATTCAGCAGTGAATTTAAGAGGAAAGGGTAGAAATAATGAAAACTATCTGGTGAGGTAGGAATGGGACTGAGTAAAATGAGTATCCCTCACTCATTATGTATTTGTTATGATTTTCAGCTTAAGATCTCCTATTTCTTCACATTGATATTCAGGACGTTCCTCTGGGCTGGTAGGTGTTGCTCCCTCAGCGCTTCAGGCTTTGACTTGAGTGTGATGTATTCAGAAGTTGATTCCTGTAACTTTTATTGCAAAGGGGGTTGAAAGAAGAACAGTGTAGGCCCCTTCCCAGCTTGTCTTAGGGAAGGAGAGATGAGATTTTTCACTAACACCCAATTTTCTGGGTTAAATAAACGTGGTTCTATTTCCTGGGTTGGGCTTCTGATAGTTGTGTTAATTCTTGTTGGAAGTGAGCTAGAGAGGTTATATGTCTAGCCAATTTAGAACTTTCCTGCCTGAAAACAAATTCTGAGCACATTGATAGGTCTTATCCTTTCCTAAGTGAAAAGCTTGGTGAAGGATTTTAAGGACTTTCCATTGGCTGGGGGCTGGCAAATGGAGTTTGCTATCCTCTGACTGTAGCCATCCTGAGGGCTGGAAAGTATGCCTTCGACAAGAGGCCTATTCTATTTCTGCAGGCAAATAGTAATGTTTAATTTCTCTTATGGAGCCTTCCTAGATTAGAGGCATTTAAAGTATGTTAATGTCTTGAGGCTTCCTTGCCACTGACTTAGCTGCCTGATCAGCTAACCTATTTCCTTTGGCTACTTTATTTGTTTCCTTTTGAGGTCCCCTACAATGCATCCCTGCTATTTCTCATGGAAGAAAAACTGAGAATAATAACCTGCTAATTTATGGTGATATTTATAGCAGATCCGCTCGTGGTAAGAAAATGCCTTTCCTTTTAAATGGCGGCATGAACGTGGAGAGCTAAAAAAGCATACTTGGAATCAGTGTAAATGTTAGCTATCTTTCCCTTGCTTAATTTAAGTGTTCTTGTAAGAGCTATTAGTTCAACTAATTGAGTGCTTGTGTCTGGGAAGAGTAACTACTGCTTATTCTGCCTTATGTACTTCTTGCTTTACTGGCTGTTTGTTAGCTAAGAGCTTACTCTGGAGGACAGTGATCATGCAATGTTATGTGGAGTGTAAACAGTTAAATTATTTCCTGAGGTTAATTTGGAGGCTTTTCTGAGTCATAAACTATCGTGACAATGGCTTGGAAGCATGTGTGAACAATAGGTCCTCTTAACTGCAACTAAGGCTGAGAAAAATACTGGGTTAGAGTTTTTCCCGAGATGTCCCTTACAGTCGTGCTATGGGAAGAGGAGAGGCCTGAATTAGAGAGGAGAAAAGAGAGAGAGACTGGTTCCAGTGTTTAGAAGGATGTCTACTTTCATTTCTTCAATTTCCAGAATCACGCAGGGCTCCTGTGCTGTAATGGCAGTTTGAGCCACTGGAGCTGGAGGTTTGAGCCCCAGAACCCATCAGTCCTGTTGATCTATCTGTGAGACTGGTTCTGAACCCAGTGACCTCCATCTCCAGGGGCAGTTACAACTTCAGTGGTCTCCACCACAGGCTGGACAGGGTTGAGGTGGTTTTGTCTTGCTGCCCAGGTATTTCTTATTAAAATGCCCTGACTTGCCACATTGATAGGAGCTAGTGGATGCACCTTGGGTACCCTGGACTTTGCAAGCCTGCAAAGCCACTACTAGAGCTTCTGTTCTTCTCTTGAGCTTTCTCTCTTTCTTTTGGGCCTCCTCCTAGTCTGTATTATAAAAGACAGAAGTGGCCACCTTCAGGAGGTTCTCTAAGGTGCTATCTGGTCCTATAGCTTGCTTCTGTTGTTTCCTTCTAATATCGGGAGCTACCTGTGTAATAAACTTCTCCTTCAAGATGAGCTGCCCCTTGACTGAATCAGGGGTTAAGGAGGTGTGTTTTATTAGTGCCTCTCTCAGCCTTTCCATAAAGGCTACAGGATTCTCATCTGGGTTTTTGATTTATCATAGACAGTTTAGAATAATTGAGAGGTCTGGTCTTAGTTCTTCATAGGCCCTCTAAAATGCATATTAAATAGTGCTTTCTTTTCCATTCATCTGCAGAGCTACTGGGGTACCAATCAGGATTGTCAAGGGGAACTGCTTCCCTTCCCATTGGGAATGGTGTTTCTGCTATTTTTTCACTTTCCCCAAGTTTTTCCTTCCCTTTTGGTGTATTATAGGAGATATGTTGCTCATCTCTGAAATTATCTGCTGCTTGAAGAGCTGCCTGCTTTTCAGCTACCATTAAGGTTTGGTTTAGGAGCAGTATAACATCCTTCCATGTGTGGTAAAACACCCGAGTTAAATTTTGGAAAGCTTTCATATACCTATCAGTGTCGTCAGAAAATCTGCCTATATCTCTCTTTATTTGCCTAAGGTCCTGTAATGAGAAGGGAACTTGAACCCTCATGGCATCATTTCCATCAGGCATTTCCTGCAGAGGTAAGAGAGAAGCAGGGAAAGTGGGTAATACTGGAGATGGTGGAGCTGGAGGAGCTGATGGTATGATTGGAGGGGGTTCTGAATGAGGGGGGCTGGAAGGGTTGGGGCATTCAATAGTTGTCTCAGATTGCTCCTCTGAAATCTGCTTTAGCTCTGGGGAACAATTTCCTGTGGCCTTGCCCAATATTATCGCTAAGAGAGCTGGAATGGTCTTATAATGCTTGCAAAGGTTTAGTAAAAATGTTATGCCCTTGTGCAAAAGAAAATGAGTCGCTTTTCTCTTCAAAGTCCTGAGGTTAAAAAAGTTCCAGTGCTTCAGAGTACACTCCAAAGGGGTGCAAGCTGAAGATATTGTTACCCATTAAAAAAAAGAAGTGAGAATAAAAGCATCTTTTTTGTCTCCTTCCTTTCCATATGACCCAGGGTGGAGAATAACACAGTGGAGCATCCTTCCGACTGTTTTCCCTCCCTGGATCTTGGGTCCAGGCACCCTGTTAAATGTGCTGCCTATGGTTGTGGGCAATCCTTCCGACTCTTTTCCCTCCCTGGTTCCTAGGTCCAGGCACCCTGTTAAATGTGCTGCCCATGGTTGTAGGCATAGCCCTCCAAGCCATGGAACTGAATAAACTAAGTGATGGGATTAATCATGCATTATCCATGCAACTTATCTTATTGCCTTGTGTGATTCCCCTTTGACTTCCTAAACCTATGTGATCTGCCTGGCTTGCCAGAAAACGGATCTCCAGAGAGACTGTGTCGTCTTTGGGCAAGGCTCCTTTAATGGAGGAAATATGCTAGACTTCCTGCTATTATGGCTCGTGCTAAAGCATTTACCCTTAGAAAAATGGCTCTGGTTACCCTCTGGACTTAAAATCCCCTAATTAAATACGCTTCTAATAGGAAAGAGGCTAGGTGTCTTAAAGGGACGTGGGGACCTAATGGCAATTTTCCTGCTGATGGGACAGTATCAGGACTAAAATTTGGCTGTGGTGGACATTTTATTCTTAATAGTTGAAAGCAGAATTTCCCCACTCACAGAAGGGGCTTAGAGCCTGATTTCTAGTGGCGCAAAAAGAAGCTGCAGTGTTACTTTAAAAAATGTGCCTCATGTAGAGGATTTCTGTATCCACTAGGTAGCGCTGTTGGCTTAGAAATACCATGTGCTCCCCAGGAACATAGTAGAGACGCTTATTGAGTTACTGCCTGCCGTTTTTGTCAATCTTTCCTAACAGACCTGTTTCCCTGAACTGTAAAAATTCCCACACATTTGACACACACAGAAAGAGAGTAAGAGACTGCAGATAAAAAAAAGAAGGTAAGTTATGTGACAGGATAGCTGGGGATTCTCTACCAACACCCAGAGTGGGCTGTCGGAGGCTGGGTCAGGTCCAGAAGCCTTTGAATAACACCAGGGTGTGCCCTGGCCAGAGATTCTCAGTTGCTTCAGTACTTTTCCCATCCTCACGCAATTGCGAATATTTCTCATGAAAGGAGACTGATTTGGACAGAGCCAACATTCCCAGCACCCTGAGGACACAAGGGGATTGACTAAGTCCTCCTTAGCAAGCCTCACACCTGAGTCTTTTAGACCATCTGTGGCTAGCTCTTGTGGCTTATTAGCCGAAGGACACCCGTTTTTTGTTTGTTTGTTTGTTTGTTTTAGACCAGTGGCCAGCCCTAGTGGCTCATTAATCAGCCAAATGACACCAGTTTTTTGTTTGTTTCTTTGTTTTTGTTTTTTTATATAGTTATTTGAGAGAATAAAAACTGAGGACGAGAAGCCTTGGAAATGAAAGTAGAAAGTCCGCTCCTATACTCACCGCTCCGATGAGTGTTGTACCTTGGATTTCCAGCCAATGCACCAAAATGATATGGCTCCAATGACTGGAGAAACACCAGGGTCCTTCGTCTCCTGCCAATTAGACAAATGACATGGACACACGTGGAGTAGTTTTAAGGAGTGGAAAGTTTAATTAAGAAAGAAGAAGAAAAGCTCCCCCTGTACAGAGGAAAGGGGTACCCGAATGGAGAAAACGCCATGTGCAGTGGAAAAGCAGTTGGATATATTGGGAGGCTGAAGGAGGTGGTGTCTGATTTGCATAGGGTCCAGGGAATTGGTGTGACCAGATGTGTCATTCATGTAGCCCATGAAAAACCTGGCCCTCTCACCCTAGTCTTTTAATATGCTAATGATGGGCGCCATGATGTCCTGCACACGTGGTGTTATCTGGAGATGGCCATGACACCTGGCACAAGTTGTGACAAGGACAAGAGAGCGGGAACGGCCCTGTTGGGTGGACCTGGTTTCTAATCACCAGTATTTGCATATCAATGCTTGCTGGTCTGGTTTTTCAAGCTGCTTTCTGTTAGAAAAGAAATGTTTTGGGGGTTGCTTTTTATTAAACCAAAATTCCACTGAGAACCATTACCCTTTCTAGCTGCCTAAAAATTATTTCTTAGTAACTCCTGTATTAACAACACTATTTACAGTTGCAAAGTCACGAAACAAACAAAGGTGTTTATCAATCTTTGACTGAATAATGTACTAATAGGTAATTTGTGCATATACCTGCAATACTACATAGCTTTAAAAAACAATGAAGACAGGCAATTTGCAGCAACATGGATGGAGCTGAAGTCCATTATCCTAGGTGAAGTAACTGAAAGGTGAAATAACTGAAAATCAAATACCACATATTTCCACTTGCATGTAGGAAATAAACATTTAGTATACATGGAAATAAAGATGAAAATAATAGACACTGGGGACTCCAAAATGGGGAAGGGTGAGAGAGGTTGAGGTTTGAGAAACTACCTATTCCTATTTGGTTAATGGGTACACTACAAGCCCAATCCCACACAGTATGCAATATATCCATGTAACAAACATGCATATGTACCCTTTGAATCTTAAAAATCACTAAATTGAAAAATATTTAAAAAGTACATTTATAAATATTTTATTCATTTAACTTCTATAAACCAGAAAGCAAGACCTCACCAGATATTGAATCTGCCGCCACTTTGACCTTAAACACCCTGGCCTCCAGACTTGGGAGAAATAATGTATTTCTGTCATTATAAGCTACCCAGTTTGTGGTATTTTGTTATAGCTGCCCAAATAGACAGACTGACACAATCCATTATTTTTTATTGTATTTTTCAGATCCAAGATTTCTTTTTTTTTTTTATACTTTAAGTTCTAGGATACATGAGCACAACGTGCAGGTTTGTTACACATGTATACATGTGCCATGTTGGTGTGTTGCACCCATTAACTAGTCATTTACATTAGGTACATCTTCTAATGCTATCCCTCCCCCCTACCCCCACCCCGCGATAAGCCCCAGTGTGTGATGTTCCCCAACCTGTGTTCAAGTGTTCTCATAGTTCAATTCCCACCTATGAGTGAGAACATGTGGTGTTTGGTTTTTTGTCCTTGCCATAGTTTGCTGAGAATGATGGTTTCCAGCTTCATCCATGTCCCTACAAAGGACATGAACTCATCATTTTTTATGGCTGCATAGTATTCCATGGTGTATATGTGCCACATTTTCTTAATCCAGTCTTATCATTGATGGACATTTGGGTTGGTTCCAAGTCTTTGCTATTGTGAATAGTGCCACAATAAACATACGTGTGCATGTGTCTTTATAACAGCATGATTTATAACCCTTTGGGTATATACCCAGTAATGGGATGGCTGGGTCAAATGGTATTTCTAGTTCTAGATCCCTGAGGAATCGCCAAACTATCTTCCACAGTGGTTGAACTAGTATACATTCCCACCAACAGTGTAAAAGTGTTCCTATTTCTCCACATCCTCTCCAGCACCTGTTGTTTCCTGACTTTTTAATGATCGCCATTCTAACTGGTGTGAGATGGTACCTCATGGTGGTTTTGATTTCCATTTCTCTGATGGCCAGTGATGATGAGCATTTTTTCATGTGTCTTTTGGCTGCATAAATGTCTTCTTTTGAGAAGTGTCTGTTCATATCCTATGCCCACTTTTTGCTGGGGTAGTTTGTTTTTTTTTTCTTGTAAATTTGTTTGAGTTCATTGTAGATTCTGGATATTAGCCCTTTGTCAGATGAGTAGATTGCAAAAATCTCCTCCCATTCTGTAGGTTGCTGGTTCACTCTAGTTTCTTTTGCTGTGCAGATGCTCTTTAGTTTAATTAGATCCCATTTGTAATTTTGGCCCTTGTTGCCAATGCTTTTGGTGTTTTAGACATGAATTCCTTGCCCATGCCTATGTCGTGCATGGTATTGCCTAGGTTTTCTTCTAGAGTTTTTATGGTTTTAGGGCTAACATTTAAGTCTTTCATCCATCTTGAGTTAATTTTGATATAAGGTGTAAGGAAGGGATCCAGTTTCAGCTTTCTACATATGGCTAGCCAGTGTTCCCAGCACTATTTATTAAATAGGGAATCCTTTCCCCATTGCTTGTTTTTGTCAGGTTTGTCAAAGATCAGATGGTTGTAGATGTATGGTATTATTTCTGAGGGCTCTGTTCTGTTCCGTTGGTCTATATCTCTGTTTTGGTACCAGTACTATGTTGTTTTGGTTACTGTAGCCTCGTAGTATAGTTTGAAGTCAGGTAGTGTGATGCCTCCAGCTTTGTTCTTTTGGCTTAGGATTGACTTGGCAATGCGTGCTCTTTTTTAGTTCCATATGAACTTTGAAGTAGTTCTTTCCAATTCTATGAAGAAAGTCATTGGTAGCTTGATGGGGATGGCATTGAATCTATAAATTACCTTGGGTAGTATGGCCATTTTCACGATATTGATTCTTCCTGTCCATGAGCATGGAATGTTCTTCCATTTGTTTGTGTCCTCTTATATTTTGTTGAGCACTGGTTTGTAGTTCTCCTTGAAGAGGTCCTTCACATCCCTTGTAAGTTGGATTCCGAGGTATTTTATTCTCTTTGAAGCAACTGTGAATGGGAGTTCACTCATGATTTGGCTCTCTGTTTGTCTTTTATTGATGTATAAGAATGCTTGTGATTTTTGCACATTGATTTTGTATCCTGAGACTTTGCTAAAGTTGCTTATCAGCTTAATGAGATTTTGGGCTGAGACAGTGGGGTTTTCCAGATATACAATCATGTCATCTGCTAACAGGGACAATTTGACTTCCTCTTTTCCTAATTGAATACCCTTTATTTCCTTCTCCTGCCTAATTGCCCTGGCCAGAACTTCTAACCTTATGTTGAATAGGAGTGGTGAGAGAGGGCATCCCTGTCTTGTGCCAGTTTTCAAAGGGAATGCTTCCAGTTTGTGCCCATTCAGTTGATGTTGGCTGTGGGTTTGTCATAAACAGGTCTTATTATTTTGAGATACATCACATCAATAGCTAATTTATTGAGTTTTTAGTATGAAGGGCTGTTGAATTTTGTCAAAGGCCTTTTCTGCATCTATTGAGATAATCATGTGGTTTTTGTCTTTGGTTCTGTTTATATGCTGGATTATGTTTATTGATTTGCATATGTTGAACCAGCCTTGCATCCCAGGGATGAAGCCCACTTGATCATGATGGATAAGCTTTTTGATGTGCTGCTGGATTTGGTTTGACAGTATTTTATTGAGGATTTTTGCATCGATGTTCATCAGGGATATTGTTCTAAAATTCTCCTTTTTTGTTGTGTCTCTGCCAAGCTTTGGTATCAGGATGATGCTGGCCTCATAAAATGAGTTAGGGAGGATTCCCTCTTTTTCTATTGATTGGAATATTTTCAGAAGGAATGGTATCAGCTCCTCCTTGTACCTCTGGTTGAATGCAGCTATTAATCCATCTGGTCCTGGAATTTTTTGGTTGGTAGGCTATTAATTATTGCCTCAATTTCAGAGGCTGTTATTGGTCTATTCAGGGATTCAACTTCTTCCTGGTTTAGTCTTGGGAGGGTGTATGTGTCCAGGAATTTATCCATTTCTTCTAGATTTTGTAGTTTATTTGCGTAGAGGTGTTTATAGTATTCTCCGTGGGTAGTTTGTATTTCTGTGGGATTGGAGGTGATATTCCCTTTATCATTTTTTGTTCTGTCTATTTGATTCTTCTCTCTTTTCTTCTTTATTAGTCTTGCTAGCGGTCTATCAATTTTGTTGATCTTTTCAAAAAACCAGCTCCTGGATTCATTGATTTTTTGAAGGGTTTTTTGTGTCTCTATCTCCTTGAGTTCTGCTCTGATCTTAGTTATTTCTTGCCTTCTGCTACCTTTTGAAAGTGTTTGCTCTTGCTTCTCTAGTTCTTTTAATTGTGATGTTAGGGTGTCAATTTTAGATCTTTCCTGCTTTCTCTTGTGGGCATTTGGTGCTATAAATTTCCCTCTACACAGTGCTTTAAATGTGTCCCAGAGATTCTGGTATGTTGTGTCTTTGTTCTCATTGGTTTCAAAGAACATCTTTAATTCTGCCTTGATTTCGTTATGTACCCAGTAGTCATTCAGGAGCAGGTTGTTCAGTTTCCATGTAGTTGAGCCGTTTTCAGTGAGTTTCTTAATCTTGACTTCTAGTTTGATTGCACTGTGGTCTGAGAGACAGTTTGTTATAATTTCTGTTCTTTTACATTTGCTGAGGAGTGCTTTACTTCCAACTATGTGGACAGTTTTGGAATAAGTCTGATGTGGTGCTGAGAAGAATATATATTCTGTTGATTTGGGGTGGAGAGTTCTGTAGATGTCTATTAGGTCCGCTTGGGGCAGAGCTGAATTCAATTCCTGGGTATCCTTGTTAACTTTCTGTCTCATTGATCTGTCTAATGTTGACAGTGGGGTGTTAAAGTGAGGCATTGCCTCACCCGGGAAGCGCAAGGGGTCAGGGAATTCCCTTTCCTAGTCAAATAAAGAGGTGACAGATGGCATCTGGAAAATCGGGCCCCTCCTACCCTAATACTGTGCTTTTCCAATGGGCTTAAAAAACGGCACACCAGGAGATTATATCCCTCACATGGCTCAGAGGGTCCTACGCCCACGGAGTCTCACTCATTGCTAGCACAGCAGTCCGAGATGAAACTGCAAGGTGGCAGCGAGGCTGGGGGAGGGACGCCCACCATTGCCGAGTTAGTTGTTTGATTAGGTAAACAAAGCGGCCAGGAAGCTTGAACTGGGTGGAGCCCACCACAGCTCAAGGAGGCCTGCCTGCCTCTGTAGGCTCCACCTCTGGGGGCAGGGCACAGACAAACAAAAAGACAGCAGTAACCTCTGCAGACTTAAATGTCTCTCTCTGACAGCTTTGAAGACAGTAGTGGTTCTCCCAGCATGCAGCTTGAGGTCTGAGAATGGGCAGACTGCCTCCTCAAGTGGGTCCCTGACCCCTGAGTAGCCTAACTGGGAGGCACCCCCCCAGTAGGGACGGACTGACACCTTACATGGCCGGGTACTCCTCTGAGACAAAAGTTCCAGAGGAACGTCTTTAAGTAATTTTTTGTCTTGTTTTGTTTTGCTTTGTTTCACTTTGAGGCACGGTCTCACTCTGTCACAGAGGCTGGAATGCAGTGGCATGGTCTCAGCTTACTGCAACTTCCACTTTCCAGGTTCAAGCAATTCTCCCACCTTGGCCTCTTGAGTAGCTGGGACTACAGGCATGCACCATTATGCTGGGCTAATTTTTGTGTTTTTTTTAGTAGACACAAGGTTTCACCACATTGGCCAGGTTGGTCTTGAACTCCTGACCTCAAGTGATCCATCCCCTCAGCCTCCCAAAATGCTGGGATTACAGACATCAACCACCGTGCCTGGCCTAAAAATATTTTAAATCCAGAATTATATTTCAGAATTTTGATCTTTTGGGATTTCAATATTCAGAGTTATGGTGTTTGGGTTTGTGTCTTTTAAAGAGATGATTAGCTCCCTTATTCACAATAGCCAAGTTATAAAAACAATTTAAATGTCCATTGACAGACGAATGGATAAAGAAAATGTGGTACAAGTCAAATCCTTAATCCAAATATCTTAAATCTGAAATGCTCCAAAATCTGAAACATTTTTAGCACCAACATGATGTCACAAGTATAAATTTTCATACCTGACTTCATGTGATAGGCTCCAGTCAAAATACAGGTAAAATAAAATCTATCAAAACATAGGTAAAGTAAAATTTATCTCCAAAGGTAAAATAAAATGATGTTCAGTCTATGTGTATAAAGCACATATGAAACATAAATAAATTTATTGTTCAGATTTCTGTCCCATCCCCAAGGTATATTAATATGTATATGCAACTATTTCAAGATCCAAAAAATAATCCGTAATCCAAAAATACTTCTAATTCCAAGCAACTCAGCATTTCAGATAAAGGACACTCAACCTGTATACACACACACACACACACACACACACACACACACATATATACACATATACACATATATACACATATACACATATATACATATATACACATATGTGTGTGTGTGTATGTGCATGCGTGTATGTATAAAATGAAATGTTATTAGGCCTTAAGAAAGAAGGAAATTTTGTCCTTTGTGACAATATGGACAGACCTTGAGGACATCATGCTAAGTAAAATAAACGAGAGAGGACAAATACTGCATGATGACACTTTTATGAGGACTTCAAAATAGTCACAAATAGTCAAACTCATGAAACTAGATAGTGGATACTGTTTACCAGCAGCTAAGGAAAGGAAGAAATGGGGAGGGGTCAGTTCAAGGGCAAGAAGTTTCTGTCATGCAAGATGACTAAGTTCTGCAGATCGATTGTATAGAATAGTGCCTATAAATAACAATACTGTATTGCATACATAAACATTTGCTGAGAATAGATTTTATGTTATAACAAAAGAAAACAATTTTAAAGTTAAATAAATGGAGTAAAAGAAAATTATTGGAGATAATGGATGGTTTATGGCTTTGTTTATAGAGATGATCTCACAAGTATGTACTTATCTCCAAACTAACCTAGTTTTATATATTAAATATGTGCAGCATTTTGTGTGTCAATCACTCCTCAATAAAGTGGCTTAAAACAAGACTGCCTATAGAAAATGGCCATATCTGGGGTGACAAATTGACAAATAATTTCATTGGAATCTAGCATATCTCACGTTGTCAATGTAAACCATAGTGATTCTGTTCATAGTCTAACTCATGCAATATTTGAACTTCAGGCTATTGGCATTTTTCAGCAGGAATTCAGGGTTAGTCAAATTTTAGTTAGTACTATTATCTCTAGCCAATAAATCAGAATTGTCTTAGGTTGAGTAATTGTATTTCACAAGGGTGGAAGCAAAATATTAATTCATTAATTTTCCAAGTGTTCTTCTTTGCTCTAAAGCCAGCATCCAATCCTTAGCAACAATTTATTCATCTTCTTGAATATTAGCATTTTATTAAAATACATTTAATTTAAGAATTTAATGTGTTGAAATTATGGCAGATACGTAGATTAGTTCAACTATTGCCATTGTCTGACCCACATTAACAAATTATATATAGAGAGGAAAGCAATCAACATAATGAACTCATTATTCTGAAGCAATGATATGTGGCAAAACTTAACAGATTCTTTTTGTCTTTGAATCTTTTCAATATATTAATAAAGCAAAATTGATCCACTGCTGTACTTGAGTTGCTATTACCCAGGTGGAAAAGGGTCACTATTATCATTTCAGTATTACCATGATTTCCTGGGATTGTCTTAAAATGATGCTTTGGAAAAATTCCATTTGGTTTCCAAGCCCCATAAATATCTCAGGCTATTTTTTAAAGAAAAATTCATAAATGACTTAAGTCACCAAAAATATAATGGAATTTAAACTATAGTAAAACTGTAGGCAAACTCAAAAGTTATTTGAAATGTATCCTAGGGGTATTAAATTTGAGTTAGAGATAACTTCACTGGCAAGAATCGCATGAACAGGAGTGTGTACCAGATGTCTTTGTAATGTCACCTAGACAATTGCTTATGTGATAACAAATTTAAGAAAGACCAAAGTAATTCATATCACATCTAAGGTTAAGAAAATGAAATACCTCCAATGCACCATTTATTTGCAATGATTGTTGAATTTTGTCTGTATCTATTATTTATTTTTTTCAAAAGATGAGTGCAAGGTTTTATTGAGTGGTGGAGATGGCTCTCGGCCAGATGGATGGGGAGCCGTAAGGTGGTCTTCCCCTAGAGTTGGGCTGCCCAGTGGCCAGACTCTTCCCTGACCACCCCCAGCCAAACAGATGCCCAGAAGTCCGTGCCTTCTCTTCTGTCTTTCTCTGCCGTGTCTTTCAGTCGTCACTGGTCTGCAGTCTGCTGGTGTCTACTGGTCTATTCCTCTGTTCCTCTCAACATTCAGCTACTTGTGTCTGTGCCCGCTAATGTCTGGAGTTTATATGGGCACAGGATGGGGGAGGTGGTGGGCCAGAGTGGTCTTGGAAAAATGCAACATTTTTTTGTGTGTGTGTGTGCTTTATTTGTTGAAATTCTAACAGTCAATTGTAATATAAATGTGTATTTTTATTGCAAAAGTAAAATCCTATAATAATTAATGATGGCTGTGAAAACCATTAATTTTTATGTATAGAACCGTTATTAAGAGTTTTCAGAGTTAAATGAATAAGGAAAAAGGTTGACAGTTATTATAAATATTATGAAAATGCATGAAGAAAATAACATTAGAAAGAACACATTTCTTTTTTGTCTAATAATTATTTATACAATTTAAATAATAATAAAAGACTGAAAAAAGAGATTACATTACATATTAATTCGAATTTAGCAGAATTGTTTGGTGTATGAACAATTATAACACCAAATAAAATAAACTTTTAAGAACTTAAAGTTTAAGAATTTAAAATATGGCTCTTTACTTCCATTTAGGCAAAACATTTGTAAAAAACCTTATTGATAATTCATCACATCTTGGGAGTATGATTTAAAAGGTAAATGTCAATTTTGCAACCTCAAACTATCATACACAGGAAAAAATAAATGATAAACTATAAATTAACTTTTTTTATTATTATTATACTTTAAGTTTTAGGGTACATGTGCACAACGTGCAGGTTTGTTACATATGTATACATGTGCCATGTTGGTGTGCTGCAACAATTAACTCATCATTTAGCATTAGGTATATCTCCTAATGCTGTCCCTCCCCCCTCCCCCCACCCCACAACAGTCCCCGGTGCGTGATGTTCCCCTTCCTGTGTCCATGTGTTCTCACTGTTCAATTCCCACCTATGAGTGAGAACATGCGGTGTTTGGTTTTTTGTCCTTGCGATAGTTTGCTGAGAATGATAGTTTCCAGGTTCATCCATGTCTCTACAAAGACATGAACTCATCATTTTTTATGGCTGCATAGTATTCTATGGTGTATATGTGCCACATTTTCTGAAATAATGCTGCATATCTACAACTATCCGATCTTTGACAAACCTGACAAAAACAAGCAATGGGGAAAGGGTTCCCTATTTAATAAATGGTGCTTGGAAAACTGGCTAGCCATATGTAGAAAACTGAAACTGGATCCCTTCCTTACACCTTATACAAAAATTAATTCAAGATGGATTAAAGACTTAAATGTTAGACCTAAAACCATAAAAACCCTAGAAGAAAATCTAGGCAATACCATTCAGGACATAGGCATGGGCAAGGACTTCATGTCTAAAACACCAAAAACAATGGTAACAAAAGCCAAAATTGACAAATGGGATCTAATTAAACTAAAGAGCTTCTGCACGGCAAAAAAACTACCACCAGAGTGAACAGCAACCTACAGAATGGGAGAAAATTTTTGCAATCTACCCATCTGACAAAGGGCTAATATCCAGAATCTACAAAGAACTCAAACAAATTTACAAGAAAAAAAATCAGAAAGTGGGCAAAGGATATGAACAGACAGTTCTCTAAAGAAGACATCTATGCAGTCAATAGACACGTGAAAAAATGGTGATCATCACCAGTCATCAGAGAAATGCAAATCAAAACCACAATGAGATACCATCTCATGCCAGTTAGAATGGCAGTCATTAAAAACTCAGGAAACAACACATTATGGACAGGATGTGGAGAAATAGGAACACTTTAACACTGTTGGTGGGAGTGTAAATCGGTGCAAACATTGTGGAAGACAGTGTGGTGATTTCTCAAGGATCTAGAACTAGAATTACCATTTGACCCAGCAATCCCCTTACTGGGTATATACCCAAAGGATTATAAGTCATTCTACTGTAAAGACATATGCAGACATATGTTTATTGCAGCACAATCACAATAACAAAGACTTGGAACCAACCCAAATGTCCATCAATGATAGACTAGATTAAGAAAATGTGGAACATATACACCATGGAATACTATGCAGCCATAAAAAAGGATGAGTTCCTCTCCTTTTTAGGCACATGGATGAAGCTGGAAACCATCATTCTCAGCAAACTATCACAAGGACAGTAAACCAAACACCACATGTTCTCACTCATAGGTAGGAATTGAACAATGAGATCACTTGGACAAAGGGAACATCACACACTGGGGCCTGTCATGGCGTGGGGGGCTGAGAGAGGGATAGCATTAGGAGAAATACCTAACGTAAATGATGAGTTGATTGGTGCAGCAAACCAACATGGCACATGTATACCTATGTATCAAACCTGCACTTTGTGCACATGTACCCTATAACTTAAAGTATAATAAAGGGAAAAAAAGGTGCAGGGACAAAAAAGAGTGTGTTATCTGAGCTAGAGTGAGAAGTCTGGTTGGAGCAAAGGTGTTGGTAGGATTCTGGTTTGAGCAAAGGTGTTGGGAGGATAAGGCTAAACAGATCACATAGAAGCTATGTTCTACAATGTGGCTTGGGTGACCCTGCCACATTGGGTGCCACAAAACAGAGAGCCACAGGAGGATTAAAACGCAAAACTGACATGATCAGATACATCATTTCAGAACTGTAACCTGGTGCCAGTGATACGGGAGGGCATGGACGTGCTGGGTAGAGAAGAGGAGTGTCCCCGGAAAGGGCTCCACCCTTGGGCCTGTGCCCATGGACCTAAGTGAAAACAGACACTCCTGTTTTCAGACCAAAATGTTGCATTTTTGTTGGACATTTGGGTTGGTTCCAAGTCTTTGCTATTGTGAATAGTGCCACAATAAACATATGTGTTCATGTGTCTTTATAGCAGCATGATTTATAATCCTTAGGGTATATACCCAGTAATGGGATGGCTGGGTCAAATGGTATTTCTAGTTCTAGATCCCTGAGGAATCGCCACACTGACTTCCACAATGGTTGAACTAGTTTACAGTCCCACCAACAGTGTAAAAGTGTTCCTATTTCTCCACATCCTCTCCAGCACCTGTTGTTTCCTGACTTTTAATGATCGCCATTCTAACTGGTGTGAGATGGTATCTCATTGTGGTTTTGATTTGCATTTCTCTGATGGTCAGTCATGATGAGCATTTTTTCATGTGTTTTTTTGGCTGCATAAATGTCTTCTTTTGAGAAGTGTCTGTTCATATCCTTTGCCCACTTTTTGATGGTGTTGTTTGTTTTTTTCTTGTAAATTTGTTGGTGTCAGATGACAAGGGAGTATATTTTCTTAAGGCCTCCTGTAGCCACTCGAGGAAGGCAGAAGGATTTTCTTCCTTTTCCTGAGTTATGGTGGACATCACTGAATAATTAATGGGCTTCTTCCTAATTATCCTTAGTCCTTCTAGAACACAGGTCAACAGATGTTTATGACTCCAGTCCCCAAGATCTGAGTCAAGGTCCCAGTGGGGATCCATACTGGGGATGGCTTGCTGACTGGTAGGGAATTTGTCCCTTTCTTCAGCTGTCATCCTATCATTTACTTGGCTAAGATACCAGGTAACTCCAAAACCTAGGGCTGCAGCTAAAGCCACATTCTTTTCATTAAAGGCCAGGGTCTGATCTAACAATAGCATGACATCTCTCCAAGTGAGGTCAAAGGTTTGCCCTAGACCCTGTAGGACATCATGTACCAACAAGGATCATCTGAAAACTTCCCCAGGTCTTACCTTGATCTGCTTTAAATCAGAGAGGGAGAAGGGGACATGTACCTGGGTTGGGCCAAATTCCACTCCCCCTACAGCTTGAAAGGGACACAACAAATAGCCTGGAGGGTGGTTTGTGGTCCCTTGGAGATTTCTTTGCTTGGGCAGGGGAGATTAGAGAAGGCTTATCATTAATAGGAAGGGGAGCTATAGGAAGGCTAGGATATAGAGGTAAGCTGAGATGTCCTCCTGTGGGATGTAAATTGCAAGCTTTGCATAGTTGTGGATTATCCTTCAATGAAAAGAAAGCTTGGATATAAGGTATTTCACTCCATTTGCCTTCCCTCTTACAGAAAAGGTCAAGCTGCAGGATAACATTGTAATTTATACTTCCCTCAGGTGGCCATTTTTCCCCATCAGAGAGAGAATATTGGGGCCAGGCTATAGTTCAGAAAAAATGAGCCACCTCTTTTTCAGGGTTTGCAGGTCAAATTGGTCCCAATGGCTTAGGAAGCATTTCAAGGGTGAGCCTGTTGATGCCTGAGTGTTTCCCATCTGAAAGAAACAACTGCCTGTGGTTTTGGTTTGTTTTATCCCCCCCACCCAAGAACCCACAATGGTCCCTGGACCCTGATGATCAGAATAGTTGTGCTTATCCATGCAGCAGCTGATCCCCCTCTTGCCCAATAACCCCAAACTGTCCCTGGACCCTGCTGATCGGAATAGTTGTCCTCACCAATGCAACAGAAGAAACACTAGTTTTCCTCCTAGACCACAAGAAGGACTGAGGAAGGTCGGATTTAGTGGCCCTTACTGATGCATTCTCGAAAACCTGCACCCTTGCCTTTCCTCTTAGACCACAAAGATGACTGAGAAAAATCGGATTTAGTGGCGCTTACCGACACATTCTCGAAAATCTATTAGAGTCCTAAGCATTTTCTCCTGTTAGTATTGGGACCTTACCCCTGTCCTATAAAGATGATATGCCCCAAAAATGGAGTGGAGGGCTATACCCTGAGGGAGGGAAGGGATCTCCAGGGTTGGAAGAGTGATGTGTTTTGTCCTCACTTCTCATCATATGAATAGAAAGGATATCATTTCTGAGGCTCCCCATATCCTAGCTTCGGGAATAGCTTTTGTTAGGCCTGCTTGTCTGAGGAGGGATCCTAAAATTCCAGATAGTCTCCCTCCCATGATGGGGCTTTGGGCAAAAATTATATCTTTCTGATTGGTGAGCCTAGCTGCCTAAAGAAAGGAACAGAGTCCCAAAATTTATACTAGAAATCATTCTTATAGGAGAAACTAGTAAAGCACCAGAGACAGGGAGTGGTTTTTAGAAGCAGGACTAGCCTCAGAGAAGAGAGGCAGGAGGAAGTGTGTCTGACAGGCATTAGGACCCAGGAGGCAAGGGTCAGGATAGATAGGATAGATGGGTGAGTCTCCCTTGGGCGACGTGACTTTGAGAGTTCCACTCATGACTACAGGGTCAACCAACTTTTTGTTGGGACCCCGGAGCTGAACAGCTTTCCTGTCTGTTGACCCTCAGCTCAGCCCAGAAGTACAGGAAAAGCGGAAGCTGGTTCCAGGCAAGCCAATGCTCCCAACTTCAAAGAGTCAGGGGTTGTTAGAGAGCCCTTTCCCAGAAAGCCTGACAACCGTGTCTTTAGTCTGGTGGCCGCGCTAGTAGCTTTTAACTGGCTGACAGGTGCCTGGTGTTTAGCCCCCAAATCCTAAGGAAAAATAGGACAGAATAGCAAGCAAAAGGGGTGCAATGGTACTCACCGCTTGGCGATAGTCCCATCTGGGTCACCAAGATGTGTCCATAGTTGGTTCCTTCCACTGGGTTCTTGGTCTCGCTGACTTCAAGAATGAAGCCACAGACCTTCGCAGAGAGTGTTACAGCTCTTAAAGGTGGCACAGACCCAAAGAGTGAGCAGCAGCAAGATTTACTGTGAAGAGCAAAAGAATAAAGCTTCCACAGCGTGGAAGTTGACCCGAGCGGGTTGCTGCTGCTGGCTGGGGTGGCCAGCTTTTATTCCCTTATTTGTCCCCACCCATGTCCTGCTGATTGGTCCATTTTACAGTGTGCTGATTGGTCCATTGTAGAGAGCACCGATTGGTCCATTTTACAAGGCACTGATTGGTCCATTTTACAAACTTCTAGCTAGCCACAGAGCACTGATTGGTGTGTTTTTACAGAGCACTGATTAGTACATTTTACAACTCTCTTGTAAGACCAAAAAGTTCTCCAAGTCCCCACCCAACCTAGAAGTCGAACTGGCTTCACTTCTCACTCTGGGCAAAAAGCTCCTAGATAACCTTCCCACACAGCTGGAGAATCTCCTATTGTATGCTTCATCCAAGCTGCAATGGGCATCAATCTGAACTTTTGTGAAAAGCACAGCAAATATGGAATTAGGGAACCATTTACTGCTGAAAAGGAAGTGGTGATTCAGGGCCAAGGCAACTCAACAGGTAAATTATACAGAACCACTAAATACACATGTGCTAGACATGTGCAAACCAACCCAGATAGAGGAGACTGGAATAAATAATTCTTTGATGTGAAGACATTAACATACTTTCATAGAAAACCACAGCATACATGGAATCATGACCTCCATAAATGAAAAAAAAAAGCAAGGAAAGAGTGACTAACCCTAACTAGATGGTGAAGTGTGAACTCTCAAATCAAAAATTTAAAATTGAAGTTTGAAGAAACTCAGTGAATTCTATGATAACACAGGAAAGTAAATAAGAAATTTATGAGAGAAATTGAACAAAGAGATTTAAATAATTTAAAAAATCAAACAGAAATCCTGGAATGGAGAAATACATTGGAAGAAATAAAAACATACATAAGAGGTTCTCAAAAACAGAATTAATCAAGCAGAAGAAAGAATCAGTGCGCTCAAGGACAGAATATTTGAAAACACAACACCAGAGGAGATGAAAAAAATAATAAAAAGGAAAAAGAACAGCTATGAGATCTAGAAAACAGCCTGAAAAGAGCAGATCTAAGACTCACTGGCTTTCAATATGGAGTTAAGGCACATCAAGTGGTAGAAAGCTTATTAAAAAAATCGTAACAGAAAACTTTCTGAATCTACAAAAAGGTATATACATATCCAGGTATGAAAAGGTCAAAACATCACTAAAAAGATTAAACCAAGATAAGATTGCTCCAAGATACAGAATAATCATACTCTAAAAAGCCAAATTAAAGACAGGACCCTAAAAAAGCAAGTGAAAAATTATTAATATATAATGAAGCTTCAATTAATATGGCAACAGAATTCTCAGTGGAAACGATACAGACTTTGAGGGAGTGAGGTGACATTTTCCAACTGCTGAAGAAAAAGAAATGTCAACTGAGATACTGTACCAAGCAAAGCTGTTCTTCAAACATGAGGGAGAAAAAAAAATTCCCTGAAAAACAAAAGCTGAGGGCATTAATTACTACTAGATTTGATTAGAAATAAAAGATAAAGTTCTTCAATCTAAAAGAAAAGAATGCAAGTGTGCAATAATAAAGGATCTGAAGATAAAAACTTCACTGGTAAAAGTAAGTATACAAAAAGTACAGAATATTCTAATATTGTAACAACAGTATGTAACCACTCATATCTCTGACATGAATAAAATATATAAATGTATGAAAGATAATAACTACAAAATTTGTAAAGAGATAGGCAATATAAAACATACATAAGTGGAGAAAATAAAAGTCATAATGTCGAGGGCATTGAGTTAAAACATATTGTTTTTGTTTCCTTGTTTCCTTTTTTTGTAGTGATTAATGTTAACTTGTATTCTACTTACCTTATTATAAGATGCTCCTTTTTCAACTTTTATTTTAGGTCTGGGGTACATGTGTAAGTTTGTCATATGGGTAAATTGGGTGTCATGGGGGTTTTGTGCACAGATTACTTCATCATTCTAGTAATAAGCATAGTACCCAATAGGTAGTTTTTGATTCTCACCCTCCTCCCACCCTCCACTTTCAAGTAGGCTCTGGAGTCTGTTGTTCCCTTCTTTGTGTTTATGTGTATTCAATATTTAGCTCCCACAAAAAGTGAGAACATGTGGTATTTGGCTTTCTGTTCCTGAATTAGTTTGCTTAGAATAATGCCCTCCAGGTCCATCCATGTTGCTACAAAGAATATTACCTCATTTTTAAGGCTACATAGTATTCCATTGTGTATATGTACCATATATTCTTTATCCTGTCTACTATTGATAGACATTTTGGTTGATTCCATGTCTCTGCTATTGGGAACAGTACTGCAATAAATATATGTGTTATGTGTCTTTATGGTAGAGCAATTTATATTGCTTTGAGTGTGTGCTCAATAATGGGATCTCTGGGTCAAATAGTAATTCTGTTTTAAGTGTTTTGGGAAATGATCAAACTGCTTTCTAAAAGAGTGAACTAATTTACATTCTCACCAGCAGTGTATAAATGTTCACTTTTGTCTATAACCTCATCATGATCTGTTATTTTTTGAGTTTTAAATAATAGCCATTCTGACTGTTGTGAGATGGTATCTCATTTTCGCTTTGATTTGCATTTCTCTAACAAATAGTGATGTTGAGAATGTTTTCACATACTTGTTGGCTGCGAGTATGTCTTATTTTAGGAAGTGTCTGTTCATGTCCTTTGCCCATCTTTTAATATAATTGTTTCATTGCTTGTAAATCTGTTTAAGTTCTTTGTAGATTCTGGATATTAGACCTTTGTCAGATGCATAGCTTGCAAATATTTTCTCCCACTCTGTAGGTTGTCTGTTTACTCTGCTGATGGTTTCTTTTGCTGTGCAGAAGTTCTTCAGCTGATTTAGGTCCCATTTGTTTATTACTATTATTATTATTGTTATTATTATGGTTGCAATTCCTTTTGGCATCTCCATCATAAAATACTTGTCAAGTCTTATGTCCAGAATAGTATTTTCTAGATTATCTTTGAGGGATTTTATAGTTTTAGGTTTTACATTTAAGTCTTTAATCCATTGTGATGGTTAATATCGAGTGTGTCAACTTGATTGGATTGAAGGATACAAAGTATTGTTCCTGGGTGTGTATGTTAGGGTGTTGCCAAAGGAGACTAACATTTGAGTCTCTGGACTGGGAAAGGCAGACCCACCCTCAACCTGAGTGGGCACAATCTAATAAGTTGAAAATGCAGCAAGAATAAAAAGCAGGCAGAAGAACGTGGAAAGACCAGACTGGCTAAATCTTCTAGGCTCCATCTATCTCTCATGCTGGATACTTCCTGCCCTTGAACATTGAACTCCAAGTACTTTGGCTTTAGGACTGTTGGACCTTTGACCACAGACTGAAGACTGCACTGTTGGCTTCCCTACTTTTGAGGCTTTGGGACTCAGACTGGCTTCCTTGCTCCTCGGCTTGCAGACAGCCTATTGTGGGGCCTCACCTTGTGATCATGTATGTCAATACTCCTTAATAAACTCCACTTTAAATACACATCTATCCTATTAGTTCTGTTCCTCTAGAGAATCCTGACTAATACATACATCTTGAGTTGATTTTTTTTTACATGGTGTAAGGAACTCGTCCACTTTCAATCTTCTGCATATTGCTTGCCAGTTATCCTAGCACTATTTTATTGAATAGAGTCCTTCCCCCATGCTTGTTTTTGTTAAGGATAATTGAAGGTGTACAGCATTATTTCAGGGTCTGTATTCTGTTTAATTAGTGTATGTGTCTATTTTTGTATGAGTACTATGCTTCAAATTTACATTATATTCGTCTATTACATTAGTCCATTACATTAACATGAATCTATTTACATTCAATGATATTGATCAGTAAGAACTTACTTCTGCCATTTTCTCATTTGTTTTCTCGTGTGTGTGTGTGTGTGTGTGCGTGTGTGTGTGTGTTCTCTTCCTTCATTCCTTCCTGTCTTCTTTCAGCAAAGGTGATTTCTTTGGTAATATTATTTAGTTTCTTCCTTTTTATTTATTGTGTGTACATTTTGTTTTTTGATTTGAGGTTACCATGAGGCTTGTGAATACAATCTTACAACTCATTATTTTAACCTGATGAGAACTTAACACTGTTTCCATAAAGAAGCAAGCAAGTAAACAGAAAACTAATAAAAAAAACTACACCTGAAATTTGTCTGCCAGCTTTTTAACTGTTTGTAGTTTCTATTTATATCTTATTGTACTATCTATGTCTTGAAAAGTTGTTGTAGTTATTAGTTTTGATTGGTTCATCATTTAGTCTTTCTACTTAGGATAAGAGTTGTTTACACATCACAGTTTCAGTGTAATAATATTATGTTTTTCTGTTTACTTACCATTACCAGTGAGTTTTTACCTTCAAGTGATTACTTATTGCTCATTAACGCCTTTTCTTTCTGATTGAAGTGCTTCCTTTAGCATTTCTTGTAGGTGAGATCTGGTGTTGATGAAATCCCTCCATTTTTGTTTGTCTGGGAAAGTCTTTATTTCTCCTTTTTTGTTTGAAAAATATTTTCACTGGATATACTATTCTAAGCTAAAAGTCTTTATTTTTCTTCAGCAGTTTAAATATGTCATGCCTATCTCTTCTAGTCTGTAATGTTTCCACTGAAAACTCTGCTGTCAGATGTACTGGAGCTCTATTGTGTGTTATTTTTTCTTTTCTGTTGCTGCTTTTAGGATCCTTTCTTTATCCTTGATCGTTAAGAGTTTGATTATTAAATGCCTTGAAGTACTTTTTGAGTTAAATCTGCTTGGTGTTCTATAACTTTCTTTGTATTTGGATCTTGACATCTTTCTTTAGGTTTGGGAAGTTGTCTGTTATTATTTCTCCTAATAAATGCTCTATTGCTGTCTTTTTCTCTACCTCCTCTTTAATGCCAATAACTTTCAGATTTGTCCTTTTGAGGCTGTTATCTAGATTCTGTAGGAGGGCTTCATTTTTTTAAATTATTTTTTCTTTTGTCTCCTCTGAGTGTGTAATTTCAAATAGTTGTTATTCAAGCTCACTAATTCTTTAGCTGGATTAATTCTGCTATTAAAAGATTCTGGTCTTCTAGCAAGATGGCTGAATAGAAACAGCTCCAGTCTGTAGCTCCCAGTGAGATCAATGCAGAATGAGGGCGATTTCTGCATCTCCAACTGAGGTACCCGGTTCAAATAATTGGGACTGCTTAGACAGTGGGTGAAGCCTGTGGAGGGTGAGCCAAAGCAGCGTGTGGTGCTGCCTCACCCAAGAATTGCAAGGGGTCAGAAAATACCCTCCCCTAGCCAAGGGAAGCCGTATGGGACTGTGCCGTGAGGAACAGTGCACTCTGGCCCAGATACTATGCTTTTCCCATGGTCTTTGCAACCGATAGATCAGGAGATTCCCTCCAGTGCCTATGCCACCAGAACCCCGGGTTTCAAGCACAAAACTGGGTGACTGTATGTGCAGACATCGAGCTAGCTGCAGTTTTTTTTTTTTTTCATACCCCAGTGGTGCCTGGAATGACAGTGAGACAGAATCATTCACTCACCTGGAAAGGGGGCTGAAGACAAGGAGCCGAGTGGTCTAGCTCAGCAGATTCCACACCCACAGAGCCCAGCAAGCTAAGATCCACGGGCTTAAAATTCTCACTGCCAGCAGAGCAGACTGAAGTCAACCTGAGAAGCTCGAGCTTGGTGTGGGGAGGGGCTTCCACTTTCACTGAGGCTTGAGTAGGTGGTTTTCCCATCAAAGTGTAAACAAAGTATCTTGGAAGTTCCAACTGGATGGAGCCCTCTGTAGCTCAGCAAAGCCTCTGTAGCCAGACTGCCTCTCTAGAGTCCTCCGCTCTGGGCAGGGCATCTCTGAAAAAAGGGCAGCAACCCCAGTCAGGGACTTACAGATAAAACTCCCATCTCACTGGTACAGAGCACCTGGGTGAAGGGGCAGCTGTGGGCGCAGCTTCAGCAGAATTAAATGTCCCTGCTGGCCAGCTATGTGCAGCAGATCTCCCAGCACAGTGCTGAAGCTGTGCTAAAGGTCAGAGTGCCTCCTCAAGTGGGTTACTGACCCCTGTGTCTCCTGACTGGGAGGCATCCCCTAAAAGGGGCTGACAAACACCTCATAGAGGAGAGCTCCAGCTGGCATCTGGTGGGTTCCCCTCTAGGACAAAACTTGCAGAGGAAGACACAGGCAGCAATCTTTGCTGTTCTGCAGCCACTGCCAGTGATACCCAGGCAAGCAGGGTCTGGAGTGGACCTCCAGCAAACTCAAGCAGACCTGCAGCAGAGGGGCCTGACTGTTAGAAGGAGAACTAACAAACAGAAAGGAATAGCATCAACATCAACAAAAAGGACGTCAACTCAGAAACCCCATCTGAAGGTCACCAACATCAAAGACCAAAGGTAGATAAATCCATGAAGATGGGGAGAAATCAATACAAAAAGGCTGAAAATTCCAAAAACCAGAATGCCTCTTCTCCAAATATCACAACTCCTCACCAGCAATGGAACGAAACTGGACGGAGAATGAGTTTGACAAACTGACAGAAGTAGGCTTCAGAAGGTGGGTAAAAACAAACTACTCTGAGCTAAAGGAGCATGTTCTAACTCAATGCAAGAAAGCTAAGAACCTTGAAAAAAGGTTAGAGGAATTGCTAACTAAGATAACCAGTTCAGAGAAGAACATAAATGACCTGATGGAGCTGAAAAACAGCACAAGAACTTCGTGAAGCATACACAAGTATCAATAGCTGAATTGATCAAGCAAAAGAAAAAATACCAGAGATTGAAGATAAACTTAATGAAATAAAGCATGAAGAGAAGATTAGAGAAAAAAATAGTAAAAAGGAACGAACAATACCTCTGAGAAATACGGGACTGTGTGAAAAGACCAAACCTACATTTGATTGGTGTACCTGAAAGTGATGGGGAGAATGAAACCAAGGTGGAAAACACTCTTCATGATATTATCCAGGAGAACTTCCCAACCTAGCAAGACAGGCCAACATTCAACTTCAGGAAATACAGAGAACACCACAAAGACACTCCTTGGGAAGTGCAACCCCAAGACATATAATCATTAGAGTCACCAAGGTTGAAATGAAGGAAAAAATGTTAAGGGCAGCCAGATAGAAAGGTGGGGTGACCCACAAAGGGAAGCCCATCAGACTAACAGTGGATCTCTTGGCAGAAACTCTATAAGCCAGAAGAAAGTGGGGGCCAATAGTCAACATTCTTTAAGAAAAGAATTTTCAACCCAGAATTGCATATCTTGCCAAACTAAGCTTCATAAGCAAAGGAGAAATAAAATCTTTTATAGATAAGCAAATTCTCAGAGATTTTGCCACCACCAGGTCTGCCTTACAAGAGCTCCTGAAGGAAGCACTAAACACGGAGAGGAACAACCGGTACCAGCCCCTGCAAAAACATAACGAATTATAAAGACCATTGACACTATGAAGAAACTGCATCAACTATTGGACAAAATAACAAGCTAGCATCATAATGACAGGATCAAATTCACACATAATAATATTAACCTTAAATGTAAATGGGCTAAATTCCCCAATTAAAAGACACAGACTGGCTAACTGGATAAAGAGTCAAGACCCATCGGTGTGCTGTATTCAGGAGAGCCATCTCACATGCAAAGAGACACATAGGCTCAAAATAAAGGAATGACAGAATATTTACCAAGCAAATGGAAAGAAAAAAAAAACCCAGGGGTTGCAATACTAGTCTCCGATAAAACAGACTTGAAACCAACAAAGATTAAAAAAAGACAAAGAAGGGCATTACATAATGGTAAGGGGATCAATGCAACAAGCAGATCTAACTATCCTAAGTATATAGGTACCCAATACAGAAGCACCCAGATTCATAAGACAAGTTCTTACAGACCTACAAGGAGATATAGACTCCCACACAATAATAGTGGGAGACTTTAACAAACACCGCCCTGTCAATAATAGACAGATCAATGAGACAGAAAATTTAATTGGGATATTCAGGACTTGAAATCAGCTCTGGACCAAGCAGACCTAATAGACAGCTAAAGAATTCTCCACCACAAATCAACAGAATATACATTCATTTCAGCACCACATTGTACTTATTCTAAAATTGGCTACATAATTGGAAGTAAAACACTCCTCAGCAAATGCAAAAGAATGATAATCATAACAAACAGTCTCTCAGACCACAGTGCAATCAAATTAGAACTCAGGATGAAGAAACTCACTCAAAACCACACAAGTACATGGAAACTGAATAACCTGCTCCTGAATTACTACTGGGTAAACAATGAAATTGGGGCAGAAATAAATAAGCTATTTGAAAGAAATGAGAACAAAGACACAACATACCAGAATCTCTGGGACATATTTAAAGCAGTGCATGGAGGGTAATTTATAGCACTAAATGCCCACAAGAGAAAGCAGGAAAGATCTAAAATCGACACCCTAACATCACAATTAAAAGAACTAGAGAAGCAAGAGCAAACAAATTCAAAAGCTAGCAGAAGTCAAGAAATAACTAAGATTACAGCATAACTGAAGGAGATAGAGACATGAAAAACCCATCAAAAAATCAATGAAGCTAGTTTTTTGAAAAGATCAACAAAATAGATTGGCTTCTTGTGAGACAAATAAAGAACAGAAGAGAGAAGAATCAAATAGACACAATAAAGAATGATAAGGGGGATACCACCACTGACCCTACAGAAATAAAAACTACCATGAGAGAATACAAAATACACCTCTACGCAAATAAACTAGAAAATATGGAAGAAACGGATAAATTCCTGAACACATATACCCTCTTATTCCTAAACCAGGAAAAAGTCAAATCCGTGAATATACCAGTAACAAGTTCTGAAATTAAGGCAGTAATTAATAGCCCACCAACCAAAACAAAAATGCCGAAACCAGACGGATTCACAGCCAAATTCTACCAGAGGACAAAGAGGAGCTGGTACCATTCCTGCTGAAACTATAAAAACAATAAAAAAAGGGACTCCTCCCTAACTCATTTTATGAAGCCAGCATCATCCTGATACCAATACCTGGCAGAGACACAACAACAAAAAAAGAAAATTTCAGGCCAATATCCCTGATCAACATCAATGCAAAAATCCTCAATAAAATTCAGGGAAACCGAATCCAGCGACACATCAAAAAGCTTATCCACCACAATCAAGTTGGCTTCATACCTGGGATGCAAGGCTGGTTCAACATACACAAATCAATAAACATAATCCATCACATAAACAGAACAAATGACAAAAACCAAATTATTGTCTCAATAGATGCTGAAAAAGCCTTTGATAAAACTCAACACCCCTTCATGCTATAAACTCTCAATAAACTAGGTATTGATGGAATGCATCTCAAAATAATAAGAGGTATTTATGACAAACCCACAGCCAATATCATACTGAATGGGTAAAAGCTGGAAGCATTCCCTTTGAGAATCAGCACAAGACAAGGATGCCCTCTCTCACCAACATAGTATTGGAAGTTCTGGCCAGAACAATCAGGCAAGCGAAAGAAATAAAAGATATTCAAATAGGAAGAGAGAAGGTAAAATTGTCTCAGTTTCAATACAACATGATTGTATATCTAGAAAACACCATTGTCTCAGCCCAGAATCTCCTTAACCTGATAAGCAACTTCAGCAAAGTCTCAGGATAAAAAATCAATTGCAAAAATCACAAGCATTACTATACACCAATAATAGACAGAGAGCCAAATAATCAGTGAACTCTGATTCACAATTGCTACAAAGAGAATAAAATACCTAGGAATCCAACTTACAAGGGATGTGAAGGACCTCTTCAAGGGGAACTACAAACCACTGCTGAAGAAAATAAGAGAGGACACAAACAAATGGAAAAACATTCCATTCTCATGGATAGAAAGAATCAATATTATAAAAACGGCCACACTGCCCAAGATAGTTTACAGATTCAATGCTATCCCCATCAAGCTACCATTGACTTTCTTCACAGAATTAGAAAAAAACTACTTTAAATTTCATATGGAACTAAAATAAAAAAACCCTGTATAGCCAAGACAATCCTAAGCAAAAAGAACAAAGCTGGAGGCATCACGCTACCTGACTTCAAACTATACTACAAGGTTACAGTAACCAAAACAGCATAGTACTGGTACCAAAACAGATATATAGACTAATGGAACAGAACAAAGCCCAAAGAAATAACACCACACATCTACAACCATCTGATCTTTGGAAAACCTGACAAAAACAAGCAATGGGGAAAGGATTTCCTATTTAATAAATGCTGTTGGAAAACTGGCTAGCCATGTGAAGAAAACTGAAACTGGACCCTTTCGTTATGCCTTATACAAAAATTAACTCAAGATAGATTAAAACTTAAATGTAAGACCTAAAACCATAAAAACCCTAGAAGAAAATTTAGGCAATACTATTCAGGACATAGGCATGGGCAAAGACTTTGAGAGTAAAACACCAATAGCAGTGGCAACAAAAGCCAAAATCGACACATGGGATGTAATTAAACCAAAGAGCTTCTGCATAGTAAAAGAAACTATCATCAGAGTGAACAGGCAACCTACAGAATGGAAGAAAATTTTTGCAATCTATCCATCTGACAAAGGGCTAATATCCAGAATCTACAAAGAACTTAAGCAAATATACAAGAAAAAAACAAAGAACCCCATCAAAAAGTGGGTGAAGGATATGAACAGATACTTCTCAAAAGAAGACATCTATCCACCCAATAAATATATGAAAAAAAAGCTCATCATCACTGGTCATTAGAGAAATGCAAATCAAATCCACAATGAGATTACATCTCACACCAGTTAGAATGGTGATCATTAAAAAGTCAGGAAACGATAGATGCTGGAGAGGATGTGGAGAAATAGGAACATGTTTACACTGTTGGTGGGAGTGTAAATTAGTTCAACCATTGTAGAAGACACTGTGGTGATTCTTCAAGGATCTAGAACCAGAAATACCATTTGATGCAACAATCCCATTACTGGGTGTATATCAAAAGGATTAAAAATCATTCTACCATAAAAACACATGCACATGTAAGTTTATTGAGGCACTGTTCACAATAGCAAAGACTGGAAACCAACCCAAATGCCCAGCAATAATAGACTGGATAAAGAAAATGTGGCACATATACACCATGAAATACTGTGCAGCCATAAAAAATAGAACACCAGGAAGATCTCTAAGGTTATTGACTGTAGTCCATGACACCCAGACAGCACTTCTGGACCCACACAGGGTGTGGGGGATCTCACTGCCCTGAACGAAAGGACACAGACCTGCGTGTCCTTTGGAGGGACATGTCATTTGTAGGGACACGGATGAAGCTGGAAACCATCATTCTCAGCAAACTAACACCAGAACAGAAAACCAAACACCGCATGTTCTCACTCATAAGTGGGAGTTGAACAATGAGAACACATGGACACACGGAGGGGAACATCACACACCGGTGTCTGTCAGGTTGTAGGGGCTGGGGGAGGGATAGCATTAGGAGAAATACCTAATGTACATGACAGGTTGATGGGTGCAGCAAACCACCATGGCACGTGTATACCTACGTAACAAACCTGCACAATCTGCACATGTACCCTAGAACTTAAAAGTATAATTAAAAAAGACTCTGATGCATTCTTAAATATGCAAATTGCATTTCTTTAGCTCCAGAATTTCAGCTAGATTCTTTTCAATTATTTCATTCTCTTATTAAATTTATCTGTGGAATTCTGATTTTGCCTGTGCTACCTTGAATTTCTTTGAGTTCCCTGAACCCAGTTGTACCAAATTCCCTTTCTGAAAGGTCACATATCTCTGCTTATCCAGCATTAGTTCCTGGTTACCTATTTAGTTCCTCTGATGAGGTCATGTTTTCCTGGATGGTGTTCATGCTAGTAGACATTCTTCAGTGTCTGGGCATTGAAGAATTTGATATTTATTGTAATCTTCTATATCTTGTCTTCTTTGTATCCATCATTTTTGGGAAGGCTTTCCAGATATTTGAAAGGACTTGAGTATCAAGAGCTAAGCAGCATCTGCTTTAAGGAGCACCTCAAGCCTAATAAAACTGTAGTTCTTGCAGACTCATAGAGTTATTGCCTTGATGATTTTGAAAAAAGATGAAAAATTCTCTGGATTACCAGGCAGATATCTTGTTCTCTAGCCTGAATTTTCCCAAAGAAATGGAGTATCTCTCTCAGTTTTGAGCCTCCTAAAGCTGAGGGTGGAGTCATATTAGCACCCCTGTGGCCACCAACACTATGACTATGCTGCGTCAGACCTGAAGCCAGCACAGGACTGAGATTTGCCCGACGCCTGCTGTAACCACTCCCTAGCTACTGTTTATGTTTGCTCAAGGCCCTGGGGCTCTACAGTCAGCAATTGTAAATCCACCCAGGTCTGTGTCCTTCGTTTCAGGGCAGTGAGTTCCCCCAGACCCTGTGTGGGCTCAGAAGTGCTGTCTGGGTGTCATGGACTAGAGTCAAAAACCTTAGACATCTTCCTGGTGTTCTATTGTACTGCAGCTGAGCTGGCAGTCATACCATAAGAGGTAGTCCTTTCCACTCTTCCCTCCCCTTTCCAAAGGCAGAGGAGCCTCACCCCATAGCCACCACCATCAAAGTCCATGGGGAGTTCTTCCAGACTACCACTCATGTTCTCTTAAGATCCAAGGAGTTTTATGTCAGCTTGTGGTGAATGCTTCCTGGCCTGGGGCTCACCCTTGAGGGCAGTGGGCTCCCCTCTGGGCCAGGGCACGTCCAGAGATGCCATCCCAGAGTTAATTCCTGACATGAGTGACCCCAAGAGCCCAGATGGTTCTCTATCCCACTGTGGACATTCTAGCACGTAAGGTTCAAGACAAAGTCCCCCTTTCTTAAGCAGGAGTTTCATCCCATAGCCACCATAGCTGATAATGTGCTGAATCTCATCTGAAGCTAGCAAGTCTCCGAGGCTCAGCCAAGGCCCTCAGTGTAGTACCTGGTTGTTCAAGGCCCAAGGGCTCTTTACTTAGTGGGTAATAAATGCTGCCAGGACTGTTTTTTCCCCCGCTTCAAGGCAGCAGGTTCCCATCTGTCCCAGAGTGTGTCTAGAAATGTCACCTGGGAGTGAGGGCCTGGAATGGGGACCTGACAACTCTGACCAGTGCCCTATCTTGCTGTAGCTAAGCTGGTATCCAAGATGCAAGACCAAGTCCTTCCCACTCTTTCCTCTCCTATCCTCATGAGGAAGAAGCATGTCTTTTTTGGAGCCACAAGCTGTGCAGCCTGAGGTTAGGGGAGGGATGATGCCAGCACTCCCTTAGCAACCCCAGCTGGTGGTTTATTAAGTCACATAACCCACACCGCACCCTCAGTTCACTGTCTCTGGGCCCAGGTCAACCCTAGGACTAGTCTAAGACTTGCAGTCCTTATGTCTGAAGATGCCTTTCATGTTTACTTAAAGACCCAGAGCACTTTGGCTTTTAGTGGTAAGGTTTGTGGGTACTCAAGTTCAGAACATTAGAATCAGCAATTCCTCTCTGGCAAGGGCTGGTTTAAATACTACCTCTGTGTGCAAGTGTTGGCTGAGTTTGGCCTGGTTTTCCTTTCTGCTCTAACAGGATAGCACTGAGTTCAATGCCTCACAATTGCTGTTCTCCCTCCCTCAGCACCCAGAGATGATCTCTATACCATGCTGCTACTGCCGGGACAGGAGGATGGGATTGGGGAGAGGTGGCATTGGCAACTTAAGGCGTTTTTTTTTCTATATTTTCTTTGCCTCTTTCAGTGATATGAAGTTAAAATCAGGTGTTACAAGGGCTCACCTGATTTTTGGTTCTCATGAAGGGGTCTTCTCTGTGTAGATAGTTGTAAATTGGTGTCCTTATAGAAATACAATTGGTGTAGCCTTCAATTCCACCATCTTGCTCTGCCTCCTTTTGTCTTTTATGATCTTTGTTGTTTGAAAGTCTGGTTTGCCTAGAATTAGAATAGAAACCCAAGTTTTTCATTTGTTTGTTTGTTTTTTATTTGCTTGGTAGATTATTCTCCATCCCTTTACTTTGAATCTATGCATGTCATTGCTTGTGAGATGAGTCTCTTAAATTCAGAATGCTGGGTTTTGCTTATTTATCCAAGTTGCCACTCTGTGCCTTTTAATTGGGGCATTTAGGTCATTTGAAATCAAGGTTAGTATTCATATGTGCAAATTTGATCCTGTCAACATGTTGTTAACTGGTTATTATGCAGACTTGTTTGTGTGGTTGCTTTATAGTGTCACTGGTCTATGTACTTAAGTGAGTTTTTGTAGTGGCCAGTAATGTTGTTTCCTTTCCATATTTAGCAATCACTTCGGGACTTCTTGTAAGGTTTGTCTTGTGGAAATTCATTCCCTTAGCATTTGTTTGTCTGAGATGGATCTTAATTCTCCTTTGCTCATGAAGCTTAGTTTGTCTGGATAAGAAATTCTCAGTTGAAAATTCCTTTCTTTAAGAATGGTGATCATTAAAAAGTCAGGAAACAACAGGTGCTGGAGAGGATGTGGAGAAATAGGAACACTTTTACACTGTTGGTGGGACTGTAAACTAGTTCAACCATTGTGGAAGTCAGTGTGGTGATTCCTCAGGGATCTAGAACTAGAAATACCATTTGACCCAGCCATCCCATTACTGGGTATAGACCCAAAGGACTATAAATCATGCCGCTATAAAGACACATGCACACGTATGTTTATTGCGGCATTATTCACAATAGCAAAGACTTGGAACCAACCCAAATGTCCAACAATGATAGACTGGATTAAGAAAATGTGGCACATATACACCGTGGAATACTATGCAGCCATAAAAAATGATGAGTTCATGTCCTTTGTAGGGACATGGATGAAATTGGAAATCATCATTCTCAGTAAACTATCGCAAGAACAAAAAACCAAACACCGCATATTCTCACTCATAGGTGGGAATTGAACAATGAGATCACATGGACACAGGAAGGGGAATATCACACTCTGGGGAATGTGGGGGGGTGGGGGGAGGGGGGAAGGATAGCATTGGGAGATATACCTAATGCTAGATGACGAGTTAGTGGATGCAGCACAGCAGCATGGCACATGTATACATAAGTAACTAACCTGCACAATGTGCACATGTACCCTAAAACTTAAAGTATAATTAAAAAAAAAAAGAATGCTAAATATAGGCCCTTAATCCCTTCTGGCTTGTAGGATTTCTGCTGAAAGGTCCACTGTTAGCCTGATGAGATTCCATTTGTAGGTAAACAACCTCTTCAACTACCTTCACATTTTTTTCTTTCATTTAGATCTTGGAGAATCTGATGATTACACGTCTTGGGGGTGGCTGTCTTTTGTAGTATCTCATAGAGGTTCTCTGCATTTCCTAAGTAAGTTTGAATGTTGTCCTATCTAGCAGAGAAATGTTTCATGGACAATATCCTAAAATGTGTTTTGCAAGTTGCTTGCTTTGTTTCCTCTTTCAGAGACACCAATGAGTCATAAATTTGGTCTCTTTACAAAATCCCATATTTCTCAGGTTTTGTTCTTTCTTCTTTATTCTTTTTTCTTTATTTTTGTCTGAGTTATTTGAAAGAGCCAGTCTTCTAATTCTGAGATTCTTCCCTCAGCTTGGTCAATTCTACTGCTAATACTTGTGATTGTATAATGAAATTCTTGCAGTGAGTTTTTCAGTTCCATCTTATCAGGATTTTTTTCTTATAAAGTCCATTTCACATTTTATTTCCTACATCTTATTTTATTTTATTCCTTAGAAACCTTGGATTGGGTTTTGATGTTCTCCTGGATATGAGTAATCTTCATTTCTACTGACATTCTATATCTGTCATTTCAGCCATTTCAGCCTGGTTAAGAACCATTGTTGGGGAACTAGTTCAGCCATTTAGAGTTAAAAAAACACTCTGGCTTTTTGAGTTACTAGAGTTCTTGTGATGGTTCTTTCTCATCTTTGTGGGTTGATGTTCTTTCAGTCTGAATTTGCTTTCCTTTGGATGGGCTTTTTGTTCTTCTACCCTCCTTAATGTCCCTGGGAATTTGATTGTAGTATAGGTGGGTTTAGCCAACTGGCTACATTTCTGGAAAATTTTAGGACGCCAAGGCTGAGCTCAGGATGCCTGGAATGCATGTTTTAACTCTAGGCCCGCTAATATCAAGCCATTGGCTTTGTTTTCTGGCCTCTTGAGGTTAGAAACCTGCTGTGCGGGAGGGACCTAGGTGTTCCTGGATCACTGTTCAAAACACTCCGATGGGTGGTACCAGGCAAATTGCTTTGTCATCTGGTGTTACCTAGATCCATGCTCATTTTCATGTACCAGCAGCAATGGCAATGTGGTGGTGTGATTGCTCATTGGCTGTGGGGGGGCATTGGTGTGCACAGGGTTGCTGGCCACCATGTGGATGTTTGCAGTGGCAGTGATGGCAGCACCGTGGTGGAGGGGTGGACCGTAGGCATCTGTGTTTGCATTTGCACCAGTGGTGGTATCAGCATGAAGCAGGGCACTGGTGAACACAGGGATGGCAACCTCTGTGCACATGTTCATGCCAGTAGCAGAAGCCACACAGAATGGGACATGGGGCTGCTGGTCTCTGTGCACAGATTCCTGCCTGTGGCAGTATCAACATGGGAGCAGGGCACTGATGGGCATGGAGCTGACAGTCTCTGTATGCATTAATGTGCCAGTGATGATGGTGGCAAGGGGCAGGTGAGGCTGCTGGTCTCCTTATGCACCTTTACATTGGCAATGGTGGCACAATTGGGGGCAGGGCAGGGTGTGCTTATGCCAGCAACAGTGGCTTAGTGCAATGCACATGCACATGTACACCAGCAGGGAAAGAGAGTTGAAGTCCACCCATGTGTACATGCACCAGCAAATTAATGTGGAAGATGACTGTGGGCCAGTGCATGCCAGCAAAGCAGCATAGGGGAAGCAGCAGTGGGGTGAGGGCATGGGTGGGCTGGTGTGTGGAGGTCATTTGGCTGGAGCTTTTCAATGGTCAGGCACAGTCTGCCAGTGCTGAAGCTATCATGTGGGTCTCTGTGAGGCACCACAACTGCAGATCTGAGGCTTGACTGTAAGCCATAATGGCCAGACTGGTGCCCTGGGAGGGACTAGCAGATAGGGGGGCACTCAGGTCAGAGCAGCCCCATCTCATGGGCAAGATCGTCCTGAACTATGCAGGTCCGACAGTTCCCCTAAAGCTAAAGTCTCTTAGGGGGGTAAGATGAGCCTTGGGGGATGGGCATTCTCGGACATGCTCCACCACACACTGTCCCACACCAAACCCCCTGGGCTCTGCACCAGATGGAGTTCTGCCCACACCACCTCTCCAAAGAGCTCTCTCTGCCAGCTCAATTGTCCATGGTGGTCATGGGGTCTCTTGCTGCCAGGATTCCAGAGGATTTTGGTGAAAGTAGGCCACCACAAGCTTGCTCAACAGCTCCTGTTTAAGAGCTGTTGGGGGCCAGGAATGAGTCCTCGTGCACAGTAGACCCCTGAAGGGTCCAATCTTCCTCCCCCTTCAGCCCAGCATCTGTGTCTTCCCTCTGTCCACTCTCAATGCCTTCGTCTATAAGATGTTTCTTATATCATAGTAATCACAAAGCAAAAACCATAATAGATACACTAAAAATAAAAAGCAAGGCATTAAACATGCTGCCAACTGGAAGAAGACAAGGATGCCCACTCTCACCACTCCTACTAAATATAGTATTGGAAGTCCTAGCCAGAAAAATCATGCAAGAGAAAGAAATAAAAGCCATCCAAATTGGAAAGGAAGCCAAACCATCTCTTTTTGCTAATAATATGATTCTATACATACAAAACCCTAAAGACTGTACTGAAAGAGTCCTAGAACTGGTAAAGACTTTAGTAAAATTTTAGGAAACAAAATCAATGCACAAAATAAGTAGCATGTCTATACACCAATAACATTCAAGCTGAGAGTAAAATCAATAGCATAATCCCAATTATAATAGCTACAATATAAATGAAATATCTAGGAATACAGATAACAAGGGAGCTGAAAGACTTCAACAAATAGAATGACAAGACACTGTTGAAGGAAATCAGAGATAACACAAATAAATGGAAAAAAAAACCCACAGCTGGGCATGGTGGCTTACGCCTGTAATCCCAGCACTTTAGGAGGGTGAGGCAGGCGGATCAGGAGGTCAGGAGTTCGAAACCAGCCTGGCCAATATGGTGAAACCCCGTCTCTACTAAAAATACAAAAATTAGCTGGGTGTGGTGGTGCACGCCTGTAGTCCCAACTACTTGGGAAGCTGAGGCAGAAGAATCACTTGAACACAGGAGGCAGAGGTTGCAGTGAGCCGAGATTGTGCCACTGCGCTCCAGCCTGGGTGACAGAATGAAACTCTGTCTTAAAAACAAACAAGCAAGCAAAAAACACTTCATGCTCATGAATAGGAAGACTCAATATCATGAGAATGGCCACACTGCCCAAAACAGTTTACAGATTCAACGCTATTCCTATCAAATTACCAATGACATTTTTAGACAATTAGACAAAATTATTCTAAAATTAATATAAATACCATAAGAGTCTTAATAGCCAAAGCAATCCTAAGCAAAAAGAACAAAGTCTGAGGCATCACACTATCTGACTTTATACTATGGGGCGGAGCCCACTGCAGCTTGGCAAAGCCGCTATAGCCAGACTGCCTTTATAGATTCCTCCTCTCTGGGTAGGGCATCCCTGAAAGAAAGGCAGCAGCCCCATTCAGGGGCTTATAGACAAAACGCCCAACTCCCTGGGAAAGAGCACCTGAGGGAAGGGGCAGCTGTGGGTGCAGTTTCAGCAGACTTAAACGTTCCTGCTTTCCAGCTCTGAAGAGAGCAGTGAATCCCCAGCACAGTGCTCGAGCTCTGCTAAGGGACAAACTGCCTCCTCAAGTGGGTCCCTGATCCCCGTGCCTCCTGACTGGGACACATCTCCCAGCAGGGGCCAAGAGACACCTCATACTGGAGAGCTCCAGCTGGCATCTGGCAGGTGCCCCTCTGGGACAAAGCTTCTAGAGGAAGGAAAAGGAAGCAATCTTTGCCGTTCTGCAGCCTCCGCTCGTGATACCCAGGAAACTAGGGTCTTGAGTGGACCTTCAGAAAACTCCAGCAGACCTGCAGCAGAGGGCCCTGACTGTTAGAAGAAAAACTAACAAATAGAAGGGAGTAGCATCAACAGCAACGAAAAGGATGTCCACACAGAAACCCCATTCGAAAGTCACCACCATCAAAGACCAAAGGTAGATAGATCCTGAAGATGAGGAAAAGCCAGCGCAAAAAGGCTGAAAATTTACAAACGCAGAATGCCTCTTCTCCTTCAAAGGATCACAGTTCCTCACCAGCACTGGAGCAAAACTGGACAGAGAATGAGTTTGACGAATTGACAGGAGTAAACTTCAAAAGGTGGGTAAAAACAAACTCCTCTGAGCTAAAAGAGCATGTTCTAACCCAACGGAAGGTAGCTCAGAACCTTGAAAAAAGGTTAGAGGAATTTCTAACTAGAATAACCAGTTAAGAGAAGAACATAAATGGCCTGACGAGGCTGAAAAACACAGCATAAGAACTTCGTGAAGCATATACAAGTATCAATAGCTGAATTGATGAAGCAAAAGACAGCATAGCAGAGATTGAAGATCAACTTAATGAAATAAAGCATGAAGACAAGATTAAAGAAAAAAGAATGAAAAGGAACAAACAAATCCTCCAAGAAATATGGGACTATGTGAAAAGACCAAACCTACGTTTGATTGGTGTACCTGAAAGTGACAAGGAAAATGGAACCAAGTTGGAAAACACTCTTCAGGATATTACCAGGAGAACTTCCCCAACCTAGCAGAACAGGCTGACATTCAGATTCAGGAAATACAGTGAACACCACAAAGACACTCCTCGAGAAGGGCAACCCCAAGACACAGAATCGTCAGATTCACCAAGGTTGAAGTGAAGGAAAAAATCTTAAGGGCAGCCAGAGAGAAAGGTCGGAATGCCCACAAGGGGAAACCAATCAGACTAACAGCAGATCTCTCTGCAGAAACCCTACAAGTCAGAAGAGAGTGGGCCCAATATTCAACATTCTTAAAGACAAGAATTTTCAACTCAGAATTTCATATCCAGCCAAACTAAGCTTCAAAACTGAAGGAGAAATAAAATCCTTTACAGACAATCAAATGCTGAGAGATTTTGTCACCACCAGGACTGTTTTAAAAGAGCTCCTGAAGGAAGCACTAAATATGGAAAGGAAAAAACAGTATCAGCCACAGCAATAACATACCGAATTGTAAAGACCATTGATACTATGAATAAACTGCATCAACTAACAGGCAAAAATAACCAGCTAGCATCATAATGACAGGATCAAATTCACACATAACAATAATAACCTTAAATGTAAATGGGCTAAATGCTACAATTAATAGACACAGACTGGCAAATTGGATAGTCAAGGCTCATCGGTGAGCTGTATTCAGGAGACCCATCTACATGCAAAGACACACATAGGCTCAAAATAAAGAGATGGAAGAATATTTACCAGGCAAATAGAAAGAAAAAAAAAAGCAGGGGTTCCAATCCTAGTCTCTGATAAAACAGACTTTAAACCAACAAAATCAAAAAAGACAAAGAAGGGCATTACATAATGGTAAGGTATCAATGCAACAAGAAGAGCTAACCATACCAAATATATATGCACCCAATACAGGAGCACACAGATTCATAAAGCAAGCTCTTAGAGACCTACAAAGAGACTTAGACTCCCACACAAGAGTGGGGGACTTTAACACCCCACTGTCAATATTAGACAAATCAATGAGAAAGAAAATTAACAAGGATATTCAGGATTTAAACACAGCTCTGGACCAAGCAGACCTAATAGACATCTACAGAACTCTCCACCCCAAATCAACAGAATATATATTTTTCTCACCACATCGCACTTATTCTAAAATTGATCACATAATTGGAAGTAAAACACTCCTCAACAACTGCAAAAGAATGAGAATCATAACAAACAGTCTCTCAGGTGACAGTGCAAACAAATTAGAAGTCAGGATTAAGAAACTCACTCAAAACTGCACAACTACATAGAGACAGAACAACCTGCTCCTGAATGACTACTGGGTAAAAAACAAAATGAAGGCAGAAATAAATAACTTCTTTGAAACCAATGAGAACAAAGACAGAATGTACCAGAATTGCTGGGACACAGCTATAGCACTGTTTAGAGAGAAATTAATAGCACTAAATGTCCACAAGGGAAAGCAGGAAAGATCTAAAATCGACACCCTAACATCACAATTAAAAGAACTAGAGAAGAAGAGCAAACAAATTCAAAAGCTAGCAGAAGAAGTAACTAAGATCAGAGCAGAACTGAAGGAGACAGAGGCAAGAAACATGCTTCAAATAGTTAATGAATCCAGGAGCTGGTTTTTAGAAAGATTAACAAAATAGACCACTACCCAGACTAATAAAGGAAAAAAGAGAAAAGAATCAATAGACACAATAAAAATGATGAAGGGGATATCACCACTGATCCCACAGAAATACAAACTACCATGAGAGAATATTATAAACACCTCTATGTAAATAAACTAGAAAATCTAGAAGAAATTGATAAATTCCGGGACGCATACATCCTCCCATTTCAAAACCAGGAAGAAGTCAAATCCCTGAATAGACCAATAACAAGTGAAATTGAGGCAGTAATTAATAATCTACGAAAGAAAAAAAGCCCAGGATCAGATGAATTCACAGTCAAATTCTACCAGAGGTACAAAGAGGAGATGGTACCATTTCTTCTGAAACTATTTCAAACAATAAAAAAAGAGGGACTCCTCCCTAACTCATTTTATGAGGCCAGCATCATCCTGTTACCAAACCTGGCAGAGACACAACAACAAGAACAAAAATTCAGACTAATATCCCTGATGAACATCGATGTGAAAATCTTCAATAAAATACTGGAAAACCAAATCGAGTAGCACAACATCAAAAAGCGTACCTACCACGAACAAGTAGGCTTCATCCTTGGGATGCAACGCTGGCTCAACATATGCAAATCAATAAACGTAATCCATCACATAAACGGAACCAATGACAAAAACCAAATGATTACCTTAATAGGTGCTGAAAAGGCCTTCAATAAAATTCAACACCCCATCATGCAATAAACTCTCAATAAACTAGGTATTGATGGAACGTATCTCAAAATAGTAAGAGCTATTTATGACAAACCCACAGCCAATATCATATTGAACGGGCAAAAGTTGGAAGCATTCCCTTTGAAAACCAGCACAAGACAAGGATACTCTCTCACACCACTCTTATTCAACATAGTATTGGAAGTTCTGGCCAGGGCAATCAGGCAAGAGAAAGATATAAAGGGTATTCAAATAGGAAGAGAGGAAGTCAAACTGTCTCTGTTTGCAGATGACATGATTGTATATTTAGAAAACCCCACCATCTCAGCCCCAAATCTCCTTAAGCTGATAAGCAACTTCAGCAAAGTCTCAGTATACAAAATTAATTTGCAAAAATCAAAAGCAATCCTATACACAAATAATAGACCAACAGAGAGCCAAATCATCTGTGAACTCCCATTCACAATTGCTACAAAGGGAATAAAATACCTAGGAATAAAACTTACAAGGGATGTGAAGGACCTCTTCAAAGAGAACTAGGAACCACTGCTCAAGGAAATAAGAGAGGACACAAACAAATGGAAAAACATTTCATGTTCATGGATAAGAAGAATCAATATTGTGAAAATGGCCATATTGCTGAAAGTAATTTATAAATTCAATGCTATCCCCATCAAGCTACCATTTACTTTCTTCACAGAATTTGAAGAAACTACTTTAAATTTCATAAGGAACCACACACACACACACACACACACACACACAAAACCCATATAGCCAGGAGAATCCTAAGCAAAAAGAACAAAGCTGGACACATCATGCCACCTGACTTCAAACTATACTACCTGGTTACAGTAACCAAAAAAGCATGGTACTGGTACCAAAACAGATATATAGACCAATGGAACAGAACAGAGGCCTCAGAAATAACGCCACACATCTACAACCATCTGATCTTTGACAAACCTGACAAAAACAAGCAATGGGGAAAGGATTCCCTATTTAATAAATGGTGTTGAGAAAACTGGCCAGCCATATGCAGAAAACTGAAACTGGACCCATTTCTTGCACTTTATAAAAAATTAACTCAAGATGGATTAAAATCTTAAATATATGACCCAAACCATAAAAAAACCTAGAAGAAAACCTTGGCAGCACCATTCAGGACATAGGAATTGGCAAAGACTTCATGACTAACACAGCAAAAGCAATGGCAACAAAAGCCAAAATTGACACATGGTATCTAATTAAACTAAAGAGCTCTGCAAAGCAAAATAAACTATCATTAGAGTGAAAATGCAAATTACAAAATGGAAGAAATTTTTTGCAATCTATCCATCTGACAAAGGGCTAATATCCAGAATGTACAAGGAACTTAAACAAATTTACAAGAAAAAAAAAACGAACAATCCCATCAAAAAGTGGGTGAAATATATAAACAGACACTTCTCAGAAGAAGACATTCATGCAGCTGAGAAACATATGAAAAAAGCTCATCATCAGTGGTCATGAGAGAAATGCAAATCAAAACCACAATAAGATACCATCTCACGCAAGTTAGAATGGTGATCATTAAAAAGTCAGGAAACAACAGATGCTGGAGAGGATGTGGAGAAACAGGAATGCTTTTACACTGTTGGTGGGAGTGTAAATTAGTTTAACCATTGTGGAAGATAGTGTGGCAATTCAACAAGAATCTAGAACCAGAAATACCATTTGACCCAGCAAACCCATTACTGGGTATATAGCCAAAGAATTATAAATCATTCTACTATAAAGACACATGCACATGTATGCTTATTGCAGCACTGTTCACAATAGGAAAGACTTGGAATCAATCCAAATGCCCATCAATGATAGACTGGATAAAGAAAATGTGGCACATATACACCATGGAATACTACACAGCCATAAAAATGAGTTCATGAGCTTTGCAGGGACATGGATGAAGCTGGAAACCACCATACTCAGCAAACTAACAAAGGGATAGAAAACCAAACACTGCATGTTCTCACTTATAAGTGGGAGTTGAACAATGAGAACACATGGACACAGGGAAGGGAACATTACACACTGGGGCCTGTCAGTGAGTTGGGGGCTAGGGGAAGGCTAGCATTAGGAGAATTACCTAATGTAGATGACAGGTTGATGGGTGCAGCAAACCACCATGGCATGTGTATACCTATGTTACAAACCTGCATGTTCTGCACATGTATACCAGAACTTAAATTATAATAAAAAAACACTATACTACAAGGCCACAGCATGGTACTGGTACAAAAACAGACAACATAGACCAATGGAACAAAATAGAGAACCCAGAAAGAATGCCACACACCTACCAACACCTGATTTTCAAGAAGTCTGACCAAAAAAAAAAAAGCAATGGGGCAAGAACTGGCTATTCAATAAATGGTGTTGAAATAACGGGCTAGCAATATCCAGAAGAAATAAACTGGACTCATATATTTCACCACGTACAAAAATTAATGCAAAATGGATAAAATATTTAAATGTAAGACCAAGTACTATAAAAATCCAAGAATAAAACCTACGCAATAACCTCTCAAACACCACATGTTCTCACTCATAGGTGGGAATTGAACAATGAGAACACATGGACACAGGAAGGGGAACATCACACTCCGCGGTCTGTTGTGGGGTGGGGGGAAGGGGGAGTGATCGCATTAGGAGATATATCTAATGTTAAATGACGAGTTAATGGGTGCAGCACACCAACATGGCACATGTATACATATGTAACAAACCTGCACATTGTGCACATGTACCCTAAAACTTAAAGTATAATAAAAAAAAATAACCTCTCAACATCAGCCTTGGCAAAGAATTTTTAGCTAATTCTCAAAAGTAATTGCACCAAAACAAAAACTGACATGTGAGATTTAATTAAACTAAAGAGCATTCAGCAAAAGAAATAATCAACAGAGTAAACAGAAAACAAAATGGGAGAAAATACTTTCAAACTATGCATCTGAAGATGGACTAATATTCGGAATCTATAAGGAACATAAACAAATCAACAAGCAAAAAAACAACCCCTTTTAAAAAATGGACAAAAGATATGAAAAGAAATTTCTCAAAAGTAGACATACAAGCAGCCAACAAACACAAAAAAACGCTTATCATCATCAATCATCAGAGAAATGCAAATAAAAACTATAATGAGATACTAGCTCCAACCAGTCAGATGGCTAATATTAAAAAGTCAAAAAATTACAGATGCTGGCAAGGCTGCAAACAAAAACATGCTTACACACTGTTGGTAAAGACGTAAACTAGTCCAGCCACTGCAAAAGCAGTTTGGAGATTTCTCAACTTAAAACGGAGCTAGAATTCAACCTAACAATCCCATGACTGGGTATACAACCAAAGGAAAGTAAATTGTTCTTCCAAAAAGGTATGTACACTCCTATGTTTATTGCAGTGTTACTCATAATAGGAATAATACAAAACCAATCTAGGTGACCATAAATGGTGGACTGGATAAAGAAATTGTGGTACTTATACACCATGAAATACATCACAGCCATAAAAAGAATAAATCACATCCTTTGCAGCAACATAGATCATGCTGGAGGTGATTATCCTAAGCAAATTATTCAGGAACAGAAAATAATATAGTGCATGTTCTCACTTACAAGTGGGAGCTAAACACTGAGTACAAATGGACATAAAAATGGGAACAAAAAACACTAGGGATTACTATAGCGGGAGGGACAGATGTGAGCATGGGTTGAAAAACTACCTGTTGGGTACTATGCACACTATCTGGGTGATGAGATTTGGGGTACCGCAAACATCATGCAATATCTTTCTATGTCAAATGTGCACATGTAGTCCCAAATCCAAAATAAAATTTAATCACAAGTCAGTAAGAAAGGAAGAAATCAATAGAAAATCTCCAAAATGAACAGAGTAAAGTAATAAAATGGCAGAATTAAGTCCTTACCTATCAATAATGACATTGAATGTAAATGAATATCTCCATTAACAGCCATAGAGTGGCTGCATGGGCTTAAAAAAAAAAAGAAAACTAAGACACAACTGCCTACAAGAAACTCACTTCACTTACAGATGCACACATAAACAGAAAATGAAGAAATGGAAAAAAGCTATTCCATGTAAATGGAAACCAAAAAGAGCAGGTGTAGCTATACTTATATAAGATAAAATATACCACAAGTGAAAGACTGTAAAAAGAGACAAAGTAGATCACTACGTAATAAAAAAGTCATCAATCCAGCAATAGATTATTACAATTATAAGTATCGAAGGGCGGTTCCAAGATGGCCGAATGGGAACAGCTCCAGTCTACAGCTCCCAGCATTAGCGATGCAGAAGACAGGTGATTTCTGCATTTCCAACTGAGGTACCAGGTTCATCTCACTGGGGCTTGTTGGACAGTGGGTGCAGGACAGTGGGTGCAGCTCACTGAGCGTGAGCCAAAGCAGGGTGAGGCAAAGGGGTCAGGGAATTCCCTTTCCTAGCCAAGGGAAGCTGTGGCAGATGACACCTGGAAAATCAGGTCACTCCCACCCTAATACTGTGCTTTTCCAATGGTCTTAGCAAACGGCACACCAGGAGATTATATCCTGTGCATGGCTAGGAGGGTCCCACACCCACAGAGCCTCACTCATTGCTAGCATAGCAGTCTGAGATCCAACTGCAAGGTGGCAGTGAGGCTGGGGGAGGGGTGCCTGCCATTGCTGAGGCTTGAGAAGGTAAACAAAGCAGCCGGGATGCTTGAACTGGGTAGAGCGCACCGCAACTCAAGGAGGCCTGCCTGCCTCTGTAGACTCCACCTCTGGGGGCAGGCATAGCCGAACAAAAGGCAGCAAAATCCTCTGCAGACCTAAATGTTCCTATCTCACAGCTTTGAAGAGAGCAGTGGTTCTCCCAGCATGGAGTTTTAGATCTGAGAACAGACAGGCTGCCTCCTCAAGTGGGTCCCTGACACCCGAGTAGCCTAACTGAGAGACACTCCCCAGTAGGGGCAGACTGACACCTCACAAGGCTGGGTACCCCTCCGAGATGAAGCTTCCAAAGGAACGATCAGGCAGCAACATTTGCTGTTCAGCAATATTCGCTGTTCTGCAGCCTCTGCTGCTGATACCCAGGCAAACAGTGTCTGGATTGCACCTCCAGCAAACTCCAACAGACCTGCAGCTGAGGGCCCTGATGGTTAGAAGGAAAACTAACAAACAGAAAGGACATCCACACCAAAATCCTATCTGTACATCACAATCATCAAAGACCAAAGGTAGATAAAACCACAAAGATGGGGAAAAAACAGAAAAGAAAAACTGAAAATTCTAAAAATCAGAGTGCCTCTCCCCCTCCAAAGGAACACAGCTCCTCACCAGCAATGGAACAAAACTGGATGGAGAATGACTCTGACAAGTTGAGAGAAGAAGGCTTCAGATGATTAAACTTCTCTGAGATAAAGGAGGAAGATCGCACCCATCGCAAAGAAGCTAAAAACCTTGAAAAAAGATCAGACGAATGGCTAACCAGAAAAACCAGTGTAGAGAAGTCCTTAAATGACCTTATGGAGCTGAAAACCACGGCACGAGAACTATGTGACGAATGCACAAGCTTCAGTAGCTGATTTGATCAACTGGAAGAAAGGGCATCAGTGATTGAAGATCAAATAAAGCGAGAAGAGAAGTTTAGATAAAAAAGAGTAAAAAGAAATGAACGAAGCCTCCAAGAAATATGGGACTATGTGAAAAGACCAAATCTACATCTCATTTGTGTACTTGAAAGTTATGGGGAGAATGGAACCAAGTTGGAAAACACTCTGCAGGATATTATCCAGGAGAACTTCTCCAACTTAGCAAGGCATGCCAACATTCAAATTCAGGAAATACAGAGAATGTCACAAAGATATTCCTCAAGAAGAGCAACTCCAAGACACATAATTGTCAGATTCACCAAAGTTGAAATGAAGGAGAAAATGTTAAGGGCAGCCAGAGAGAAAGGTCGGGTTACCCACAAAGGGAAGTCCATCAGACTAACAGCAGATCTCTCGGCAGAAACTCTACAAGCCAGAAGAGAGTGGGGGCCAATACTCAACATTCTTAAAGAAAATAATTTTCAACCCAGGATTTCATATCCAGCCAAACTAAGCTTCGTAAGTGAAGGAGAAATAAAATCCTTACAGATAAGCAAATGCTGAAAGATTCTGTCATCACCAGGTCTGCCCTACAAGAGCTCCTGAAGGAAGCACTAAACATAGGAACAACCAGTACCAACCACTGCAAAAACATGCCAAATTTTAAAGAGCATCGAGGTTAGGAAGAAACTGCATCAAATAACGATCAAAATAACCAGCTAACATCATAATGAAAGAATCAAATTCACACATAATAATATTAACCTTAAATGTAAATGGGTTAAATGCTCCAATTAAGACACAGACTGGCAAATTGGATAAACATTCAAGACCCATCAGTGTGGTGTATTCAGGAGACCCATCTCATGTGCAGAGACACAAATAGGCTCAAAATAAAGGGATGGAGGAAGATCTACCAATCAAATGGAAAATAAAAAAAAAGGCAGGGGTCACAATCCTAGTCTCTGATAAAACAGACATTCAACCAACAAAGATCAAAAGAGACAAGGCCATTACATAAGGGTAAAGGGATCAATTCAACAAGAAGTGCTAACTATACTAAATATATATGCACCCCAAAACAGGAGAACCTAGACTCATAAAGCAAGTCATTAGAGACCTACAAAGAGACTTAGACTCCAACACAATAATAATGGGAGACTTTAACACACCACTGTCAACATTGGACAGATCAACGAGACAGAAAGTTAACAAGGATATCCAGGAATTGAACTCAGCTCTGCACCAAGTGGACCTAATAGACATCTACAGAACTCTTAACCACAAATCAACAGAATACACATTCTTCTCAGCACCAAATCGCACTTATTCCAAAATTGACCACATATTTGGAAGTAAAGCACTCCTCAGCAAATGTAAAACAACGAAATTATAACAAACTGTCTCTCAGACCACAGTGCCATCAAATTAGAACTCAGGATTAAGAAACTCATTCAAAACTGCTCAACTACATGGAAACTGAACAACCTGCTCCTGAATGACTACTGGGTACATAACTAAATGAAGGCAGAAATAAATAACTTCTTTGAAACCAATGAGAACAAAGACACAAAATACCAGAATCTCTGGGTCACATTTAAAGCAGTGTGTAGAGGGAAATTTATAGCACTAAATGCCCAGAAGAGAAAGCAGGAAAGATCTAAAATTGACACCCTAACATCACAATTAAAAGAACTAGAGAAGCAAGAGCAAACACATTCAAAATCTAGCAGAAGGCAAGAAATAACTAAGATCAGAGCAGAAGCGAAGGAGATAGAGACACAAAAAACCCTTCAAAACAATCAGTGAATCCAGCAGCTGGTTTTTTGAAAAGATCAACAAAATTGATAGACCACTAGCAAGACTAATAAAGAAGAAAAGAGAGAAGAACCAATTAGATGCAATAAAATATGATAAAGGGGATATAACCACCGATCCCACAGAAATACAAACTGCCATCAGAGAATACTATAAACATCTCTATGCAAATAACCTAGAAAATCTAGAAGAAATCGATAAATTCCTGGACACATACAACCTGGTAAGACTAAAGTAGGAAGAAGTTGAATCCCTGAATAGACCAATAACAGGCTCTGAAATTGAGGCAATAATTAATAGCCTACCAACCAAAAAAAAGTCCAGGACCAGGCGGATTCACAGCCAGATTCTACCAGAGGTACAAGGAGGAGCTGGTACCATTCCTTCTGAAACTATTCCAATCAATAGAAAAAGAGAGAATCCTCCCTAACTCATTTTATGAGACCAGCAACATCCTGATACCAAAGCCTGGCAGAGACACAACAAAAAAGGAGAATTTTAGACCAATATCCCTGATGAACATTGAGGCAAAAATCCTCAACAAAATGCTGGCAAACTGAATCCAGCAGCACAGCAAAAGGCTTATCCACAATGATCAAGTGGGCTTCATCCCTGGGATGCAAGGCTGTTTCAACATACACAAATCGATAAATGTAATCCAGCATATAAACAGAACCAAAGACAAAAACCACATGATTATCTCAATAGATACAGAAAAGGCCTTTGACAAAATTCAACAACCCTTCATGCTAAAAACTCTCAATAAATTAGGTATTGATGGGACGTATGTCAAAATTATAAGAGCTATTTATGATGAACCCACAGCCAATATCATACTGAATGGGCACAAACTGGAAGCATTTCCTTTGAAAACCGGCACCAGACAGGGAGGCCCTCTCTCACCATTCCTATTCAACATAGTGTTGGAAGTTCTGGCCAGGGCAATCAGACAGGAGAAAGAAATAAAGGGTATTCAATTAGGAAAAGAGGAAGTCAAATTGTCCCTGTTTGCAGATGACATGATTGTATATTTAGAAAACCCCATTGTCTCAGCCCGAAATCTCCTTAAGCTGATAAGCAACTTCAGCAAAGTCTCAGGATACAAAATCAATGTGCAAAAATCACAAGCATTCTTATACACCAATAACAGAGAAACAGAGAGCCACATCATGAGTGAACTCCCATTCACAATTGCTTCAAATAGAACAAAATAAATAGGAATCCAACTTACTAGAGTTGTGAAGGACCTCTTCAAGGAGAACTACAAATCACTGCTCAAAGAAATATAAGAGGACACAAACAAATGGAAGAACATTCCATGGTCATGGATAGGAAGAATCAATATGGTGAAAATGGCCATACTCTCCAAGGTAATTTATAGATTCAATGCCATCCCCATCAAGTTACAAATGACTTTCTTCACAGAATTGGAAAAAACAACTTTAAAGTTCATATGGAATCAAAAAAGAGCCCACATTGCCAAGTCAATCCTAAGCCAAAAGAACAAAGCTGGAGGCATCATGCTACCTGACTTCAAACTATACAAGGTTACAGTAACCAAAACAGCATGGTACTGGTACCAAAACAGAGATATAGACCAGTGGAACAGAACAGAGCCCTCAGAAATAATACCACCCATCTACAACCTTCTGATCTTTGACAAACCTGACAAAAACAAGAAATGGGGAAAGGATTCCCTATTTAATAAATGGTGCTGGGAAAACTGGCTAGCCATATGTAGAAAGCTGAAACTGGATCCCTTCCTTACACCTTATACAAAAATTAATTCAAGATGGATCAAAGACTTAAATATTAGACCTAAAACCATAAAACCCCTAGAAGAAAACCTAGGCAATACCATTCAGGACATAGGCATGGGCAAGGACTTCATGACTAAAACACCAAAAGCAATGGCAACAAAATCCAAAATTGACAAATGGGATCTAATTAAACTAAAGAGCTTCTGCATGGCAAAAGAAACTATCCTCAGAATGAACAGGCAACCTACAGAATGGGAGAAAACTTTTGCAATCTACTCATCTGACAAAGGGCTAATATCCAGAATCTACAATGAACTCAAACAAATTTACAAGAAAAAAGGAAGCAACCCTATCAAAAAGTGGGCAAAGGATATGAACAGACACTTCTCAAAAGAAGACATTTATGCAGCCAATAGACAGATGAAAAAATGCTCATCATCACTGGCCATCAGAGAAATGCAAATCAAAACCACAATGAGATACCATCTCACACCAGTTAGAATGGTGATCATTAAAAAGTCAGGAAACAACAGGTGCTAGAGAGGATGCAGAGAAATAGGAACAGTTTTACACTGTAGGTGGGACTGTAAACTAGTTCAACCATTGTGGAAGACAGTTTGGCGATTTTGCAAGGATCTAGAACTAGAAACACCATTTGACCCAGCCATGCCATTACTGGGTATATACCCAAAGGATTATAAATCATGCTGCTATAAAGACACATGCCCACGTATGTTTATTGCATCACTATTCTCAATAGCAAAGACTTGGAACCAACCCAAATGTCCATCAATGATAAGACTGGATTAAGAAAATGTGGCACATATACACCATGGAATACTATGCAGCCATAAAAAGGATGAGCTCATGTCCTTTGTAGGGACATGGATGAAGCTGGAAACCATCATTCTCAGCAAACTATCGCAAGGACAAAAAACCAAGCACCGCATGTTCTCACTCATAGGTGGGAATTGAACAATGAGAACACTTGGACATAGGAAGGGGAACACCACACACCGGGGCCTGTTGTGGGGCAGGGGGAGAGGGGAGAGATAGCATTAAGAGATATACCCAATGTAAATGACGAGTTAATGGGTGCAGCACACCAACATGGCACATGTATACATATGTAACAATCCTGCACGTTGTGCACATGTACCCTAGAACTTGAAGTATAATTAAAAAATAAAAAAAGAAAAATGTCTGTTCATGTCCTTTGCCCACTTTTCAATGGTGTTTTTTCTTGTAAGTTTGTTAAAGTTCCTTACAGATGCTGAATATTAGAGCTTTGTCAGATGCAGAGTTTACAAATATTTTCTCCCATTCTGTAGGTTGTCTGTTTACTCTTTTGAGAGTTCTTTTGCAGTAGCTTTTAGTTTAATTAGATCACATTTGTTAACTGCTTTTCTTTTGTTGAAATTGCTTTTGGTGTCTTCATCATGAAATCTTTGTCCATGCCTACATTCTAAAGGTTTCAGTTTCAATTTTCTGCATATTCCTAGCCAGTTCTCCCAGCATTGTTTGTTAAATAGGGAATCCTTTCCCTGTTGCTTGTTTTTGTCAGCTTTATCAAAGTTCAGATGGCTGTAGGTGTACAGTCTTATTTCTGGGTTCTGTATTCTGTTCGTTTCAGTCTGTTTTTCCACCAGTACCGTGCTGTTTTGGTTACTGTAGCCCTGGAGTATAGTTTGAAGTCGACTAGCATGATGCATGAAGCTTGTTCAGCTTGCTTAGTATTTTCTTGGCTATTCGGGCTCTTCTTTGGTTCCATATAAATTTTAAAATAGGTTTTTCTAAGTCTGTGAAGAATATTGATGGTAATTTAATGGGAATCACATTGAATCTATAAATTACTTTTGGCAGTATGACCATTGTAATGATATTGTTTCTTCCTATCTGTGAGCATGGAATGTTTTTCCATTTGTTTGTGTAATCTCTGATTTCTTTGAGCAGTGGTTTGTAGTTCTCCTTGAAAAGGTCCTTTACTTCCCTTGTTAGCTGTATTCCTAGGTGTTTTATCCTTTTTTGTAGCAATTATGAATGGAAGATCATTTGTGATTCACTGTTACTATGATGGGCTTCCCTTTGTAGGTTACCTGGGCTTTCTCTCTGGCTGTCCTTTACATTTTTTCTTTCATTTGGACCTTGGAGAATCTGACAATTATGTGTCTCGGTGATGATCTCCTCTTGGAGTATCTTACTGGGATTCTCTGCCTTTCCTGAATTTGAATGCTGGCCTGTCTAGCTAAGTTGAAAAAGTTCTCCTGGATAATATCCTGAAATACGTTGTCCAAATTGGTTCCATTCTCCCCATCTTTTCAGGTACCCCAGTCAGTCTTAGATTTTGTCTCTTTACATAATCCCATATTTCTTGGAGCTTTTGTTGATCCCTTTTCATTGTTTTTTCTCTATTCTTGTCTGCCTGTCTTATTTCAAAAAGACAGTCTTCAAGCTCTGAGACTCTTTCCTCTGCTTGGTCTATTCTGGTATCAATACTGGTAACTGCATTGTGAGGTTCTTGTACTGTATTCTTCGGCTCTATCAGGTCACTTAGGCTCCTCTCTATTCTGACTATTCTGGCTTCTGCTCCTGCATTGTTTTATCATGATCCTTAGCTTCTTTGCATTGGGTTGCAATGTGCTCCTCTAGCTCAGCAAGGTTTGCTTTTATCTGCATTCTTAAGTCTACTTCTGTCATTTCACTCATCTCTGCCTCAGCCTAGCTCTGAGCCCTTGCTGGAGAAGTGTTGCAGTCATTTGGAAAAACATAGGCACTTGGGCTTTTTGAGTTTTCAGCATTTTTCCGCTGATACTTTCTCATCTTTGTGGGTTTATCTACCTTCGATCTTTGAGGTTGCTGACCTTTGGGTGACGTTTTTGTGGGTGTGTTGTTGTTTTTGTTGTTTGTTTTTCTTTTAACAGTCTGGCCACTCTTCTGTGGGGCTGCTGTGGTTTGCTGGGCTTCCCCTCCGGACCCTAGTGCCTTGGTTTTTCTAGTACCTGGAGGTATCACAAGTGAAGTCTGTGAAACAACAAGTATGGCAGCCTGCCCCTTCCTCTGAAAGCTCTGTCCCAGGGAGCTACTGACCTGTTGCCAGCCCAAACTTGCCTGTATGTGGTGGCTGGAGACCCCAGTTGGGAGGTCTCACCTAGTCAGGAAGAATGGGATTAGAAACCCACTTAAAGAAGCAGTCTGGCAGTGTTTACATAGAGTATCTTTGCTGTGTTGAGGATCCCTTCAGTCCCCAATCAGTTTGCACTCTCCAGAGCCTGCAGACTGGAATGGCTGAATCACCCAAACAGCAAAGATGGTGGCCTACCTCTCTCCCTGAGCACTCCATCTCAGAGAGAAATTAGAAGTCTGTCCATAGGATACGGGTGGGGGTAGCCAGAGTCCTTAGCTGGGAGGAGCCACCCCACAAGGAGGAATGGATTGGAATCCCATTTCAAGAAGCAGTCTGGCCATACCTCAGTGAAAAGCCATGCTGTTCTGGGGAACCATCTCCGCCCAGGTCGGCTTGAATTCTCCAAAGCCCACAGGCTGGAACTGCTGAGTCATCCAAACAACTAAGGTGCAGCCCACCCCTTCCCACAGGGACTCTGTCCTAGGGAGTGATCAAAGCTCTGTCTGTAGAATATGAGTGGGTAGGGGTGGCTAGAGGCCCCAGCTGAGAGCGCCTGCCCAGTGTGAAGGAATGGATCAAGGCTCTGCTTAAAGAAACAGTCTCGCCATGCCTCGACAAAACAGCCCTGCTGTGTTGGGGAACTCCCTCTTCCCTTGTTGGCTTGGACTCTCCAAAGCCCGCAGGCTGGAACAGTTGAGTCATCCAAACAACCATGGTGGTGGCCAGACCCTCCATCCAGGCACTCCATCCCAAGGAGAGATCTAAGCTCTGTCTGTAAAATATGGGAAGGCAGGGGTATCTGGAGGCCCCAGCTGAGAAGTCCCACCCCATGAGGAGAAATGGATCAGGGTCCCACTTAAAGCAGCACTCTGGCCATGTTCTGGCAAGGCAGCTGTGCTGTGCTGGGAGGACCCTTCCTCACCCAGACCATTTGGATGCACCAAAGCCCACAGGCTTGAATGACTGAGTTGACCAAGCAGCAAAGATGGCCCACCCCTCCCTCTGGGGGCTTTGTTTAATCTCAGGCAGGCCCTTCCCTGTTGTTGGTGGCTGGCTGGAATTCCAAGCCTGTTGGTCTTATCTTGTGAGGTGTGATAGAAGTGAGGCCAGCAGACCAATGTTGCTCACTCACTTAGATTCAGACCCCTTCCTAGGGGTATATACAGACCTCCTGCCTTGCCAAGCATCCCAGGGCTAGGGTATGTAAAGTTCCCAGGTCTCTGTGCATGCATGAGCAGCTGCTCTGCTGACACTCCACACAGTTCTGTGTGTCACACCCAAGGCCCTGGTGGCATGAGTTCATGAGGGGATCTCTAGATCTGAGGGTTGCAAAAAGCCATGGGAGAAGCATGGTTTTCCAGTGTCGCACATTCACTCACCACTTCCCTTGGCTGTGGGTAGGTGTTCCATTGCCTCCGTGTCACTACCAGGTGGGCCATCACCCTGCCTTGCTTTTCTTCATTCTCCATGGCTGTAGTTGTTTTCCTGATCAGTCCCAATGGGAGTACATGGATTTTTCATGCCTTTCGTTCCTCTCCATGAGGAACACACAACACAGCTTCTTCTACTTGGTCATCTTGGCCCCTCCCTAGAATGATTTCCAACTCACAATCTAACATTGCACCCAGAGGAACTAGAAAAACAAGAAAATGTAACCGTAATGCTAGTAGAGAAAAGAAATAACTAAAATCAGAGCATAACTGAATGAAATTAAGACTCACACATCCATACAAATGATCAATGAAACCAAAAGCTATTTGAAAAAATAAACAGTATTGATAGACCATTAGCTAGAATAACAATGAAAAAAGAGAAGATCCAAATAAGCATAATCAGAAATGACAACTATGACATTATAATCAAAGACAAGGAAATATAAAAGGTCCTCAGAGACTATTATGAATATGTGTATGCACACGAACTAGAAAATCTAGGAAAAAATTATTAAATTCCTGTAAACACAGAAACTTTGAAGTTCAAACCAGAAAGTTATTGAAACTCAGAATAGACCAATAATCAGTTCCAAAATTAAATTAGTAATAAATCCACAACCAACAAAAAAAGCCCTGGGCAAGATTGATTCTCAGATAAATTCTATCAGAACAACAACAACAAGAGAGCTGGTACCAACCTTACTGAATTTTTGCAAAAATTCAAGGAGGAGGAACTCCTCTCTAACTCATTCTACTAAGCCAGCATCATTCTGATGGCAAAATCTGGGAGAAATATAATGAAAATGATAAAAAATATGGACCAATATGACCAATGAATTCAGACAGGAAAATCCTCAACAAAATACTAGCAAATTGAATTGCTCAGCACAACAAAAAGTTAATTCACCATGATCATGTAGATTTCATTCCTGGAATGCAAGATTGGGTCGATAAATGCAAACAAATAAATGTAATCCATCCCATAAACAGAATTAAAAACAACTACTATACAATCATCTCGATAGATTCAAAAAATCTTTCAATACAATCCAAAATCCCTTCATGATAAAAACCATCAAAAACTAGGCACCAAAGAAACATACCCCAAAGTAATAAGTGTTATCTGTGGCAAAACTATAGCCAATAGCATACCGAATGGGCAAAAGCTGGAAGCATCCCTTTGAGAACTAAAACAAGATAAGGATGCCCCTTCTCACCACTTCTATTTAACATAGTATTGGAAGTCCAAGCCACAGCAACCAGACAAGACAAATAAAAAGGTGTCCAAATAGGAAAAGAAGTCAAACTATCTCTTTTTGCTGATAATATTATTCTATACCCAGAAAACCCTGAAGATTCTGCTAAATGACTCCTAAAACTGACAAGGAATTCAGTAAAAATGAATGTGCAAAAATCAGTGGGATTTCCGTATACCAATAACATTCAACCTGAGAGTCAAATCAAGAACCCAACCCCATGTACAATAGACACAAAATAGATAAAATACCTAGGAATAAATCTAAACAAGGAAACAAAGATCTCTACAAGAAGAATTATATAACTCTGCTGAAAAAAAATCAGAAATGACACAAACTGATGGAAAAACATTCCATGTGAATAAACTGGAAAAATCAACATCGTGAAAATTACCATACTTCCAAAAGCAATTTACATATTTAACACAATTCCTATGAAACTACCAATGTAACTTTTCACAGAATTAGACACAATTATTCTAAAATTCATATGGAATTTAAAAGAGTCTCAATAGCCAAAGTAATCATAAGTTAAAAAACAAACAAAAACAAAGCTGGAGGCATCATTTCACTCAGCTTCAAACTATAATACAAGGCCATACTATACTTCAAGTATAATTTGAAGCATACAAGACAATACCTCAACTTGTGCTACAGAAATAGACACAGAGACCAACGAGACAAAATAGAGAACCCAGAAACAAAGCCACACACCTACAATCATTTGACCTTAAACAAGTTGACAAAAATAAGCAGTGGGGAAAGAACTCGCTTTTCAATAAATGGTGCTTGGATAACTGGCTAGCCATATGTAGAAGAATGAAACTGGTCTTTAATGAAAACTTAACTCAATGGATAAAAGCCTTAGATGTAAGACCTGAAACTCTAAAAATACTAAAAGAAAACTTAGGAAATACCCTTCTCAACATCGACCTTAGCAGAGAATTTTTGGCTAAGTCCCCAAAAGCAATTGCAACACAACCCAAAAATAGACAAGTGGGACCTAATTAAATGAAAGAGCTTCTGCACAGAAAGAGAAACTACCACTAGAGTAAACAGATAACCTACAGAATGGGAGAAAATATTCACAAACTATGCAGCCAACAAAGGCCTAATACTCCAATCTATAATGGCTTGTTTTCCAAGATGGTGGACTGGAGGCAGTGTTATATGCCTCTACCACCTAGGAGGATGTAATAGTATGTAGAAGTTCGCATTGTAATTTTTTTTTCTTGAAGCAATGCAGGAACTTGGGAAAACTGAAAGAATACACAGACCCTTTGAAAGAAGCAGCAGGCTACAACCTACACTACATGCCAGGCAAATATCTGTAAGTCCCCAAAGTGTGAGGGTGGACAGACTGCCTTCAGGATACACACCCCCATGAGACAACCTGAAAATCCAGACCATGGGAAAAGGTCTTAACGCTAGACAAGTCTAGAAGGGATTTAGGGTGCAGTAAGAAATATAAAAATAGAAGCAGCGGTGGAAAGTGCCTTGCATGCATTCCCAGTCTCCAGTGCTCATGGGGGAAAGCCATTCCTTGTTATATCTCACAGGGGACCTCGTGTAATTCTAAAAACGAGCTCAAGCAGTGATCACAGGCTGAAAGAAGCTCCCAACAGAATTTCACAGGATAACCTCAAGTGAAGGCAAACTCCCCTGGTCAGAACCCGAAAGATGAGTGGGAAGAGTGCTGCAGCCAGGAGCACAGAAGCCAGGCACCTGGCTTTGCAGGCAGACAGGGAGGGGCATGGCCTAAAAGTTGTCATTGTAGGGAAAGCTTATGGCCTGAGGCAGGTTTGAGTTCTGAGCAAAGGTTGACTGGAACTCAGTTTGCTGCATCTAGGTGAGCACTGCAGGAGTGAGACTCACCTTACCAATTGCGTGGGATCTGCATGGGGCTTACTGTTGCTTGCTACTCCTCACTCCCTGCATGAACTCTTCTGTCCAAGAGAGACAGTTACACTAACCTCTGAAACATTACTCCAGTAGCCTGGGGACCACCCCCCAGCCCCCAGAGAGGCCACAGATTGCCCTGCACTTGGAGAGTCATAGCATAGACCCACCTGACCCAGCTGCCACCTTGCTGTGCCCCTCCACCTGACCTGGTAGCTTAACGTAAGAGACAGAAACTTGTGAGAGCATTATGGCCTCACTCATCACCTGAGAAACCAGAATATCTCCCCTGGCAACATAGGGCAAGCACAAATCTCACTGGTACTACTGCATCTGTTGTTCTTTTGCCGTTGCCACCTCCTGGCTGGAGGTCAAGTGACACAGGCCATTATAGTATTCCATGGTGTGGCTAGGACCCAACCCGGTACCAGAAATGAAGGAGTTAACCCTGCAAGACCCAAGCCCCGAACGATGTGACTTCTGTGGATGACACAAACCCCGGACGTTACCTGGGGGATGCTGAAAAGGACAACTCAGGAGGCTGAACAAATCCGGTTCTGGACACAGTCCCATTTACTCCAGATAATTTGTTTCTTGCTATGCTTTCTGTTGTACATTGCATCTCACGTAGGTTATTAATCCTTTTTATGCTCTCACTTTGTCTGCAACCTGTACCTGCTACCTTCTATTGGGCTCATATCTTAGACCCGCCTTTCTTTCGCCCTGTTACCTGGGTAGACACTCCTTTCCCAGCCTATAATAACGTGACTGCTTGGATAGGATGGATAGATTTATTCCCAGTGTGGTCTCTCAGTAATGGCACACATTGGACTAAGGTGCCAGATTGGAATAGGAATTAAATGAAATTTAAAGATGTGTAAGCAGAAACTCAGTTGTATGTAAGAAAACCCAATTCCCCCTGAGAAAGAGAAAGAGCTGGAGTCCTTTAAAAATTAACTGCCTGTTTTTCTGTGGCTAGTGAGTCTTATCTCTTCTCCTTTCCCAGGCATTGTGAAGACCCTGTTTCTCTAGCTGTGCAGCTGCAAGGTCACTAGACAGACAAAATCAAGTCATAAAACATGTTTTTCCTTGAAAAGCAAGAAATGATGTAACGCATATCTCAATTAATTGAATAACTGTCTTTGTTTCTCGCTTCTGTAATATGCCTCCCCCTGTACAGATCTCCCCCTGCCCCACAGAATGCTTAAAAGGTAACTTAGCTCTTTATTCAGGGCTCAGTCCTTCGGATGTTAATCTGACTGGGCTGGTGCACCTAAATAATAAATATCCTCCTGAACCCCATTTGTCTCTCTGATTCCTTAAAAATCCCACTACAAGATAACACTACATATCATTTCACTATCCTCCCACTGCGTGTAAGTTATAAAGGCTCTAACCCTTACTGTGTACCTGCCCAAAGACAAGTATGGCTACATCATGGCAAAGAAAATCCCTTAACAATTTTAGCTGCAGGTAGTCTCAAACCGGGCAATTATTCATAATCACACTGATCAGTGCCTGATTTGCACTGACCATCCATATGTTTTCCTTATGGGAACTAACATTTCCATTACACTCTGAAATGCCATGTTTGTGACACAGGTGCAAGGACAGGCTTGGTTTGCCTCATGTGTCACTAATCACAATGTAATGTATCTAATTTAAAAATTCTAGTGTTATGGTATTAAGGAGACAATCTGAGACATTTCTACCAGTCAATTTGACACATGACTGGCAAGGTTCCTCTGCCCTTGCCACCTTAGAATGTGCCCTGTCCCAGGTCAGACACAAAAGATTCATATTTACACTTATGGCCTTTATAGTCTTAGCCATAGTCATCCCGGCAACTGCTAGCATTGCTGTGGCATCTGTTACTGAATCAGTACAAACAGCTGCTTTTGTAGATAATCTGGCCAAAAATGTGTTTAATGAACTTCTCTTACAGCAAAGTATAGATCAAAAAATTATTGCATGTCTGCAAGCCATCGAGACTGCTTTAGAATATGTGGGAGAGCAACAAGATGCACTAGCATTCCAGCAACAATTAAACTGTGACTAGGAACATAAACATATCTGCATCACTTCTCTACCATGGAATCAATCAATACATAGTTGGGATGAGGTTGAAAAGCACCTCTGGGGAACATTTCATGACAATTTAACAGCAGATGGAAAGCAACTTAAAACTAAAATTTTAGAATCCCTTCATGCCATAGATCTACACACCCAACATAGGCCATATGGAAGGGTATACAAGATCATCTCTCCTGCTTAGACCCCTCCTCCTCAGGGTCACTCTTTGGGAAAGAATGTTGCTAATCATACTCATTTTGTTTTATGTTATTTGCTAATTCTAGGATGCAAAGCCAGAATAAGCATAATGACTGCCACACCTGACCTGTTGCTGCACACATCTATGCTCTCCAATCAAAAAAAAAAAACCTGATGCAGAAAACAAAAAATGGGGAGATTTGGGGGTTCAATCAGGCTGGTGGGAAAAATATTAAAGATAGTTATAGTAATAGCCACAATATGTTTTGTAAAGCCTGAGAGTTTGCATAGCTTCAGATTGTCTGGCTGAAGGCAGCCAGAGTCTCTTTGCAGTAGCCAGAGAGCTTAAGGTGCAAATACAAAAGAATGTAGAGTAGTTTATCTAACTAACTTGTTTTCCTAAGACCACCCTTTGATGTACCATGGGTGCTTCATTGCTTTCTACTCAGAAAGTCCACAATATCAATTACCCTCTAATGGTATTTACTCACGACCTTTGTCACTTAATCTTTACTAAATAAATGCAAGTCTCACTCACTGATCGAGGCCACAGTGGCAACTGTTTACAGTACTCTCCAGGGAGTCTGTAAGCGGCTCGAACACTCAGCTAGACTGGCAAAGCAGAATATCTGGGTATCACTGTACTTCATTCATCTGTCGCTGGGTCAGGGTCTGCAGGTCAGACCCCCGCAGTACACTAGTAAATCAACTATGGAAAATAGTATGCAGGTTCCTCAAAACACTAAAAATAGATCTACCATATGATCCAGCAATCCCACTGCTGAGTATACAAACAAAACAGAAAATAAGCTATACAGCTAGCCAAAAAGGTGAAAGATGTCCAGAAAAATAACTACAAAACACTGCTGAAAGATATCAGAGATGACACAAAGAAGTGGAAAAACATTCCATGCTCATGAACTGGAAGAAGCAATATTATATAAACGGCCAAAAAGCCCAAAGCAATGTACAGATTTGATGCTATTCCTATCAAACTACAAACATAATTCTTCAGAGAATTAGAAAAAAACTAAAATATATATGGAGCCAAAAAAAAGACCCAAATAACCAAAGCAACCCGAAGCAAAAAAGAACAAAGGCGGAAGAATCACACTACTTGACTTCAAAAAATACTATAAAGCCGCATTAAGCAAAATAGCTTGGTACTGTACAAAAGCAGACACATAGACCAATAGAACAGAATATAAAACTCAGAAATAAAGCCATACACCAACAACCATCTGAACTTCAGCAACACTGACAAAAACAAGCAATGGGGAAAGAAGTCACTATTCAATAAATGGTGCTGGGATAGCTGGCTGGTGACATGCAGATCGATGCTGGACCCCTACCTTTCACCATATACAAAAAAAAATTTAAACTTAAGATCTCAAACTATAAAAATCCTAGAAGACAACCTAGGAAATACTATTCTCAACATTGGCTTTGGCAAAATTTTTTGGCTAAAACCTCAAAAATAATTGCAACAAAAACAAAAATAGACAAGTGGGATGTAATTAAACTAAAGAGCTTCTGCACAGCCAAAGAAAGTATCAATAGAGCAAACAGACAATGTACATAATAGGAGGAGATATCTGCAAACTCTGCATCCAACAAAGGCCTAATATCCCAAATCTATATGAAACTTAAATCAGCAAGCAAAAACCAAATAACCCCATGAAAAAGTGGGCAAATTATATGAATGGTCAGTTCTCAAAAAAGATACAAAAGTGGCCAACAAACATATTAAAAAATGCTCAGCATCACTAATCATCAGAGAAATGCAAATCAACATCACAATGAGATACCATACAACACCAGTCAGAATGACTATTATTAAAAATTCAAAAAACCAACAGATAATGGAGAGGCTGCAGAGAAAAGGGATAGTGGAAATGTAAATTCGTTCAGCCACTGTGAAAAGTAGTTTGGAGATTTCTCAAAAAACCTAAAACAGAGCTGCCATTCAACCCAGCAATCCTATTAACATGTATATACTCAGAAGAAAACAGTCTACCAAAAAAACACAGGGGCTCATATGTTCATAGCTGCACTAGGCACAATAGCAAAAACATGGAATCAACCCAGGTGCCCATAAATGGTAGATTAAAGAAAATATGGGACATATACACTATGGAGCACTGTGCAGCCATGAAAAAGAATGAAATCATGTACTTTCTAGTAACGTGGATGGAGCTGGAGGCCATAATCTTAAGCAAATTAACTGAAGAACAGAAAACCAAATTATTCATGTTCTCACTTATAAGTGGGAGGTAAGCATTGAGCACACACGGACATAAATATGGGAACAATAGTCACTGTGGACAACTGGACAGTGGAGGGAGGCGGTCCGTTAAAAAACTACTTATTGGGTACTATTCTCACTACCAGGGTGATGGGATGCATACTCCAAACCTCAGCATCCACCATCACACGGTATTTCCATGGGACAAATCTGCACATGTACCCCTCTATCTAAAATAAATGTTAAAAAATAAAATAAAAAATAAATTTGCATGGCCATGTGTATTGCAGCACTATTTAAAATAGCCAAAATATGGAATCAATGTAAGTGTCTATCTATCAATGAATTGGTAAAGAACATGTGCTATACATACACAGAGGAATACTATTCAACCATAAAAAGTAAAATCCTGTCATTTGCAGCAGCATGGTTGGAACAGGAGGCCATTATGCTAATTGAATAAGCTTGTCACAGAAAGACAAATATTGCATGTTCTTACTCATATTTGGGAACCAAATATGTAAATCTCATGAAGGTAGAAAGATAGATACTATAGGTTGGGAATGGATGGGGGTTAATATTGAGAGGCTTATTAATGGGTATGAAAATACATCTAGGTAGAAGGAATAACTGCTAGTGTTAGATAGCACAGTAAGATGATTATAGTTAACAATAATTTATTGTATATTTCCAAATAGCTACAAAAGATTTGAAATATCCCCAACCAAGAAGAGATACATTTGACATAATAAATATTCTAATTACCCTGATTTAATAATTACACATCAGATGTATGCATCAATAAATCACAATGTACCACATAAATATGTACAATTGTTATGTATCAGCTAAAGTAAAAGACAAACAGCCAACAGGTATATAAAACCTGTTTGATATTACTAATTATGAGGAAAATGAAAATAAAAAACAAAATCAATATCATCTACCCCAGTTAAAATGGTACTATTAAAAAGATAGCAAATAAGAGATGCTGGCAAGGATGCAGAGAAAGGGGAACGCACCTACACTGTTGGTAGGGATGTAAATTAGCACAGTCACTATGAAAAACAGTGTGGAGTTTCCTTAAAAAAATTAAAACTACCATACAATCCATAAATTCTACTGCTGGGTATATATCCAAAAGCAAGAAATTTAGTCTAGCAAAGAGACATTTGCACACCCATGTTTATTTGCAGCCCTATTCACAACAGCCTAGATACAGAATCAACCTAAGTGTCCATCAAGAGTAAAATGGATTAAAAAATATGGCAGATGTATACAATGGATTATTATTCATCTTTAAAAAATAAAATCCAAGCATTTGCAGGAACACAGATGGAACTGGAGTATAGTATGTTAACCAAAACCAGCCAAGCACAGCAATACAAATATCACGTTTTCACTCGTATGTGGGAGCGAAAAAACTGATCTAATGGAAGTAAAGAGTAGAATGGTGAATGTCAGAGGTGGGGAAGGGTAATGGCGGAGGAGGAATAAAGAATGGTTGGTTTATGGGTAAAAAAATCAGGTAAGTAGAAGGAATAAGTTATGTTGTTCAATAGCACAGTAGGGCAACTATACCTAAAAATAATGTATTGCATATTTCAAAATGGCTAGAAGAGAAGCTTTGAAATGTTCTCCACATAAAAGAATGATAATTGTTTGAGGTGATAGGTACCCCAATTGCCCTTATTTGATCATTACATAGTGTATGGATGTATCAAAGTATCACATGAACTCTGAAAATATGTGCAATTACTATGTATCAATTTTAAAAAGCAGGCTTCAAGATGGCTGGCTGGAGGTGTCAGGGCTCACTTTTTCCACAAAGATGGACCCAAACAGCAAGTAGATAACCACATGTTGATTAGAGCTTCGGAACACTAGAATTCCATATAGAAGTGACAGGTAACCTATGAGGTATAAAAGCAGAAGAAAGCAAAGTAGCTGGCCTGGCTGGGATTGACTCAGAGCCAGGAAGAACTCCCTTTTGCAAGGAAAATAGAGGGATACCCAGTGGTCCACATTCTCAATGTGGACTCCTACAGTCATAGCCACAGAAGAAAAACTTGGCCTACATGGGCCCTGAGGACCATATAGGAAGGTGCCTGGTGTACATATGATGGCACTTGTCCAGAAAGAGTTCATGTTGGGTTCCATAAACACACGGAGATTCAAGTACAATTACGAGAGCCCAGCCCCTGCTAGACTACATCCTGCCCTGGAACCCAACATCCCCTGCATCTCCACATCCCTGGAGCCCTGTTGATATTCCCCTATGTTCAAATGGAGGTCTACAGCAACACAACATCAGCTGGACCCAGTGGTGAGGATGGTTTCTCAGCAGTCTAGCCTACACAGTGTCCAACATTCCAGATAATAGGCAGTGTAATGCACTAGAAAATCTGCCCACAGGACAAAAGGAGCCAAAACTTGCACTTCCCATAGCCTTACAGCTGCCCTTGGGCGGTTACTGCTAATGACAGCAATCCTATCCCTTCCAGCATCTGGGCCACTACACACCTGCATGCAAATTCAGGGAACCTGAGGACTGGCCCACTGATGCACTTACTGAGGCCTGAAGAAAGGCCTACATCACTGACCACCACTGGCACTCAGGCATGCCATTGTGGGGTAAGAACAAGCCTGCCCCATTCATTGCTACTGCCTCTGGCACATAAGCATGCTGTCTGAAGGACTACAGAAGTGCATGCTCTGCCTGTCACATTCAGCACACACACAGACAGGCTCTTCCCTCCTGCCACTGCCACTAATAATGCCCACATACATTATCCAGGGGCTGGAGGCTAACCCATTCTGTCTATGGGTACCCTCCATTGAGGGGCCTGAGGGCAGGCCCTCTCCACCTACCACAGCTGGTACAGAAACTCGTGCCCCCACACAGTGTCTAGTGACCTGGGAAATGACTCACCACACCCTACACCCCATCCTGGATACTAAGGACAGGCTCATCTACACCCATAACCACCATTGATGGTACCCCACATACACAGCCCTAGGGATTAAGGATTGGCATGCCTAGCCTGTTGTCACCACTACTAGTGACCCAGAACCATCCTGCTTGGCATGACGATACCAAACAAAGCTTTGCCATAGTCTCCACTAACAACCACATCTCATCCCAAAGAAATCATATGAAAACTACAATTCTGTGCTCACCCAAAATCAGCGCCAAAGAATCCTACCTAACCAAGACTATAGAAAAAATCTTTTAAAAAAAGATAATTCATAAGATTGAAACGAACAACTAATACCAGTAGTGCAGATATCTACATAAAGACAAAAGAAACATAAAAAAGTGAGAAAACATGACACCTGCAAAGCAACACAATAATTTTCCAGTAATGGGTTTCAAATAAAAGACAATCTATGAAATTCCTCAAAAATAATTCAAAATAATAGTCTTCAAACAGTTCAGTTAAATAAAAGAGAATACACATGAACAATATAAAGACATAAAAAAAAATTCCTGATCTGAATAGAAAATGCCAAAGATAGATAAATTCCATAAAAAACAGAATCCCTGTTACTAAAGAATTCCATGAATGAAATAAAAGTACAATCAAGAGCTTCAACAATAGACAAGAACAACTGAAGAAATAATTTTTGTAAATGAGAAGACAGATCTTTTGAAATAACCCTGTCAGACAATTTTTAAAAAGAAGAAAAAAAGCCAATGTGACATATGAGATATAATAAAGTGGTGAAATATTCATTTTCTGAGTTCTAGAAAGAGCAGAGATGAGCAAAGGCAGAGAAAAACTATTTAACAAAATAATAGCTGAAAACTTCCCAACTCTTGCAAGAGATGCAGACATCCAGATATAGGAAGCTCAACAATCCCCAAATATATTCAACCTAAAAAGTTTTCTCCAAGGTGCATTATAGATAAACTATCAAAAGTAAAAAACACTCCTAAAAGCAGCAAGAAAAAAGTGTCAAGTAACATGTAAGGAAATCTCCATCAGACAAAGAGTGAATTTATCATCAGAAACCCAATAGGCCTGTGTTAGGCCATTCTTGCACCACTATAAAGAAATACCAGAGACTGTGTAATTTATAAAGAAAAGAAGTTTAATTGGCTTACAGTTCTGCAGGCTGTACAGAAAGCATGGACTGGTATCTGCTCAGCTTCTTAAGAGGCCTCAGGGAGATTTTACTCATGGCAAAAGGTGAAGCAGGATAGGGCACATCACATGGCAAAAGCAGTAGCAAGATGGGGGGAAGTGTTACACTGTTAAATAACATTTCTGATGATAACTCACTCACTATTATAAGAACTAAGACATTCATAAGGGATCTGCTCCCGTAATCCAATCACCTCCCACCAAACCCCATGTCCAACATTGGGGATAACATTTCAACATGAGATTTGGGTAAGAACAAATATCCAACTATATTACTCTGCCCCTGGCCCCTCAAATATCATGTTTCTCTCCCATTGAAAAATACAATCATGCCTTCCAAATAGTTCCCCAAAGTCTTAGCTCATTCTAGCATTAACTTAAATGTTCCAGGTCCAAGTCCAAAGTCTCATCTGAGACTCATCTCCTTTCACTCATGAGCCTGTAAAATAAAATTTAAAAAAAGTTATTTACTTCCAAGTTGCAATGGAGATGCAGACATTAGGTAAACATTCCCATTCCAAAGAAAGAAATGGCCAAAAGAAAGGGGCAATGGGCCCCATGTATGTCTGAAACCAAGAAGGAGAGTCATTAAATCTTAAACCTCCAAAATAGTCTCCTTTGACTCCATATCTTGCATCCAGGGCACATTGGTACAAGGGAGTGGGCTCCCAAGGTCTTGGGCAGCTCTGCCCATGTGGCTTTTCCACATTAAGTTTGCAAGCTGCCAGTGGATCTACCATTCCAGGGGCTGGAGTGTGGCAGGCCCCTTCCCACAGCTCCATTAGGCAGTGCCCCATAGGGGACTCTGTGTGGGGTATCCAACCACATATTTTCTCTTGGCACTATCCTCACAGAGATTTGCTGTGAGGGCTGTGCCCTGGAAGCAGGCTTCTGTCTGGCCACCCAGGCTTTCTCATACATCCTCTGAAATCAAGGTAGAGGCTGTCAAGCCTTCACTGTTGCACTCTGCATGCCCACTGGTGTAATACCACATGGAATATACCAAGACTCAAGACTTGCATTCTCCAAAGTGGCAGTTCAAACTGTACCTGGGCCTCTTTGATCCCTGGCTTGAGCTGAAGTAGATAAAATATGGAAAGCAGTGTCCTGAAGCTATGCAGGGCAGTAGAGCCCTGGGTCTGGCCTATGAAACCATTATTCCTCCTAGGCCTCTGGGATGGTGATGGGAGGAGCTGCCATAAAGGTCTCTGAAATTCCTTCAAAATCTTTTTGGATATTAGCACTTGGCTCCCTTTTAGTTATACAAATATCTATAGCAAGTGGTTGTTTCACAGCCTGCTTAAATTCCTCTTCCAAAAAACACTTTTTCTTTCTTTGCTATATGACTTGCCTGCAAATTGTCCAAACTTTTATGCTCTGCTTCCTGTTTAAATATAAATTCCAACTTTAAGTAATTTATTTGCTCCCACACATGAGAATATGCTGTTAGAAGCAGCCAGGCCACATCTTTAATGCTTTGCTGCTTTGAAATTTCTTCTGCCAGATACTCTGTCATCATACTCCAGTTCAATCTTCCAAATATTCCTAGAGCATGAACACAATGCAGCCAAGCCCTTGACTAAGGCATAACATGGGTGACCTTTGCTCCAGTTCCCAATAAGTTCCTCATTTCCATCTAAGACCTTGGCAGCCTAGACTTCACTGTCCATTTCACTATCAGCATTTGGTCACAACCATTTAACCAGTTTCTAAGAAGTTCCAAACTTTCCCTCATCTTTCTGTCTTCTTCTGAGGCTCCCAAACTCATCCAATATCTGCCTGTCACCTAATTCTAAAGCTGCTTCCATATTTTCAGGTCTCTCTATAGTAATGCTTCACCCCTTAGTACCAATTTTCTGTGTTAGGCCATTCTTGCATTGCTATAAAAAATGCCTGACATTGGGTAATATATAAATAATAGAAGTTTAATTGGCTCATCGTTCTGCAGGCTATACAGAAAGCATGGCACCAGCATCTGTTTGGCTTCTAGGGAGGCCTCAGGAAGCTTTTATTCATGGCAGAAGGTGAATCAGGAGAAGACACATTACATGGCAAAAGCAGGAGCAAGAGGAAGTGGGTAGGTGCCAGATACTTCTAAATACAAGATCTCATGCAAACTCACTCACTATTAAAAGGACAGCACTAAGTCATTCATGAGGGATCTGCCACCAAGACCCAATCACCTCCCACCAGGCCCTACCTCCAATATTGGGGAATACATTTCAACATCAGATTTGCGTGGGGTCAAATATCCAAGTATATCAAGGCTAAAAGAGAATGGAATGATATATTCAAGGACCAAAAGAAGAAAACTTACCAACCAATAACACTATACCCAGCCTTGCTATCCCTCCAGAAATGATGAAGGAATAAATTATTTCCCAGACAGGCAAAAGCTTTGAAAAATGATCACCCCCAGACCAGTCCAAGAGGAAATAGTTAAGGAAGTTCTACATCTCTACACAAAAGTATGATATCTATCATCATGAAAACACATAAACGTGTAAAACTTACTTGTAGAGCAGACACACAAATGAGAAATAAAATGGAGACAAATGTTATCATTACAAAATCTACTACATTGTAACATAAACAATAAAAGAGGGAGAAAACCAAAGATATACAAAACAATTTGAAAACCATTAGTAAAATTGCAGGAGTAAGACATCACCTATCAATAATAGCCTTGAATGTAAACAGTTTAAATGCCCCAATTAAAACTCATAAACTGACTGAATGGATTGAAAAAAAAGACTCAAATGCGTGTTGCCTACAGGAGGCTCACTTCACCTGTAAAGACACATATGGACTGAAAGTGAAAGGATGAAAAAAAGAATATTCCATGCAAATGATAACCACAAGTGTGCAGAGGTAGTTATACTTCTATCAAACAAAATAAACATTAAGTCAAAAAATATAAAAAGACACAAAGAATATTATCATATAATGATAAAAGGATCAACTCAGCAAGATAATATAACAATTGTAAATATGTATACACCAAACACTGAAATACCCAGATATATAAAGCAAAGATAATTAGAGCTAAAGAAAGACATACATCCCAATACAATAATAGTTGGGGAGTTTAACACCTGACATATCACTGGAAAGATTGTCTAGACAGAAAATAGCAGAGACTCACTAGGATTAATCAGCACTATAGACAAAATGAACGTAACAAACATTTACAGAACATTTCATACAACAAATACAAAATACACATTCTTCTCATTAGCTCATTGAACACTCTCCAGGACAGACCATATGTGAGGCCACAAAGCAAGTTTCAACAAAGTGTTAAAAACAAAAATCATATCAAGTATCTTCTCAGAACACATTGAAATAAAAAGTCAAAAAGAAAAAATTTGGAAACTACAGAAATAAAAAAAAAAAACGTGCTCCCAAACAATCATTGGATAAATAAAGAAATTAATAAAAAACAATCTTGAAACAAATTAAAAATACAACAAAAAATATGTGACACAGAAAAGAAGTATGAAGAGGAAAGTTTATAGGAGTATATACCTACATCCAAAATGTGGAAAGATTTCAAGTATTCAACCTAATAATGAAGCTCAAGGAATGAAAATAAAATAATAATCCAAACCTAAAATTAGTAGAAGGTAGAAATATCAGAACAGAAGTAAACAAAATAAGGACTAAATAAACAATGCAAAGGATAGAAGAATTAAAAAGTTGGTTCTACAAAAAAAATAAAAAAATTATGAACTCCCAACTCTAATAACCAATAATAAAAGAAAACTCAAATAAAATTAGAAATGAAAAATAAAACAAAGACATGACAACTAATAGTATGGAAATATAATAGGTCATTAGAGACAATTCAAACTATTGTACTAGTCCATCTTCATGCCGCTATAAACAATTGCCTGAGAATGAGTAATTTACAATGAAAAGATGTTTAATTGACTCACCGTTCTGCAGAGCTGCAGAGGCCTCAGGAAATTAACAATCATGGCAGAAGGAGAAGCAAATATGTCCTTCTTCTTATGGCAGTAGAATGGGGAAGAATGAGTGCCCACCAAAGGGCCTCTTATAAAACCATCAGATCTCGTGAGAACTAACTATCACAAGAACAGGATGGGGAGAACCACCCCCATGATTCAATTATCTCCACGTGGTCATCCCTTGACACATGGGGATTATTGCAATTCAAGATGAAATTCTGGGTGGGGACACAGCCAAACCATAATATTCTACCACTAGGCCCTCCCAAATCTCATGTCCTCACAATTCAAAACACAATCACACCCTTCCAACAGTCCCCTAAAATATTAACTCATTCCAGTATTAACTCAAAAGTCCAAGTCCAAAGTCTCATCTGAGACAAGGCAAGTCCATTCCACCTATGAGCCTGTAAAATCAAAAGCAAGTGGTTACTTCCTAGATAAAATGGGTACAGGCATTGGACAAATACATCTGTTCCAAATGGGAGAAACTGGCCAAAACAAAGGGGTTAGAGCCCCCATGTAATCATTAAACCTTAAAGTTCCAAAATAATCTCCTTTGATTCCATGTCTCACATCCAGGTCATGCTGATGCAAGAGGTGGGCTCCCATGGTCTTGGGCAGCTCCATCCCTGTTGCTTTGCAGGGCACAGCCCCACTCCTGGCTGCATTCACTGGCTGGTTTTGAGTGTCTGTGGCTTTTCCAGGTGCACTGTGCAAGCTGTCAGTGGCTCCACAATTCTGGAGTCTGGAGGATGGTGGCCCTCTTCTCATAGCTCCATTAGGCAGTGCTCCAGTGGAGATTCTGTGTGGGGGCTTCAACCCCACATTTCCCTTCCACACTACCTTAGCAGAGGTTTTTCATGAGGGCTCTGCCCCTGTATCACACTTCTGCCTGGACATTGAGGCATTCCCATACATCCTCTGACATCTAGGGGGAGGTTCTAAAACCTCAATTATTGACTTCTGTCTACCCACAGGCTCAACATCATGTGAAAGCTGTCAAGGCTTGGGGCTTGTACACTCTGAAGCCATGGCCCGAGCTGTACCTTGGCCCCTTTTAGCCATGGCTGGGACACAGGGCACCAAGTCTTGAGACTGCACAAAGCAGTAAGACTAGGAGGCCAGGCCTCTGGGCCTGTGATGGGAGGTACTGCCATGAAGACCTCTGATATGCCCTGGAGACCATTTCCCCATTGTTTTGGAGATTTACCCTTGGCTCTTCATTACTTATGCAAATTTCTGCAGCCAGCTTGAATTACTCCCCAGAAAATGGGTTTCTCTTTTCTATCACATCATCAGGCTGCAAATTTTCTGAACTTTTATGATCTGCTTCCCTTTTAACATAAGCTCCAATTCCAAACCATATCTTTGTGAATACATAAAACTGAATGCTTTTAACAGCACCCAAGTCACATCTTGAATGCTTTGCTGTTTAGAAATTTCTTCTGCCAGATACCCTAAATCATCTCTCTCAAGTTCAAGATCTCTAGGGCAGGGGCAAAATGCTTCTAGTCTCTTTGCTAAAACATAGCAAGAGTCACATTTATTCCAGTTCCCAAAAAGTTTCTCATCTCCATCTGAGACCACCTCAGCCTGGACTTCATTGTCTATATCACTCTCAGCATTTTGGTCAAAGCCATTCAACAAATCCCTAGGAAATTCCAAACTTTCCCACATCTTTCTGTCTTCTGAGCCTGCCAAGTCTCTAGGAAGTTCCACACTTTCTCACATTTTCCTGTCTTCTTCTGAGTCCTAAAAACTGTTCCAACTTCTGCCTATTACACAGGTCCAAAGTAGCTTGCACATTTTTGGGTAGCCTTGTAGTGACACCCCAATCTACTGGTACCAATTTATTGTATTAGTCCATCCTCACACTGCTATAAAAAAACTGCCTGAGACTGGGTAATTTATAAAGGAAAGAGGTTTAATTGACTCACAGTTTCACAGGGCTGGGGAGGCCTCAGAAAACTTACAATCATGGCCGAAGGGGAAGCAAACGCATCCTTCTTCTCATGCGGTAGGAAGGGGAAGAATGAGTACCCAGCAAAGGGGGAAGCCCCTTATAAAACCATCAGATCTTGTGAGAACTAACTCACTATCACAAGAAAAGGATGGGGGAAAACACCCCCATGATTCAATTATCTCCACCTGGTCCCACCCTTGACATATGGGGATTATTACAATTCAAGATGAAATTTTGGGTGAGGACACAGCCAAACCATATCAACTATACACTAAAAAATTAGAAAACCTACAGAAAATCAATAAATTCCTAGACACATACAACCTACCAATACTGGGTCACAAAGAAATAGAAAACCTGAGGACACTAATTGAATCAACAATGAAATGTCCCTTGACAGAGAAAAGCCTAGGGTCAGATATCTTTACTGCTGAGTTCTCTTCTTGCCCATGCTGTCTGCCTGATATAAAGAATTAACACCAATTCTTCTCAAACTATTCCAAAAAAAATTAAGAGAAGGTAACTCTAACTCATTCTATGAAGCCAGTATTATCCTGATACCCAAATCACCACAAAGACATAACTAAAAAAAAGTATAGGTCAATATTCCTGATAAATATAGATGCAAAAATCCTCAACAAAATACTATCAAACTGAATCTAACAGCACATAAAAAGAAACATCCTGATCTGTTGGTAGTTACTCCAGTAATACAAGGATGGTTTCACATATGCAAATCAGTAAATGTGATATATAACATGAATACAATGAAATACTAAAACCATATAATCATCTCAATAGATGCAGCAAAAACATTTGATAAAATTCAACATCTCTTCATGATGAAGACTCAGAAATTAAACAGAGAAAGAAGGTAACTCAACATAATTAAGGTTTTCTACAACCTGCACAGAGCTAACATCATACTGCATGGGGAAAAGATGAACCCTTTCCCTAAGAACTGGGACAAGACCTAGAAGCCCACGTTCACCACTCTAACTCACTATGGTACTGGAAGTCTTATCTAGAACAATAAGGCAAGACAAGGAAATAGAAGACATCTAAATTGAACAAGAGGAATTCAAATCCATCTTTACACAGAACACAATCTTATATATAGAAAAATCTTTAAAATGTTAGGGATCAAAATATCTGATGAGATGCTGGTAGTCTGTGCTTCCTCCACAGAGAGGAATTAGAATAGTTAAGTGGATACGCACATTTTGAACAGATCGTTTAGCAGGGAATGCTAGGATTCACTGAAGAAGTGAAAGAAAGCACCAGAAGGAGAGGGTTCGAAGCAGCTTGCCTGGCTGGGAACTAGCTGAGAGATGGGAGAGGCTCCTGGACATGGAAAACAGTAAGAGAGAAACACTCAGGGTTCCACACTTTGTAATGGGCTTTTACAATGTTGGTTATAGGAGAAACCTCTGACCTACTAGGGCCTCAGGCCTGACATACAGAGCTGCCTGAAAACTGGACAAAGACATTACTCCAGAAAGGGAACCAATATGGAATCCCACAGGTATCTAAACCTAAATAGACTCAGCTGGGTGCCATTTTGAGAGCCCTAATACTGGGGATCTATAGACACAGTTACTGCTGCTGTGTTGCTCCAAGGGGGAAAAGGGAAGAGCAAGTGCTCCCAAGCACCCCTGGGAGGGTCCCTACTGCTCTGCTGTGGGCTGCTGTTGAGACTGAGACATGAGAAGACTGCACTTCCCACAGCTTCTTGGCCATGCTGCTAGCCTGAGAGGTGCCCTGTCCTCATGCTGAGTTCAGGCTGATGTGGCTGCAACTGCCATCGGGCCAAAGAAGGTTAAGAAGAATCAGCTTTTCTACTCATATATCTAAGACAATAGCCACTACCCTGCAATGGGATTCTGTGAGACTGAGACATGAGTGAACCAAACTCCCCAAAGTTTCTTGCCCATGCTGGTTGCATGAAGGTGGGGCGGCGGGGCGGCAGGGGGCGGTGGGTGGGGGGGGCGCTCCTCCTTCTCTTGTCCCAGGCCCAAGGCAACATTTTGAAAGTTTAACGCTGGGCTGCACCCTGCCCTCATGGTGAGTTCTAGCCGTCACCGCTAGAGCCACTTACCAGCCAAGGAGGAAAAGTGAAACCAGGCTTTCCTATGCATGTCTAGGACAATACCCATTGCCCTGCAACAGGCTGCTGTGAGGCTGAAATGCAAGGGAACCACAGTCCCCACAGCTTCTTGCCCATGCTGTCTGCCTAACAGGGACACCACTCTCCCTTGCTGTAGGCCCAAGGTGCCATTTTGAGAGTTTAATGCTAGGTTGCGCCCCATCCTCAGTTCACATTTGAGGTAATGCAGCTACAGCTGCCACCCAGCCAAGGGAGAAAGAGGAGAAAACAAGCTCTCCTAAGCACACATAGAACAATATGCACTGCCTTGCTACAGGCAGTTGTGGTACTAGGGACTCGTATGCCCAACCCATTGCACTACCAGCAATACCAACATGGACTGCTTGGGTTGCAGTAGGTTGCTCCACCACGAATACTGCCATCAGCCACATCACACCTGATGCCTAGGGGCCTGAAAACCTGCCCACACACTTGGCTCACTGTCCTCACTACTAGCTTCTGCGCAAGCTACCTGGAGGTCCAAAAATCAGCCCTCCAGGACTTACTAACACCAGAGCAAATGTAAGCTGCTCTGGGGCCTAAAAACAGGCAAACTCACACCACCGCAGCCACTACCGAGGCCCAGAAACTGGCTCAGTTGTCAACCAAGTCGCCAGCAAAACTTCACCACAACCTCAACTAATAATTGTACCCCAAGCCACTGAGAAAATCACAGATTATCACTTATACTGTGTACTTCTGAAGTCATACAAAGATCACACTACTTCAGGCACCCCAAATCAAAGCCAAAGTATCCTACCCAACCAACAACATACATAAATTTTCAGGAAATAATTTTTCTCTACAAAAGCAATTTCAAAAAATTAGAATAAGCAACTGCTAAAACAAATACATAGATATCAATGGAAGGCCACACAAAAAACCATGAAAAAGCAAGGAAAGAAACACACCCCAAAGAAACACAATAATTGCCTAGCAATAGATACCAATAAAAAATAATTCTTCAAAATGCCAGGTAAAGAATTCAAAATAGTGATTTTAAAGAAGCTCAATAAGATGCAAGAGAAATCTGAAAACAAATATAAAGAAATCAGACATAAAATTTAGGATATAAATGAGAAATTTAACCAAGGAGACAGAGATCTTAAAAAAAACAAGAAGAAATTCTGGAAACAAAAATTAATTGAAGAAAATACAAAATACATTTTTTTAATGTATTAAAAACTTCAATGTATTCAGCTTCAAAAACAGACTGAACCAAGCAGAGGAATCTCAGAGCTTGAAGACAGACCTTTTGAAATAATGCAGTTAGATAACATTTTTTTTTAAAAAAAGAATAAAAAATAATAAACAAAGCTTTTAAGATGTTTGAAACTACATAAAATGGCCAAGCTTGCAAATTATCTGTATTCCCAAGGGAGAAGAAAAATTAAAACTTTAGAAAATATATTTAGGTTAATAATGGATAAAAATGTCCCAAGTCTAGCAAGGGAGTTAGACATGAAGCTATAGGAGACCAAGTGATCCCCTAAGGCAAATATATTGCAAAAAGTATTTCACCATGGCATATTATATTCAGAATGTCTAAAGCCAATGTGAAAGAAGGAAGTTTAAAATTAGCAAGATAAAAGCATGTAATCACCTATAAAGGAAACCCCATCAGACTAACAGTGGACTTTAAAGCAGAAACCTTATGAGCCAGAAGAGAATAAGATGGCATTTACAAAGTGCTGGAAGAAAAAAAAAGTCAGCAAAAATGTTTACATCTTCGCAGAATAGACTTCATAAATAAGAGAGTAATAAAGACATTCCCAGACAAGCAATAGCTGAGGGAATCCGTCACCACTGGATCAGCCCTACAGCAAATGCTGAAAGGAATATTAAACACAGAACTGAAAGTTCAGTAGTCTATCATGAAAATAAATGGAAACATAAAACTCACGTCTTATAAAACAACCACACAAAGGAAGAAGACAAAGGAATCAAATGGCAACGTGACAGAATTTCATCAAATCACCAAGACAAAAAGACAGAGAAAAATTTAAAAAACAACTATTTGAAAACAACAACATGGTGGGAACAAAGCCTTACACATCAATTTTAACCTTGAATGTAAATGGATTATGTCCTTTGCGTAAAAGATACAGATCAGCAGAATGAATTTAAAAAATGCTGCCTAAAAGAAACTTGCCTTACCTATAAAGACACATATAGACTGAAAATAAAGAAGTGGATAAAATATTCAACACAAACAGAAACCAAAAGTGAGCAGAAATAGTTATACTTTCTTAGGTTAAAACAGACTTTGAATGAAAAATGGTAAAAAAAGAAAGACAAAGAATGTCATCATAAATGATAAATGGATCAGTTCAGCAAGAAGATATAACAATTCTAAACATATCCAACACTGGACCACCCAGATTCATAAAACAAATACTACTAGACATAAGGAGAGATATACACAGCAATACAATAATACTGGGGACTTCAACACTTTATTTTCAGCATTAGACAGATCACCCAGACAGAAAATTAATGAAGAAACATTGGACTTAAATCAGACTTTTGACCAAATGGACCTAACAGACACATACAGGACATTCTACCCAACACCTGCAGAATATACATTTTTTTCATTAGCACACAGAACATTCTCCAAGATAGATCATGTTAGGCCACAAAACACATCTCAACAAATTTTAAAGTACTAAAATAATATCAACTATCTTTTCAGACCACAGTAAAATAAAAATAAAATAAAAATACCAAGAGGAATTATACAAGTCATAGAAATTAAACAAAGCGTTCCTGAATGGTCATTTGACCATGAAGAAATGAAGAAAAAAATTAAAACTTTTTGAAACAAATGAATATGGAAACCTAAGATAACAAAGCCTGTGGGATATAGAAAAGGCAGTGTTAAGATGAAAGTTTATAGCATTAAATGTCTACATCAAAAATATAGAAATATCTCAAATCAACAACCTAACATCACACCACAAAGAATGAGAAAAGCAAGACCAAACCAAAACCAAAATAAGCAGAAGAAAAGGAATAATGAAGATCAAAGCAGAACCAAATTAGAGACAAAAACAAACAAACAAACAAACAAACAAAAAAGAGAAGATCAACGATATGAATAGTTGGGTCTTCAAAAAGATAAAACTGATAAACCACTATCTAGAATGGCCATGAAAAGAAGAGAGAATATCCAAATAAATAAAGTCTGATATGACAAAGAAGACATTACAACTGATAACATAGAAATAAAATAGGTCATTAGAGACTATTATGAAATACTATCTATATACTCACAAACTAGAAAATCTAGATGAAATGGATACATTTCTGGACACATACAACCTTCCAAGAATGAAGGATAAAAAGCCTGAACAGACCAATAACAACTAGGAAGAATGAATCTCCAATAAAACATATCCCACCAAAGAAAAGCCAAAGACTGTATGGATTAACAGCTGAATACTACCAAATATACAAAGAAGAATCAATACCAATCATCCTGAAACAGTTCCAAAAAATTCTCCTTAACTCATTCTGCAAGGCCTGTATCACCCTGACACCAAAATCAGATAAGAACACAAGAAAAAAGATTAAACTGCAGACCAATATCACTGATTAACATAGACACACAAATTATCAACAAAATAATAGCAAACTGAATCCAACAGCACATCATTAAGATGAAACACCATTTTAAAAATGGGCTTTATACCAGGGATGCAAGGATGGTTCAACTTATGCAAATCAATAGATGTGATATATCACATAAATATAATTAAGGACAAAATCCCTATAATCATCTCAACAGAGTCAAAAAAAGCATTCAATAAAATTCAGCATCCCTTCATGATAAAAAAACTGTTAATGAACCAGGCATAGAAGGAACATACTTCAAAATAATAATAATGGCCATATGTGACAAACCCAAAGCCAACATCATACTGAATGGGGAAAATTTGAAACATTTCATCTGGAACTGGAACAAGAGAAGGATGCCTCCTACTCTCAACACTCCTATTCAGCATAGTACTGGAAGCCCTAGACAGAGCAATCAGGCAAGGGAAAGAAATAAAAGGCAGCCAAATTGGAAAAAAGGAAGTTAAATGATCCCTGTTTTGTGATGACATGATCGCATATCTAGGCAAACCTAAAGATTCTACCCCAAAAACTCTTACATTTTATAAATGAATTTAGTAGAATTGCAGGATGCAAAATCAACATACAAAAATCAGTGACTTTTCTATACATCAATAATGATCTAGCTGAGAAAAAAAACAATAAGGCAATCCCATTTCCAATAGCTACAAAAAAAGTACCTAGGAATACATTTTAAAAAGAGGCAAATGATCTCTACAAAAAGAAAAAAACCCTACAAAACACTGATGAAAGAAATTGAAAATGACACAAATAGAAAAACACTCCATGCTCACAGATCTGAAGAACTAATAGCATTAAAATTACCATACTGCCTAAAACAGTCTGCAGATTCAATGCAATCCCTATCAAAATGACACCATTTTTAACAGAATTAGCAAAAAGAATCCCAAATTTCATATGAAACCCCCCAAAAAATCTGAATAGCAAAAGCAGTTCTAGCAAAAAGAACGAAGCTGGAGACATCACTTTACCTTACTTAAAATTATACTAGAAGGCTATAGTAACCTAAACAGCATGGTACTCTTATTAAAATAGTAACATGGATCAATGGGACAGGATAGAGAACCCAAAACAAAAAGCCATACAGTTACAGCCAATGTATCTTTGAAAATGTCAAAAAGAACATACATTGGAGAAAGAACACTTTCAGCAAATGGTGCTGGGAAAATTTGATTTTCATAAGCACGGGAATGTAACTGCTATGTCTTACCATACACAAAAATCAACTCAAGATGGATTAAAGATTTAAATGTAAGGCTGAAACAAATATTCTAGAACAAAACCTAGGGAAAACTCTTTTGGGCCTCGGTTTAGGCCAATAATTTATGACTAAGATCTCAAAGGAACAGGCGACAAAAACTGACATAGACAAATGAGACTTCAACTAAAAAGCTTCTGCACAGCACAGGAAATAATAAACAAAGTGAACAGACAACCTGTAGAATGGGAGAAAATATGTGTAAAGTATACATCCAACAGGGCACTAGTATTCAGAGTATACAAGGAACTCAGCCAACTCAACAAAGAAAGAAAATCCCATTAAAAAATGGAAAAATGACATGTATGGAGATTTTTCAAAAGACCTACAAATGCCCCACAGATACGTGAAAAAAGTATTCAACATCACTAGTCATCAGAAAAAAATGCAAATTAAAACCATGATGAGATATTATCTTACCCCAGTCAGAATGGTATAATTAAAAAGTCAAAGAATAACACATATTGACAAGGATGTGGAGAAAAGGGAACTTTTATACATTGTTGGTGAGAATTTAAATTAGTACAACCTTTATGAAAAACTAAGTATGGAGATTTCCCGAAGAACTAAAAATAGAACTACCACTTGATCCAGCAATCCCACTGCTGGATGTCTACCCAAAGGAAAAAAAATCATTATATTAAAAAGATAGCTGCACTTGTATGTTTATTTCAGCTCTAGTCACAATAGCAAAAATATGGAATAAACCTAAGTGTTCATCAATAGATGATTGGATAAAGAAAATGTGGTATGTATACACAATGAAATACTATTCAGCCATAAAAAGAATGAAATCACATTTTTTGTAGCAACATGGATGGAACTGGATGTCATTATCTTAAGTGAAACAAGTCAGACACAGAAAGACAAATATTTCACATTCTCACTCATAAGAACTCCCATATCTGATGGTGAATGTGTAAATTAGTACAAACACCTTGGAAAACTGGCAGTGCTTACTAAAATTTAACATACCTAGCTACACTCCCATTTATTTATTTGATTGTTCATAGCAGCATAATTAGCACTTGCCAATAACTGGAAACAATATAAATGCCTATAAGCAGAAACTAAAAAAATTATGGGTGAGGGATACACTATAATTCTACAACAAAAATAAATGAACAAGCCACGTGTGGTGTCCTATGCCTGTAGTCCCAGATACTAGGGAGGCTGAGGTGAGAGGATACCTTGAGCCCAGAAGATCAAGGCTGCAATGAGCTATGATAGTGCCATTGCACTCCAGCCTGGATGACAAAGAGAGACCTTCTCTCTTAAAATAAAAATGAATAAATGAATTGTTTATACATGCTAAACCATGGCTGAATTTCACAAACAAAATGTTGAGTAAAAGAAGTCAAAAAGAATATAAACTTTCCATAAAGTTTAAAAATAAAACTAATCTGTAGTTTTAATATATTCACAAAAAAACTTGTACACAAATATTGATAGCAAAAACTAATAATACCTAAAGGTGGAAACAACTCAAATGTCCATTAATTAATTAACAAATAAAATGCAATATAGCTATACAATGTGATACATTTCAGCCATGAAAAGAGTGAAGTACTGATATGTGCTAAAACATGGATGAACTTTAATAACATCATACTAAGAAAAGCCAGACACAAAAGCATATATTGTACAATTCCATTCATATGAAATATGCATAATAGACAAATCCATAGAGACAGAAAGTAAATTAGTGGTTTCCTGGAGATGAGGGAATGGAGAATGATTATGGGATTTCTTTTCAGAGTGGCAGAGGTGTTCTGGAATTACCCAGTTGTGATGACTCAGCAACATTATGAATGTTTTAAAAATGACTGAATTGTATATTTTAAAATGGTGAATTTTACATTATGTGAATTTTATCTCAATAATAATAATAAACGAAGAGAAACAAGCAAATAAAAAACATCTAACTTTTGGTTTTGAAAATCAAGTTATTTATTTTGGTACAGGATGGTAGTGACTAGCAGAGAATATGAGGGAGCTTTGAGGTTCTGGTAATCCTTTCATCTGAGTAGTGGTTTTATAGGTGTATTCATTTTTTGAAAATTAATAAAGCAATTTTGTAATGTATGTTATATTTTTAAAGTATATTTCAATAAAAGTTATAAAAATAAAATTTACAAATTAAAAAATGTTTTAGGGCCAGTTATAATTCAATACATGGTAACTTAAAATTATATCAAGAAATAATTAAAATACACAATATAGCCTCACAACTAACAATCTATAGGTTGGTATCTGGAAGCTTATTGAATTGAATAATCCAACAATCTTGAAAATAAAAATAAAATAAAAATCAATTAGCAATTTTAAAGGCATGAATCAAAGATTCACATTTAGTTTAAAAATACTCTTAAAAATACTTGGAGTGGAAATACTTAAAAACACCAACTACTAAAATTATCATGTAAAATAATCAATAGCCTCCAATTTCATAACATTTTGGCATTTCATAGTCAGGGCCCAAATCTGTAACTTTTCTCTTTACTTATTACTGTCTTCAAGAAACTTTCAAAAGATAGATTGTATTAGACAGACAGATTACCAATGTTGCAATAATGGCTCTTTGATTTTTTTTATGTCTAACTGTAACTGGAAAATTCTGGACATGCTTCAAAATTGTCACTATGCTTTTATCCAGATGCTTTCAACCAAAGACACTTAGACCAAAACACTTGGCTATAGAGCAAACTTAATCATTTGATTGTTTAAATTCTATTTTCTCATTTCTATTTTTGGGAAGAATCCTCAATGATTTTTATAAATACAGGCAACATTTTATCTTTAAGAATTTTTTTGTCCCAAAAGAATCTATGGTGAATGACAACAAGAATCACTTTGCAAATAATATTCTATCCAGTGTGTTTTTGCAATACTCAGTAGATTTGGTACATAGATTTAGCAGTGAAAATGACTATCCACTGCCTACTGTAAAAATGAAATATAATAAAAGTTAGTCAAATTTTTAGATTTCACATAGACTTACTGCTGTAGATAAACTATTCTAAAAATGAACTGAATAGAAATATGCTGAATAATATACAAGAGTGGATTTATCAGCAAAATTTATAAATACAGAGAATTTGATTTAATAAGAAATTAATCTCTTTTTTCCAATTGAATTTGCCTTTCATTCATTTCCATAAGTCTTCCCTGTTATCTAAAAAAAGTAGTAAGGCTAGTCTAGGTTTTTCCATTTTCAAAGTAACCACATTTCTAAAGTTATAAAGACTTATTTTAACAATGTTCTTAAATCCTAATGCTTCCTAAGTACATAAATGAAAGTGACATACCCAAATGGCAAAATGAGCTCTCACATAAAAAATAGAAAAGCAAGTTTTACTTAATCAACGCTATTTTAGAAAGTGAGGCAAAAATAATATTGGCTTATTCCCTCTTCTACTAGCATGTCATAACATTTGATGCAATTCCTATTATTATTAATAATTTAAAATAAAACAAGTTCCAGAAAGCACAAGAACATAAAATGACTTTAAAGGGAAAGCTGTTGCATCTCTTTGGAAATATCAAGGGTCAAGTTTAGCATTAACGAACTAATGCCAACACAAATCGGGAGGAAAAATAGTTCTCACTCTGCCTAGCAGCACATTCTAAAATTGGACCTCGCCTGGAATGAACTTCTATTCACTGAGTCATTGCCTGTGGAATTTCCATTTTAGCTCTCTAATTTGGCTAATTTCCCCACAAATAGACATGAGAGAAGCTTCCTTCTTCCACATGCAGTATTATGTTATTTCACACTGCAGTTATATCCCTCTACTGTGTACACAGGAAAGGGAAATAAGTCTTGACAAAGACGAATCATTTCTTGACTTTATTCCAAGGAAAGACTGGCTTAGAATTGAAATGTTTTCATTTTGGCTACCATTTGCAATTTTTATTGTTAAATGTATTTATTTTTTAAACTGACAAAAATTGTGTATATTTATCATATACAATATGTTTGAAAATATATATAACACTGTGGAATGACTAGATAGAGCTAATTAACACATGCATTACCTCATATACCTACTTTTTGTGGTGAGAACATAAAATATTATGTATCACTATAGTGAGCTTTATTTTTTTTATAATGGGCTTTGTTTCCTTTCCAAATGTATTCAGTTAGTTATACTTTATTCAGAATGTGAGAGACCTGCTTGATGATTAACACTATCCCTCATCACATGATTGGTGAAGTTTCAGGATTCTCCATGTTAAACTCCAGTAGTTGTCATTCCCAAGTATCAAACGAAGTCTTTATAGCCTTATTTTCAGCTAGCATACCTATATAAAATAACTACTTTCTAATTAAAGTCTTGTTTTTTTGTTTCAGAAAATTAAAATTTGCTTGTGTGTCCAATATAAGGAAAGTAAAAATTATTTCAAAAATTACAGGTGTAAAATCATTTATTTATATGCTATGGTTTTCTCATTTGGAAACAAAATGTTTGTTTTATATAATTTCCAAAAGATCACTCTCAGGTTTTATACTTAATATATCCGGGATTCCAATCTAGAGCAAATCAAAATATAGCATAATTTACAAGTTATTTCCCATAGTATTTTGCTATAATTAAAGCTACCAGTCACAATTCTGTTTAAATTTTAATTTAGGACAGTTTATCCTAATTGCTGTATTGCAGCTTACATTTTAGATTCTTAGAACTTTTTGAAAAAACTTCTGATAATCTGCACATTGAAATATTCCTCATAATTTTCTGTCCATACCGTGAAAATAACAACTGCCATTCTATCTGAATCTGTATAATTCTAATACATAACCATCTAGAAATTGATTATATATTATTTGTCATTGCTTGCTGAATTTTTGTTTCTATCTAGCTTGTAATATGTGTGGGTAAAGGGCAGAATTTGTCAAATATGTGCTAAAAATGTTTGTTTGAATAAAGTAATGCAACATACTTTTGTGTTATACTTCATAGTGCCTCACACAGAGTAGGCACTCAATAACCACCAGCTGCTTAATAAGCTGGTAATGATAAGAGGTAGTCTAAGGATTCACAGTTAGTGCTCATAAGAATAATTATCTCCTTTGTTTAAAATACTGAGTTAAGGTATTTTCCATAGGCAGAATGATGGTTAATGTGTTTTGCATGTGCATAAATGTCAGCAGAAAACTAGAATGAAATGTATTGTTCTGTTGACAATGCAGGACAGCAAAGTCACCACCGAACAAAATGTAATTGCTAGGTAATTATACTATTTATTTACTCTCTCTTTTTTTGCACTCCATGCTCACTGAGTTATCACCATTAGTAGTCAGGGTAACTATAAAATGTGTTACATTAGGGTGTAAAGAGAAAAGAGGATGTGACTTCTGTAATTGAGTTTCCATACATCATCACTTGCCATGTTAGCTAATGAAAGAGAGGATTATGAGTAAGAAGCCCAAGTATCACATCGAAGTTGGTTTTTGGGCAATCCTAGTCCTATCTCTTCCAATTTAAGAGAAATGCAGTTAAAACTCAATCTAACACAGTTTAGCATGAGAAACTATTGAAATTAATGACTAAGCAGTATCTTCCAAATTATGGAGATCTGATTTGTTATATTAATAAGCACCAAATAAAAAATACCTGTTGAATATCTGTAGTAGCAGAAGGCAGTAGTAAGAAAGAAATGGAAGCCAGCGACGACATAGCTCATTTTGATACAGAGTAGTCTGGGCTTATATTGTACAAGGTTGAAGAGTCCTGCAGATTCTCAAAGGGAAATAACATTATAAACATCAAATGTGAATCTAAGAACACATGAGGGAGCCAAACAAGATAAAGTCGTCTAACAGTGTGGATAATCTAGACTATGCATGATTTATTCAGAGATAGCCATAGTTTATCACTTCCTGATAAATTAAGCATGTCCTAATCGTCTTTGCATAAATATTCCTGAAAATATTTTATTACACAACTTTGTTCATATTAATCAAGTGTAATTTTTATAGTATCCAAGAAATCCTTAGGGACATTTTTAATCTTCCTTTCTCTTTCTGATGGTTGTCCTATACATTCAATAAGTCACCAAATTATATTCATTTCCTCAATTAGGACACATCACCTATATCTCTGTCTCTTCTCGTCACCACTTCAGTCCAAGCCTTCATCACAACACTCCGGAATTACTACAACAGACTCCTATGTGACGGCACTATTTCCCCCATCGTATCCACATTATACATGTCCACTATATTAATATTTTTATATAATCATATTTGACTTCCCTTCTCAAATATCTTCACTGGCTTTCAATCATATCCAGAATAAAGTCCTATCTACTCTGACTGGTTTGTATTGCCTTCCGGAATTTGGCTCCATACTGGCAGTCTAACCCTAACACCCAGCACTTACCAAATATGAGCCCTGAATTTGAGTTAGGCTGTTTTTCACAGTGTTGTGTGGCTAATTCCATTTTGAGTTCTTTGTGCTTTTCTCCCAGGCTGGAATTCACCAACACTCTTCTTTATATAACTAAATGTAACCACCCATTAAACTCTAGCTCCTGCCCCTCCTTTCACTCCAAGCCACTCATTTGGTGCCTGAAAACATGTTTGTTGATTTTGTTTAGTTGTAAAATGGCTAATAGGTGAATTTCTATGTCCTCTCCAAAATTAAGATATGGCTCATATTTTACTCTTCTTATCTATATCCCTAGTATTCTACCTTGCATTCTGTAAGGAGTCAGTAAATTAACTTGAAATATGCAGAGGGGACCATAGCTTAAAAATTGTTACCAGAGGCCCCATCTATTTAGATTTTGTAAACATATAAAATTCATTTTTAATGATTGCTTTGCTTTTTATAGTTTTTTTTGTGCTTAAACAATCTGTTATCTAAACCCTTGGTCCCTAGCCATTTTGGCACCAGAGACCAGTTTAGTGGAAGACAATTTTTCCACGGATGGGGGGATAGTTCTGGAATGATTCAAGCACATGACATTTATTGTGCACTTTATATTATTATTACATATTCACCATAATGTAGAATCAGTGGGAGCCCTGAGCTTGTTTTCCTGCAACTAGATGGTCCCATTTTGGGGCAATGGGATACAGCGACATATCATTACGCATTAGATTCTCATAAGCAGTGTGCAATCTAGCTCCCTCCCATGCGCAGTTCACAACAGTTTGTGCTCCTATATGAGAATCTAATGCCACTGCTGATCTGACGAGAGGTGGAGCTCAGTTTTGCTCCCTGGCGGCCACTCACCTCCTGCTATGCAGAACAATTTCTAATACGCCATGGACTAGTACCTGTCCATGGCCTGGGGGCTGGGGACTCCTGCTTTAAACCCTAGCATACAACTTGCTTTTTAAAAAATTGTTAAGCAAATCTATTTTTCAAAAAAGCTATATATATATATATATATATATATATATATATAAATTTATATATATTATTATATAGATAATATATAAATATAAAAATATATATTATATATAAATTTATATATAATATATACATATAAATTTCAATTACATATATAATATATACAAATTTCAGTTTTTTATATATATACATAAATTTCAGTTCGGCCTTACATTTCAATTGTCACATATTTTGAGTGAGTTGCATTTAGTTTAGTTTATATCATCATGAAGTTATCAAGTGGATCTGTTTGATACCAATAATTACCAAGGGATTATGAATATTCCCATCAGGGAGTTAATCATTGCTTTATGTGGAATCAAGGAACAGTCAAAAATACCCTGTTATACTAATGCCTTATCTTATTTTTCTTGGATGAGAATATGAAGCATTTAATCCACAGAGAAAGATGATCCTCGTATTTCAACAAGTTTCACTTTTACTATTCAAGGCTTTCAATTACGTAACACTATAATGAGATAACTGGTAAAAATGTCAAGATTAACATATTTAAACTCATGATAAATATGCTCATCAGGATCCCCCAGAATCAAACCTTCCTGCAAGGCATTTTTTATTGTGTTTTCAATTGGCAAAATGTTAATAAATCAAGGACTGAAGATAAACAAAAGGCAAATGAGATAAAATTAAATCATGTTCCATTGTTTAAACAAAAAGGCAAGCTTATGCCAACACTAACAGAAACACTAATATGTTTACAGTCACACTTCTGTCTGTAATTACATGCCATGTCAACTATCATGGTGGGACAACAGTATTGAAAAAGAAATCTTTTGAAAAAATTGAACAAAAGAAACCATGTGAGCCCACGGACAATCACAAGATCTTTATCCTAAAAAAAAAAAATTTGTCCTTTGAAAATTCTATAGACCATAACAAAAGCATAGCTTATGATAGTTTTCATGGGAGGAAATAGGTCTAAGGGATTAAGGAAACAATGTGACAGAGTTTTAAGATATCTATATAGTTATGTATCTTAATGGATGCCTATGACCCTTGCGTTCACCTCAGGCCTCTGCATTTTCTATAGGAAAATAATAATAATCTATTTAAGAGGACTTAACTAATGACAACACATTTCTAAAATGGCTTAAAATCTTTCTAAAATACTAAGGGAGAACTGTTAAATGGTTAGACACAAAATTCTATTTCTTTGAATTACAAATTTATGTGTATTTTTTGCTTTTTCATTGAATAAGTACAACCAACTTAAAAATTATAAAGACAGTAAAGATGTATATCAAGGTGGTATATATTAAAGTGCACTGTTAAAGTGCCATAATAATTGTTATCCCCAAGTATCCACATGTAAACAATACTGGGTTACAATAGTTGAAAGCAACTAATAGTGTTTGCTACCAGGACCACACTGTAAAAAAGGAAAAGTAGAACTACTTCTCACTAACACCTTATATAAAATGTCTCCATTATTATCTGATTCATGTATAAACACATTGCCATCTAAATCCAGAAAATTACTTCTCAATGTACACACATACTTGCAGTAATACTGTGACTGAAAAATGGGCCATAAGAAGAATGGCTGAGAGATGGTGACCATGAAAGAGACGTGTCTAATTTAAATGTAAGTAAAAGAGATTCATGGCAAGGACTGGTGTACACCTACAAGGAAATAGCATGGAGTACAAAGAATGTAAGAGAAATCAATTAAGGTGGGAGGCAGCAAACAGTTATAAACAAAATAGTCATGAAACTCAAGAGTCGAATGGGAGAGTGGGAAATATTTCCTCTTTGTTTTGAGCTACACACACACACACACACACACACACACACACATTACTAAGTGAAATACATTTGTAATCTGAGCTAGGTAAATTTTAATATGAATTGTAGATCTGACTTTGCCATAATTACCTCACAGGATTGTGAGGATCAAATATAATAGTTGTGAAAGTGCTAAATTGTAAAATGCTATACTCACATAAGATAGATGGTATCTACTCAAAATGCAGACAAAACCCTCTCATTTCAACTCTAAGAGTAAGCCAGCAATGAGCTCTCTAGGGCACAGAGGGGAGAAAAATCTCCCTCTGGTCTATGTCCAGATTGTCTTGGAAGAATAGGCTGAATACTCATTGCATGAGCTGGCTTTGAATGCAGACCGAAGATACTATCAAATTGGTCTAATGGACATGTGGCCAATGCCACAAAAGAACTGTGTGTAGAAAAATCCTTAATCTGTTGAAGAAATAACTTCCTTTTCCTCTTTCTTAACCTTCACAAATGTTTATTTCCTGCACAATCCTGATACTAATTTGTGCTAATTTCTCCCCTTTGAGGAGGGAAAACAAGGGGCAGGAAAGGGAATGAAGATTCACCAAAACATGCTGAAACACATATAACATTTTCCTTTCAATACAACCTACTGGGGTAGAAAAATAAGTCTAGGATGTAACACATATGTTCACATTGCTATGACCATTTTACAGATAGAAAACTGAGGCTAAGAGAGACTAAATAACTTATTAAAGGCCAACTTATTCAAAACCACAAAGCAAACATTTCACTCTGGGTCTGAGTGATAACAAAAGCCCTTGTATTTTCCACAACAAAAACATACCTTCATCATTTAAAAAAAAGGTTAGAAGGATAAACAGCTAAGAAGAACCAACTCCTATTTTTAGCTCTTTTTTTTTGAGCTCTATCATTAGATTTTCGTACTGTGTAAAATTTCCATTAAATTTTTAATGTAAAACACCAGTTCCTCAATCTTTCATTATTTAGTGCTACAGGGCTCAAACCGCTTCTGATTACAAGTACAAACAATAATAATTGCAAAATGCCCGAAAATTTTCAAGAAAAAGCACAAAATCACAAAACAAAACAAAACAAAACTGAAAAGACCTTATGAGCAATGTGTTCAAACCACCACAATTTATAAATAAGGAAATTAAGGCTCAGATAGGTTAAGTGACTTGCTGAGGGTCACACAACTTGTCAGTTCCAGACTCAAGATCAGAATTTAGATCTCCAAACTCATAGTCCAGGGCTGTGCTCTTTTTGCAAACCAAAAAGAAATGACTGCACTTAAATATTTAGTCCAGAATATCCTCAAAATTGACTGTAATAAAAGTTAGCCACATGGCAAGGAATGAATAGAGTTGCTTCATACCAAAAATGAGCTGCCAGTCACAGTGATAAGATTTCTTTCTTTCTGAGAACCATGGTTTCCTGCTGCATTGGGGAATCCAAACTGGGTTTCTCCCTCCTGTCCAAAGAAGTCAGAGTTAGGATGTACGCTCCACTCCGCTTTGGCTGGTGTCAGTAGTTCTGAGACACTGTTTTCACAAAGGGTGCTCGAAGGAGTCAGAGTATCTGTGTCCACTGTTAGCTTACTGCTGGGTGTCAAAGCCTGAGGCTCTGGACTGGAGTTTTTCATGGCCAAAGAGTCCAGAGATCCCAATGGCCCCACACTTACACTTGAGACCTCATCCATATTTAAGGAGCTCTGCTGAAAACCAGTGGCCGCCGTTCCAAAAAAGAGAGAGGTATCCAGACTTTGAGGAGGGTCGCTGGTGGCCATCAAGGACGGAGGGTCCACAGCCTGCCCTACGGAATTATTATTATTAGCAGGGAGGTGCCCTGCCAGAGTCGAGCTCACAGAAGCCACATCAATAGTCAAGATTCCAGAGTTCACCAATGCTGTGTCCAGCAATGCAGCAGAAGTACTGTCAGGTACATCAGAGAAGAGAGACACTATCTCTGCATCACTGAGATCATTCTGTCTCTGGCTGGTAAGTTCACTGCTGGGTGTAAGAGAATTTGCTGCTTCTAGCTGAGCTAAGAGATCCTGGCCCACCTTATGCCTTTTAACCATGTGCGTCTTCATGCTGTGCTTGGATGTGAAGAGTTTATTACAAGAGGAGATCGGGCAACGGCTTTTCCAAGTGTCCACATCCTGCAGGTGTTTCTTGGAGTGAATGTAGAGGCTACTGCGAGCAGAGAACCTGGCACAGCAGCCTGCCACAGGACACACGAAAGGCTTTGTGCCCAGGTGGGTAATGCTGTGGCCTTTCAGATGTTCGGCCCTCGTGAAAGATTTCCCACAGCCTTCCACAGGGCACATGAACCTCCGGTCATCGTCGTGCTTCCTTTTGTGCCTTAAGAGTTTGGACATGCTGGTGAAGTTCCAGCCACAGCCATCAAAGTCACAAAGGAAAGGTCTCTCGCCGGTGTGACTCCGCAGGTGAATTTTCAGCCTACAAGCCTTGTCATATTGCTTGCTGCAGCCAGGGAAAGAGCAGGAAAACAGTTCCTGTTCCCTGAAATGGGCGCGGTTATGGGAAAACAGAGCACTCACTGTGATAAATGTCTTCTTGCAGCCAGAAAACGCGCACTGGTAAGGCCTCTCGGGTTCGAAGTGGCTGCGCTGGTGGGCGCCGAGTTTGGCCTGCGTGGGGAAGCTCTCCTCGCACACCTCACATTTGAACGAGTTCTCCTGCTCATGGCCCTTCATGTGCGCCTTGAGGTTGTACACGGTGGTGAAGCTCTTGCCACAGCCCTCCGCAGGGCAGCCGAAGGGCCGCAGTTTATCGTGCGACTGCAGGTGCCTCTTGAGCTTGTAAGAGGTGGTGAAGGTCCAGCCGCAGCCACCCAGGGGGCATTTGAAGGGCCTCTGGCCCTGGCTGCTGCTGTGCGTCAGCAGGTGCATCTTCAGCTGGTGCTTCTTGGCGAAGGTTTGCCCGCACAGCGCCTCGGGGCACAGGTACAGCACCACGCCTGGACCAGAGCCCAGCAGTCCGCGGGGGCCCAGGGCGGCGGCCAGGCCCTCCGCCTCCTCCTGGGGCGCCGGAGCAGGCGCGGGTTCTGCGGGCTCGGCTAGCAGGAGGTCGGACCGCAGCTCTGGGCAGTCACCCGGGTGCGCGGCTTGCGGGAACCCAGCTTGGGGGGCGATCAGACACCTGGGCTGCTGGGCAGGAGCGGCCCCTGGCTCCCAGGCGTGTGGTGGGGGCGTGGCCAGGGTGAGGACGCCGTTCTCAAAGCGCAACAGCAGGTCCTGGTTGTGGATAGTGACTGTGCCCGCGAAGGCCGCGGCGGGGCCGGGGGCGGAGATCGGGGCCGGAGTGGGAACCGCGGACAGGCAGTGGGGGCCCTGCGCAGAGCAGCCCGCGGGGTTCGCGCCGCTCTCGTCCCCCTGGAGCCCCGGGCCCGCCTTGGCCTCCTCCCTCAACACAGGCCCTGCGGCCTGACCGGAGCCCGCGGTCTCCACGTCGCCACCCACCGGGTCAAGCAGCACCAGGAAGAAGTCGTCGCCGCCGCCGCTAGGTTGATGGGGCCTCGGCGCGAACAGGCTTGGGCCAGGGCCCCGTGATGCCGTGCTGGCCTCCTCGCGCCGCCGCCCGGGCCCGCCATCTTGGGGGCCCCGGGGCAGCAGGAGGCGGCGCGTGGGGACCTGGCCAGCCGGCGAGTCAGGGCCTCGGTGGACTCGGCCGCCACCCGCGGGGATACCGCCGCCGCCGCCGCCCTGTAGTGTCCCGCGAGCCGGGAGCAGCTTCGGGATTTCCATCTCTGCGTCCGAGAGGCTCGGCTGGAACCAGAGCCGAGGAGGAGGCGCGATCCCGCCCCCTGCCGCGGGCCTGAACACGTTCCTGAAAGGGGAAAAAAAAATGTGCAATGCGCAGAAACTGGCCCTATCAGATATTAAAATGTATTCAACGCCACAGTGATTTAAATATTCTGGTACTGGGTCTCTGGAACGGAATAGAAAGCCCAGAGGTAGAGCCTGGTATGCATAAATATATTCTACAATTAATATAAGTAATTAAGGAGGTCTTCTGAAGTAATGGGGAAATGACGACATCTTGTTCAATAATGCTGTGGAACACCTAGGTATCTATCTGGTAAAAGCAATTTTAATCCGTGACTCATTGTATATACCCAAATAAACACACGCCAGCCCCTCCCAGTGTTAGACATGTTGCTTCATACTTTTTGTGTGTTAAAATTTGTTTATTGGCTGGCTACCTGGCTGGATTGATGGATGAAAGACAATTCCTGAGAGAAAAAACTGTCTCTGTGTCAGCATTAAACCACCATAGTGCTGGCATTTCTGCGGAAATTGCCCTTCCCCTTCCCACCTCTGCGCGGGACAACTTCCATACTCACAATTGTCTTGAGCAAAGTGCTCGGTACAATTTGCCACATAGTTCAATTTTTGTCTGCTGATAACAGAGATTAGAATGAGTGAGAGATGCGGCCAAAACAGATTAGCACTCTTCAGCCTACAAATGCAAAGTCTGGAGGATGAAACAATTTATACTGAAATCTGGAAAAAAACCCAACCCGCCCCTGGCTTCTCCCTATACAGTGCACAACCTAAACCAACTCTTTGCCCTTCGACGATCGGTTGTACCATGATAAACTTCATGTCCACTCTCATAGCACAATGAGGGCATTGCTCAGTTTATTCTGCATTCTCCAGCACATTCTCTGGGCAGGAGTTCCAGTTAAATGTGTTAAGGTTAAACCCTCAGTCACTCAATGGACTCTGCCAAGTAATGTGCACAGACGATCTTGTCCACTCGCCCCGGTGTACCTGCTCACATTTAAGTGTGGTGGCCCAGTCTTGCTGGGCCTTTGGTGCCTAATGTCCTTATTAATGATGACGACAATCCTCCAATTTGTCTGTCACGAATGAGTTTGGAATTGACACAAATATAGGGTGAAATATCTGAGATGAGAAGGCTTAGAGTGATGAACAGATTGGTGGTGGTGGGGGTGGGGGGGTGTAACCTGTTGTTTAAATACTCCCAGCTCTCTCGCCCTCTTTTAATAACAGTGGACACTTGGTCTCTTGAAAATCAAGTTTTTCAACCATAACTATTCGAACCTCATCAAAATTTCTACTCCACATACTTTTCTTTCTATTACTTTTTCTGGAGGAAGCACTTTTCAAATCTGAAATTAGAAGAGTGCATATAACGTATCTGTATAGTTTAGATTATTTTACAAAAGCAGACACCTACTTAACCAGGACCAAGGTCAAGCAATAGACCACTGCCAACCTCCCAGAATACAGCTGCTGTACTCCTTCCAGTCACAAACCACACTCTCCTATATAGATATAGTAATTGCTCCGACTTTGTAATAATCATTTCACTGCTTTCCTTTATAGCTTTATCACTTTTGTACGCATCCCTAAACAATAGAGTTGATATGAAGTTGTATAAGTGGAATCATACGGCATGCTTCCTTTTATAGCTTGCTTTTTTCACTCTGTATTATACTTGAGAGACTCGTCCATGTTGTTCATAATAGCTATAAGTAAGTAGATCCTTTGTCTCCATCGACTGTCTTTCCAGCATATGCTTATAGCAAAGTGATTATTGTATGATTATTCCACTCCATTCTACAGCAGATGGAGATTAGGATTGCTTCTACTTTTCAATGATTATTGTGAACATTCTTGCACATTTCTAATGGGACACGTGTAAAAATCTCTCTAGGGTATATATCCAAGAATAGAATCACAGGGCCATAGGGAATGGATATCCTCAGCTTTACTAGATGATGCCAAATTGTTCTCTGTAGTGATTGGGAGAGTTGTCAATCCCACCAGCAGCATAGAGAGTCCTTACTGATCCACATGTTCACCTACACCAAGTATTGCCCGAATTTAAATTTTGCCGGTCTACTGGTGGGCAATATCCAAATTACTATTAAGCTTTAGCACATTTTTGTGTTAATGAGCCTTTTGGAGTTTCTATTTTGAGGAAGGCCTATTCAAATTTACCTCTTTTAACCCACGTTTCTATTTTATTGTTCATCTGATACTGACTTAATGAGTCTGTTAAATATTTTAAATACTCTTCCACACCTGCGGCCAAAATACTCCCTTGCTCTGTTTGTATATTCACTTGCTTTGTGCTCCGGTTTGTGAACAGAAGCTATTAATTATAATATAGTCAATTTCATCATTCTTTTCCTGATGGTTAGTGCTTTTTTGTTTTAAGAAATCTTTTCTGTTTTAAGGAACCCTGGACCATGAAAGCATTCTCTATATTTTCTTCTAAAATATGTCTGCTATTGTCCTTCATAGTCAGGTCTTAATCCACCTGCAATTGATGTTTGTGTATTGTGTTAAGTAGAGTTCCATTTATGTATATATGTATGTAAGTAAGTGAATATCCAGTTTTCTCAGTGAACCACTTATTGAAAAGTCTGCCTTTTGCCAGTTGATTTACAGTGCCATAAATCAAGTATCTACACATATGTGGGCTAGTTCTATACTCTCTATTAAGCACTTGTCTGTTTGAAATACCACACTGTCTTAATTACTACAGATCCATAGTCAATTCTGATATTTGGATTAGGCAAATCAATTCTACCTTGCTCTTCAAAAGTGTCTTGGCTACTTTTGGTCCATTTCAATTCCATTTAAATTATAAACTAATCGTAAAAACTTCAACCAACAGCTAGTTTGGGGTTCTAATTTGAATTGTGCTGATATTTTAGATTTGACTTCTCAATATTGAATGTTCGATTCGTGGTTATGGTCTATCTCTTCTGTTAATAAGATCACCTTTAATTTGCCCAAATATTATTTTATATTTTTCCCACAAGGCAACTTTTTTATCCTAGGCATTTAATATTTTGCAAATCATATGTTTGAAATTTTTATTGTCTAAATTTATAGCTCTAAATAGCATACAATTGGCTTTTGTTCGTTAAGATTTTATCCTATAAGCATATAAACTCTTCTATCGATTCTAATAATTTGTCTGTAATACTTTGTAGAATTTTATATACACTGTCATATCATCTGAAAATAGTTCCAGTCTTTCTTCTTCCTTTCCAAATATCTTATTCCTTTTTCTTGCCCTACTGCTCTGCCTGGGACCCCGCCCCTACCCCCAGTAAACTATTGCATAGAAGTGGTGATAGTGGATATCCTTACTTGATGTAGCTCTTGAAGAGAAAGCTTTCAGTGATTCTCCATTAAGAATGATGCTTGCTGTAGATGTTGTGTTCTGCAGCAATATGGATCCAATCAGGAGATAGAAAGCACACAGTGATCTAGAAGGGGAAAATTTAATATAAAGAATCATTAAGCGATGATAAAAGATCTTGTATAGGATACAAGACAACTCTATGTGGGGTTTTCTGGGGCTGGGAGAGAGTACCCAAGGAAAGACAAGCTTAGAATGAAAGCTTCTCCCCAAGGATGGATTTTATACCTAATTGGAGAAGAACCTACTGGATGGCAGAGAAGTTCCACTGGTTTGCCAGTACCTAAGCTGGTCTACAGAGGCAGAACTGGTCTACGGTCGCAGAGGAAGCAAGAAGGCACCCTTTGGAGCATGGTAGTGTGGACAAGCCATAGCTGGTGCCTAGTATGTGGTGTGAAGTAGGGGTTGGGAGTCCTGTCTCAGTTGGAGGCCTGGAGTAAACAATGCCCCTTGCACAGGATCAGGGTGGGGGCTCGGTGTTGAGAGGGCTGCAGTATTGAAAGGACTACATGAACCTGGTCGTGTGTGTGTGTGTGTGTGTGTGTGTGTGTGTGTGTGTGTGGCTGCGGAGCAAGTGAGCAGAGGGAAGCAGTGGGCAGATGACTTGGAGTACAGGATGTCCCTATCAAGAGGGCCACAAGAAGCTGATCATCAGGGCACACCAGGACTGCAGGTTTACTGAGGGACAGTTGTTCTGGGCCCAGGCCTGGGACAAAGCATCCTGAATGTCCTTACCTCCACACCTCTGAGAGCCAGAAATCATAGAAGTACCCTTCCTTTTTCAATGTCTGTCCCTCCAGAGCCCTCTATTAAGTAAGTGTAACATCGTGCTCTTTGATGCTACTTTAAAGGAGAGATGCTTAAAGAATCCCTCTATTATCGAAGAATATATATTGACTGGTGAATTTGGAGCTAAGAGGTAATAAATAGATAACTGGCTTCATATCCTTTATCAGGTTAGAGGAGTCCAGGCTCTCTGTAGTCAGTATGAATAGTAGGCACCCTACCTGCCAGGGTTATAGTTGTTGATTGCACAAGGGAGATTATCTACCACCCTGTTTTTGCTTTGGTAAGCCTACACTTCACCAGTGGGTAATATAACCATGTAACAAAACTGCGCTTGTACCTCCTAAAGGTATGCAAACAATACTAATGATTAAAGAAACAGGCCTGGGTATTTCAGGGATTTTAGTTGACTATTTAGGATTCTCGGTGGGCCCAGTGTTCCCAGACCTGAACTGAGTTTGTTGCAAAACCCAGCCTCTGGCACAAAGGGGCATCAGTAGCTTAGGGCATAGAGCCTGTGAGCCCTATAGTCTAGCCCTACCCAGTATTGGCCTGCTCCACTCACAAGGAGAGCTTTGTTGTGTTGTGAGATTGCATCTTCCACCATAAATGTGAGTAGCAAATGTTCTCTTCAGGAATAGACTAATTTAATTTATACCTTAAATGCTGCTCTGTTCTCCTGCACCAGAGTTAAACAGATAAAAGGTGCTTGGATTTCATTTCAAGTCATGCCTTACAGAGCCTTATCCTTGCAGAAGCAGGGCAGTAGATTCCCGAGTTAGTCTCACAAAGTGTATATCTCTAACTATATTGGCAGTTTGAGTGTTTTAGTCACACTTTTCTCAATTTGATTTAGGGCCCAAAATAGGCAAAAATTCATGGGAGAAAATAGCCCATGGTTTTGCCCTTCTTGTGTGAAATCTGAAATTCGTTCACTACAAGGAGGAGTCGCTATTTAAGCCTGCCCCATGGGTAGCTGTCACCACTAGACTTCCAATCAGTCACTCTCACTTGCTAGAAATGTCTTAGAACTAGGTTTTGTGGAAAAACAGACCTCCAATCTGCAGTCTCTGAAGGAGAATGACACAGCTGTGGTATCTTTCCTTGCAGGAGAAAGGGGAATTGGGAGCCTCCCATGTTGAGCTGCCTGGGAGGAACCCACTAGGGCTCACATCCTCCCACTGACAACCTTAGTGACCCCTGCCTGGTAACCTCTGACCCCACACACAAGACCAAAGAGGGAAAGAGGAAGTGCGAGCAGCTCGAGGATGCAGTTTTTGTTCACCGTGTCCCTCACCCCAACCTTCCATGCTCTGGCCAAGGATGCGGAGCTAGAGCCAAGATTTGGTAGTTTCTGAAAACTCAAGAAGTTGTTTCTCTGTCTGGTCCAGGTGGAGGATGAGAGTAGAGGTTAGGAGTAATTCTGCGTTTCTGCCAAGGGTAATTCCGTGATTCTGTCACACTTTTGGCAAGCTTGACAATTACTGCACCACGGAAAGCAGCCCAAACACAAAGCCCTGCGACCCCTCCAGAAAAGGTAATAAAATTTCATAGCATGACCAGTGTCTGTTACAATAAGCTCCAGTATTCCCTCAAAGTTTGTATGGGTGTAGGGTTTTTCTTTCTCCCACTGTTTTGTCTTAGTGAAAACACTCCAAACCACACACAGGGATAGCTCGGCCACTACAAGATATTGCCCAGGTTCTGATTCCCTTCCATCTGCAAGCTTGTCTTCTTCTGACTGGCTTAGAAGAATTTCTAAAAAGGGAATCACTTGTGCAATGCTCTCCCTGTGGAGGGTGTTCGATCAGCATCTCTGTGGGGCCAGAAGATGGACCAGGGACTGATGGCCTGAGCCTTCTCCAGGAAAATTTCACACTGTTTGACAGCAGAATGCATCACTAGGAAGTACTGTCTCAGTTATTTGCTCAGTGGGGGACTTTACAGGACCTAAGCCCCTGCCTTCCACGTCTGTAGAACAATCAACCATCTTTGTGTCCTATCAGCTTTAACTTCTCAAAAATGTATATGCTACTTTTCTCTTGCCTTTCATCCATGTGACCTAATGGAGATAGAATATTCACATGTATCTTTACCTTCTGGCCATTCCACTGTCATCCTCACCTCTGCCCTCCTGACTCCAGGGGTGTGGTCCCTAGGCCCTCAAGCAGCAGTCAGACAGCCTCACTTGGGCCTGGGCTTTGACTCTGAGTTCTCCATCAGGTGAACTGTGGACTCAGGCTCAGCTCATTGATCAGGACCTGGTGCAAAATGAGGTCCACCAGCCAGATGTTCACCTTGATCAGAGGAAATGCTTTTCCCTGCAGCTGGATCAGCAGCAGAGTTAATGGTTTTCACATCATTTATCCCACATGTACAGATGCAAGACCACTGCTTCAAAGCCCACTGGACTCAGATGGTTGGCTTTTCTTCCTGAGCTTCTCTCAAACTCTCAAGGCCCAGGTGAAGGAGAGGTCTTTAGGTCCTAACCACTGGCTGCATTTTGCCTCACTCTGCCCTGCACATGACTTAACTTTTAATTAAAAAAAAAAAGCACTTCCCCCAAAGGTCTGACAAGCTATGAGACCTTTCAGTGGGAACTTGAAGAATGAGGAGGCATTGGGAATGACAGTTTACAAACTGTCCACAGGCATTGATTGGAATATTTTGGTAATAGAATAGTCTAAATGCAGTTAGCATGTTTGAGTACTTGATTCATCACGTGGTATTTGGAAAAAGTGCTCATCACTTTTTTATTTTCTCACCAGTGGAAACTAATCCAGAGTGTTCCTTAAATATCAGATTTCTCACCCATAACTCTGTCCACAAGTGGTTCATATCTGAGTCAAACATGCTCCTATACCATCAAAGTAGAAAGTAGGACCTTTCTTGAGATGCTCTTTACTAATAGTGAAAAAAAAAACATACATTTACACGATGTGAAACAATACTTTGAAAATATGACCCAGAATGTGAAAAAGCAATAGCACACTAAAATAAACACATAGAAACAAATAAGTCTTGACCATTTTTATTTATTATTGATGTTTAAAGATAAGTTAACTGGCAAATACATCGTCAAAGATTTTGCAGTACTTAGGTGTTGCTTTAAGGGTTCTTTGACGCAAGACATGTTGCCATTCCTTAAATTTAAAACTAAAAGAAATTATATGTAATTTATATAATTTATAAAATACAAATTATTTATATTTTATGAGCATAACTCCTTACCAATAATCATAAGCCCTTACCACATTCAAAATGACAATCATTTTCATCACCTCCTAAGGCTTTCTCATGCCCCTTTATGTTGCTTCCCTCCCTACCCATCCCCATCCCTGTCCCTAGGCAACCACTGATCTACTTTCTCTCACTATAGATTAGTTTGTGCTTTATAGAATTTTATATAAATAGAATTATACACTGTATACTCTTTTTTGTCTTCTTAAAATCAGCGTAGTTATTTTCAGATTCACCCATGCTGTTATTTCTATCAATAGTTCATTACTATTTGTCATATTATAGTATTTCATTGTATGGTAATTTGGATTGTTTCCAGTTTTTCACTAGTACAATTGAAGCTGCTATAAACATTCACATACAAGTCTTTATGTGGACCTATGCTTTCATTTCTCTTAGATAAAAACTCAGGAGCAGTAGTATTGTACGTGTGCGCTTAACGTTTTAAGTTCGGGTTAACGTTGCAGATTGATCTCACCTTGCTGCTTAGAGTACTGTTGACAGTACAGATTGAATGGATTTTATCTCAGACCATGCTAGTCGGATTAATCAGAGTGGCTGACTAAGTGGCATGTTATTATATCAGTGGGTTAAAGATGACCTCCATATATTAGCCTTTATATTGCCATTATACTTCCTCACAGCAGGCAGAAAGCCTGCCAACGCCAAACTCGAATTTTTCACATATGCAATTGCTTTAAATATAGCTCAAGTAAGCATATGTGTAGCCACTTAGGGCTTGCCTGCCTTGCATGCCCCACAAAACTGCACTGACATCTGCTAGCCACATTTAAAGAAAACACAGGGGCTATAAAAGACCCCATGCCACTGCTTGCCTCCAGAACCCTCTGACCCAGAGACTCCCTCTCCTGCTGCTGAGTCATATCGCCCAGACACATAAGGCCCTCTCCTATTCTCCTCTACCCCAGGAGTTACCTTGCCTTCTTCCCCTTCTGCTCAGTGGCCCTCTGCTGCTGCCTCTGGAAGGTCTGATGTGAGAGACCTCCCCTTTCTGGCAACCTGTCAAAGCACCGCCGAAATAAAAAGCTTCTTGGCTGGGCGCGGTGGCTCACACCTGTAATCTCAGCACTTTGGAAGGCCGAGGCGGGTGGATCACCTGAGGTCAGCTGTTTGAGACCAGCCTGGCCAATAGGGTGAAACCTCGTCTCTACTAAAAAATACAAAAATTAGCCCGCCATTGTGGCGGGAGCCTGTAATCGCAGCTACTTCGGAGGCTGAGGCTGGAGAATCACTTGAGCCCGGGAGGCGGAGGTTGCAGTGAGCAGAGGTTGCGCCACTGTATTCCAGCTTGGACAACAGAGTGAGACTCCTTCTCCCTTCTCAAAAAAAAAAAAAAATGTTTTTGGGCGCTACTGCCACCTCGTGGTCATGTCTTCTTCATTGATCAGCCCAGAAATCTTGGAACTCACCACAAGTGGTGAGGAGGATGGGATTTTCGTGAACAAGAAATTGGCATAGCGTCTACCCAGTCAGTAGGACAATCAATTGAAAAATCAGTCCTAGGCAGCCTTAAGTGCTCAGACTCTACATTTAGAATGCCTCTGTAGCAGTTTTGCTTAGCATCGCTCATTGCTGTACCGCAACAATATACTTTTTGCAGTCTCCTTCTATACCTCATTGACCTGGCCCAGAGGTAGCACCAGTAGTTGAGTGAACCCACACCACTAGAACTGGCTTTTGGGGTCTTAGATGCCAAGGTACTTGGGAAGGAGGTCAGCCTACTTACCTGGGTCCCCCCCTCAGTTGACATTGGACATTGTGCACCTGTGCACCTGAATAGAAAAAGAGGGAGTGCATGCCTCTGGAATAAGGGTGAACCACCCTGGACTGCATAACAGGCTATGGTGGGAAGTGTTCTCTTTGGCTGGGTTGAGGATTTGGGGTAGTCTGAGATGTGAGGATGTCCTCCTCCCCGGTGACAGCTAGGCAAGCAAATGAGCCAATAAGGCAGAGACATCAGGCCAAGGCTGGTCTCCTAAGGGCAGCTGGTAGAGAGGCCTTTGAAAGCAGGTAGCATGGCTCTACTGTTGTTACACTCAATTATGATGTTGCAGTTGTCATCATGCTATCCCCTCTCCAGAGGGATATTAATATCTCGACCTTTGGGCTGAGCTATCTAGAGTGATACTTAAAGTGACTGAAGGCAAAAAAGTTTATATTCCTGCCCCTCCTGGAACTCTACAGGAGGTTGCTGTCAGGTCAAAGAAGGATTCCTAACCATGAGGCATGTGCTGACCTTGCTGGCAGCAATTTATCACCAGGATGCCACCTGGAGAAGAGGTAAGAGCCCAAACTCTTGGGAGAGACAGTTTGGACAAGAGGTCCCTGGAGAGGAGAATAGGTGCTCTCCAGAAGAAAAGGCAGCACAGTGTCACCACGGTAGGGACTGGGAAAACTTACCCTCTGCTTTGCCTGTAGCCACCCAGAAAGTAATAAAAATGGAAAAGAAAAAAAGGGAGAGCCAAGAAGGAAGGGTCTGTTCCTGCTCAGAGGAGGAGTCCTATCCTCTCTCTTACCCGAGCCCCAGTCTCTCCTTAAGTACCCAGGCCAAGAACCAAATAAACAAGGGGCTGCCTGGCTCTACAGAATGCATCTGGCAGGGAACTGATTCCACCTAATGGGGAATGAAATTAAACAATTAGGAGCGATAGTACATGATGGAAAAATTGTGTCCCCACTAAAGGAACCTGTATAATTAGAGCAGAATTTGGGAAGAAGCCACATTGGACCTCTGTTCACATCTTTATTGCTGATGTGTATTTTTGTGGATTAGAAGACTGCCCACCATTAGACCTCATAATGGCCTGGGAAGACTGTCCAGGGAAAAGGTTAGCCAAGGCCAAACATCTCCTCCACCAGTTGGACATGTTGGAGTGGAGGCAACAAATGAGGTGGGGCAGGATGACTTGACAAGACTGGAGGAGTCTGAATTGAGTCCTGAGTCCACTCAATTGTTCCTCGGGGGGCGGGGCTCCTGGGAAAATCTTCTTTACTGGGCATGGTGGCTACTGCTAAAACAATTCAAGAGACCATAGCTGCACTGGATTTAATAGAAACTCATGAAAGACAAACTCAGAGTCAGGTGCTGCCTGCTAACACTATAATACCCTACCTGGCCTAAATCAAAGTTACTATCACCACTCAGGCTGCCCCTCCTGGGCCAAACAAACCACCTGTGGCCAGGATCCCATGTATGCATCAACCACGAGATGACGAAAAGAGGTTATGTTAGACCCTAAGGCACAAGAAGGTCCCAAATTGGATGATCTCTGGTGAATGTTTGGAGCAATTGCAATACTTACTAGGGTTAGATTACGACCCCCTCCCACCCCAGCTGGCTTTCCCTTTGGAGGTAACCTTATCTTCCACACCTGTCTCTGATGCTTGCCAAATGGCTAAGAATCTTCTCTCACACAGGGATCCTGCAGTGTCGGAAGGCCCCTTCTGACAGACAGTTGCCCTTTCACCATATTAACTGTGGCTTGGGCACTGACAAACAACACTGGCTAACTCTGTCAGTCAGGGGTGCCCAAATCTCCCTAATGCCAACACACACACATGCTTTAAAAGGAACCCCCTCCTGGCAAGTAGGCTACCTGCTTGGAAGGGGGTTAATTAAAGGGATTAATTAAAGGGATAATTCCCCTCTTAACTATTAAAATTGGCTCAGTTTTGCTAAAAATATGCTTCTGTCCTGCTTGCCTCCCCTCCAAGATTATCCATTTCCCCATTATTGGAAGAGACCTCCTGAGGCCGCAGATAAACTCATGACATAAGACTAAGGTTTTTATGCTACTGGTGGGCACTTCCCGGAGGGAACCAGTTAACCTGCCCCTCCTGGTTCAGGTGGTTCATATACCACAGCAGAAGCTGAAGCAGGACACTGAAGGATTATGGCCTGTCACAGGTGACATAGATAAACAAGGAACACTGACTCCTACTACCTCACCTATCAATTCCCCATATGGCCTGCCCTAAGAGACACTACTAATCAGTGGAGACTATAGACCATAGAGAGTTCAGCAGGGCTGTTTCCTTTATTAGAGCACCTGTATAGGACATTGTTGCCTTAATGGGTGTCATTCAAAACATCAGTGGTAAGTTTATATTAATCCAGGGCATCTAAAGCCACCAGAATTTGAATCTGGAGTTGTAGACTTGGCTAACATGTTCTGTTTAGTAAAAATTTCACAGTTGAGTCAAACACATTTCACTTCCACCTTTGAGAGTCAATAGTACGCCTTTACCCACTTGCTTTTGGGGTATTTGTTTCCCCTCATCTTCATTGTGATGCTAGCTTTTTGGGGGATACTTAATAGCCCTCCAATTGCACAGTCATTGCCAACAGGACATAGACACCTGCCCCTCAATTTCACCAGAAACTATGCTTTGGCATTATATCGGTGACATCCTCCTCGCAGAACCTGACCAAGACTCTGTTTCACAGTTGATCACAACCCTCAGTAAACCACCTCTCACTGAGAGTGGATTGGCAATTACACCATGTAAGGTATAAGTCTGTAAAATTTGAAGGCTACACTAGGAACTCGGAAGGGTGTTTTTCCACTCCTGCCTGTTCAGACCTCAGAATACTACACTTTCCTCCTGCCTGTTCCCAAGCCAAGGACCAAGGACTACAGGCCAGTACAGGACTTGTGCTTGGTTAATCAAGCTACAGTGAGTTTACATCCAACAGTGCCTAACTGTACATGTTGTTAGGGTTGCTGTCAGCTGAGGACAGCTGGTTCACCTGCTTGGACCTGAAAGACTCTTTCTTTAGCATCAGACTAGCCCCTGAGAGCCAGAAACTGTTTGCCTTTCAGTGGGAAGATCTGGGGTCGGGTGTCACCACTCAGTACAGTTGAACCCGCCTTCCCCAAAGGTTCAAGAACTCCCCCACCATCTCTTCGAGGAAACATTGGTTCGGGACTTCCAGAAGTTTCCTGCCAGAGACCCAGGGTGCGTGTTGCTCCAGTACGTCGAGGACCTTCTGCTAGGACACCCCACAGCAGTCGGGTTTGCCAAGGGAACGGATGCCCTACTTTGGCACCTGGAGGACTGTGGGTATAAGGTGTCCAAGAAGAAAGCCTAGATCTGCTGACAGCAGGTACATCACCTGGGATTTACTATCTGACAGGCGGAGCACGGCCTGAGTTATCCGGTCTTGGTCTTGCCTCCTAAGTTTCAGGCGCTGCAGGTTTTACACTGCTGAGGTGGATCCAGGCCGGGATTCCTTCTACCTTCACAGCAGTGAGAGTGGTCAGGATGATGGGCTGGGGTCCTTCCCACCGTGCATGCAAAGGGGCTATGTTTCAGTCTTTGATCCACACTCGGTCACCTTTCCAGAACTTTGCGGTCGGTAGGCAGCATGCAGTTTCCATGTGATCCTCAATACCTTTGCTGTTTTCTGTACCAAGTCAGCCACAAACGCTGGCCCATTATCTGAGCCGATTCCTAAGGGCAGTCTAAATCTAGGAATAAGATCTCTACACTTTGACAGGACAGAAATAGTGTTCAGACTATTTCCAATCTGATAAAAGACAAGCTCCTCATGCTTA